>NC_000001.11:45917471-46220501 GCF_000001405.40 Homo sapiens | reverse complement strand
GCTGTGATCATGCCACTGCTCTCTATCTTGGGTAACAGCATAAGACCCTGTCTCAAAAAAAGAAAGAAAGAAAGAAAGAGCAAGCTAGCTCTAGGGACCCAATAATTGAGGGATAAAGGCAGAGACTCCCTAGGGACTAGAGAAATGATGAGCCAGGTTTCCATGGTAACTGATTTCAGTGCAGCCTCTTCCTAGTCTCAGACTGAGGGAGAATCAATTTTGGGGGAGACCACATCTAATGGATAAAAGAGCCACAGGATTACAAAAGGGTGGAATAGTTGTTACAAGAAGGTCACATCATCCTGGCACTGCTCCCAGAACCAGTGGGCCTCGAAGCCCAGCTTGGCACTCTCATCCTCTGGTGACTCAGGTGGTCCACCTTGAAGCCTCTCCCCTGGGGGCTTCCACACAGCTCTCAAGCTCCCTAGCCTGGTGGCTGCCACATCCACCTCAGTCCTGGCCCTCTCTCCACCAGCTATAACTTTTGCCCAGTCCATCTCGGAACGTGGAGCCCCAGGTGGGCCCTGTTCATCCAGCTCGCTGGGGGCCACTGTGTCCAGGAAGCTGCCAATAGAGACACTGTCCAGCCGGTCGGTGGTGCTGGTGTCTGGCAGGCTGTCCCAGCTGCCTCGCCTTGAGCGGCCTGGGCTCCCGCCTGTCAGGCTATATTGACTGCTGGTGAGGCTGCTGCAATGACTGGTCAACGTCCCCCGCTCCTCCAACAGCCAGCGCACTGCCTCGATGCCCTCATTCAAGGTCACCAGCTGCTGCAGGATCTTCACATCGATGGCTCGCAGGTAAGCCTGGGGGAGTGGGAGAAGGAATTAGTCCCAGTTCTGGGGCATGGGTTTCCCCAGCGTTTCCACAGGCCACTACCTTGTGGTTCAGCCAACCATGTTTCACTTTAAGACGGATGGAATTATAACGGCTTGCAGTGTAGGCTTCAGAAGCAGACAGACTGCTGCCTAACATTTCAGCTCTACCACTGATTAGACATATCTTCTTTGAGCCTCAGTCTCTTTGTTTGTAAAACAGGATTAAATCACTTACCTCACAGGGTAGCTGTGAGGATTCTGAAATGCTGTCTATTAAGTACTCAGCACAGTGCCTAGCACAGAGGAAGGTCTCAGTAAATGTTAAGTATTAAAATCCAATCCTATTAAGCTTTGAACTTCATATTTAGGGTACTTCTTTTTTTTTTTTTTTGAAATGGAGTTTCGCTCTTGTTGTCCAGGATGGAGTGCAATGGCGCGATCTCAGCTCACCGCAACCTCCGCCTCCTGGGTTCAAGCGATTCTCCTGCCTCAGTCTCCCAATTAGCTGGGATTACAGGCGTGTACCACCACACCCAGCTAATTTTGTATTTTTAGTAGAGACAGGTTTCACCATGTTGGTCAGGCTGGTCTCAAACCCTTGACCTTAGGTGATCCGCCCACCTCAGCCTCCCAAAGTGCTGGAATTACAGGCATGAGCCACCATGCCCAGCCACAGGGTACTGACTATTGAGCCTGCCCATATTCACCAGAAAGACATAGAAACAAAGAATAGCAAGATAGGGTGTTAATCAGGAAGTAGATTGGGCCAAAAGGAGGCAGGAGCTGGGGAATAAAGAGAGCTAACCTGGTTCCCTAGTCTTTTCAGGGCATTGGTAGCAGCCACCGAGAGGGGAAAGGGTTGGCCAGAGCTTAGAAGGATCAGAATCCCACTGGCTGGGCATTCAGGCCTTCTTGCCTGTACACACCAGTCTACCTGTCTGTACTGGAAGTAAATTTGACTTACAGGGTAATCTCAAGCGTCCGTTCCAGCTCAGATGCACTGTTACCTTCCCTAAGCACAAGTCTGAACCTGTCTCTCCCTGCTCAAGAGCCTTTATAGGCATTGCACTGCTCTTAGAGAGTGCCGAATCCGAACATCTACAATAGCAGGGAACTCCGCCCTCCTCTTAGAGAATGAAATCTAAACATTTTAGCAACTGGCATTCAAAAGCCTGTAACATGTGGCTCTCGCCCATCTCTATAGTTTCGCCTCTAGCATTCTGCTCTGTGAACCCAAGGTGCTGCCACAAATGACTTTTTAAAACTAGTTTTATTTAGTTTTACTTTTATTATTATTTTTTGAGACAGGGTCTTGTTCTGTCACTCAGGCTAGAGTGCAGTGGCACAGTCATGGCTCACTACAGCCTCCATCTCCTGGTCTCAAGCGATTCTCTCACCTCAACCTCCCAAGGAGCTAAGACCACAGGCGTGCACCACACCTGGCTAATTTTATTTTTTGTACAGACAAGGTCTCACCTTGTTGCCCAGGTTGGTCTCAAACTCCTAGGCTCAAAGCAATTCTTCCAAAAGTGCTGGGATTACAGGTGTGAGCCACCACACCCAGCCCAGTTTTATTTCTAATCAAAGTAACAGATGCACAGAGATTAAAGAGGCAAACAGTTCCACAAGATTATGAACATGAACAGTTCTCCCATCCTGGTCCTACTTCCCAGAAACAACTATTATTATTTATTTAGTTGTTTATTTTGGTATTTACCTCCTAATCTCCATATTTATATTGCTATTTCTTGGTATTTAAATTTCAGGCATTTTCTATTGATTTCCCACACTATATAAGATTAGGGACTTAACTTTCTTTTTTCTTTTTTGAGACAGAGTTTCTCTCTTGTTGCCCAGGCTGGAGTGCAATGGCGCCATCTTAGCTCACTGCAACCTCCGCCTCCAGGGTTCAAGCGATTCTCTTGCCTCAGCCTGCTGAGTAGCTGGGATTACAAGTATCACCTACCACGCCTGGCTAATTTTTGTATTTTTAGTAGAGACAGGGCATCACCAGGTTAGCCAGGCTGGTCTCAAACTCCTGACCTCAAATAATCTGCCCACCTTGGACTTCCAAAGTGCCGGGATTACAAGGCGTGAACCACCACGCCCAGGCAGGATTTAACTTTCATCCCACTCCCCACTCCCCTGCCATACAGATACCCTTCCCATCTTCCATCCTCCTAATAGGCAATAAAATTACTCAGTGTTTACTTTATTAGGATTTGGAAATGCTCTTCACAGCTAAGCCATGTAGTTTACTATAGTTACTTTTTATTTCTTACAACATTTTATCCTTAGAATTATTATTATTATTATATTGCCTAGTTTGCTATGTAGTTATCAGCAAGTCAACCTCAAACACTCCCTCAATTCTCTGAATTTCCCTCTCCAGGCTTTTGAATGCATGACACGTTCTATCTATTCCATCTTCTGAGAGGCATCTCTTAAGGAGCCCTCTGCTCTGCTTCCATCTGTCCTTGCTGCACAATTGCCCTCCAGGGATCTCCCTCCATTATCATCTTGGTAATTCCTTTGCCTCTTTCCTTAGCTGGATCCCTCGTTTCTTAGATTCCATATCTTCTTTTTTCATTTACTCCTTCATTTGGGTGAATGGTTCTTTCCCTCTAGTAGCATCCTGAGAAAGTTGGCATAAGAGGTAAATTTATTGAAGCTTTGCATGTTTTAAAATGTTATTACACATCCATAAGATATAATGAAATCATGTCCTTTGCAGCAACATGTATGCAACTGGAGGCTATAATCCTAAGTGAATTAATGCAAGAGCAGAAAACCAAATACTGCATGTTCTAACTTATAAATGGGAGCTAAACATTGGGTATATGAACATAAAGATGGTAATGATAGACACTGGGGACTGTTGGAGGAGGGAGAGAGGTGGGGGCAAGGATTGAAAAATTATTTGTTGGGTACTATGCTCACTTCCTGGGTGATGGGTTCAACAGTATCCCAAATCTCAGAATCATGTGATATACCCATGTAACAAACCTGCGCAGGTACCCCCCTCCGAATCTAAAATAAAAGTTGGGCTGGGCATGGTGGCTCTTGCCTGTAATTCCAGCACTTGGAGAGGCCAAGAGAGGAGGATCACTTGAGTCTAGGAGTTTGAGATCAGCCTAGGTAACAGAGTGAGACACTGTCTCTACAAAAAATTTAAAAATTAGTCAGGTGTGGTGGTATGTGCCTGTAGACCCAGCTCCTCGGGAGGCTGAGGTGAGAGGATTGCTTGAGCCTGGGGGGTCAAGGCTGCAGTGATCCATGGTGGTGCCACTGCACCCAGCCTGGGTGACAGAATGAGATTTCTCTCAAATAAGATAAAATAGGGCCGAGCGTGGTGGCTCATGCCTGTAATCCCAGCACTTTGGGAGGCCGAGGCGGGTGGATCACGAGGTCAGGAGATAGAGACCATCCTGGCTAACACGGTGAAACCCCGTCTCTACTAAAAATACAAAAAATTAGCTGGGCGAGGTGGCGGGCGCCTGTAGTCTCAGCTACTCGGGAGGTTGAGGCAGGAGAATGGCGTGAACCTGGGGGGCGGAGCCTGCAGTGAGCCGAGATCGCGCCACTGCACTCCAGCCTGGGCAACAGCGAGACTCCGTCACAAAAAAAAAAAAAAAAAAAAAAAGATAAAATAAAAGTTGAAATTATTTTTAAAAAGTTATTAATCTTTCCTCACACTATTGATAGTTTGGCAGGATATAGAATTCCAGGTTGAAAATAATTCTTCCTCAGGGGTTAAGGCATTGTTCCATTGTCGTATTTTATTTTTGAGACAGGGTCTTACTCTATAGCCCAGGCTGGAGTGCAGTGGTGGCACAATCATGGTTGACTACAGCCTTGATCCCCTGAGCTCAAGCAACCCTCCTGCCTCAGCCTCCTAAGTAGCTGGACTACAGGCATGTACCTACACCTGGCTAATTTTTAAATTTTTTTTTGTAGATGGGGTCTCACTATGTTGCCCAGGCTGGTCTCAAACTCCTGAGCTCAAGGGATCTGCCCATCTTGGCCTCCCAGAGTGCTGGGATTAGAGGCATGTGCCATGGCACCCAGCCTCCATGTCTTTTAATTTTCAGTGTTAGCCTTTAAAAATCTAATGCCATTCCAATCCCTGATCCTTTGTATGTGACCCTTTTCCCATTCTTGCTGAAAGCTTTTAGGATCTTCTCTTTGTTCCCAGTGTTCTGTTTTTACAGCAATTTGCCATGGTGTGGGTTATTTTCATCTATTGAGTTAGCCACTTGATGGGCCTTTTCAATCTGGAAACTGACGTTCTTCAGTTCTGGGAGATTTTTTAAAATTATTTCTTTGATGATTATCCTCCAGTATTTTTCTGTTCTTTCTGGGAATCCTATTACTTGGACAGAGGGTGTCCTGAACTGATGATCCTCTATGTTTTTGTTTTTGTTTTTTTCACTCTTGCATCTCTTTTTTTTTTTTTTTTTTGAGACAGAGTTTTGTTGTGTCGCCCAGGCTAGAGTGCAATGGTGCGATCTTGGCTTACTGCAAGCTCCACCTCCCGGGTTCACGCCATTCTCCTGCCTCAGCCTCCCAAGCAGCTGGGACTACAGGTGCCCACCACCACACCCGGCTAATTTTTTGTATCTTTAGTACAGACAGGGTTTCACCATGTTAGCCAGGATGGTTTCAATCTCCTGACCTTGTGATCCACCTGCCTTGGCCTCTCAAAGTGCTGGGATTACAGGCGTGAGCCACAGCACCCAGTCACATCTATTTCTATACTTGCTCTAGTTTCTGAAATATTTCAACTTGATCAACTCCTCTTTTTTTTTTTTTTTTTTTTGAGATGGAGTCTCACTCTTGTCCCCCAGGCTGGAGTGCAATGGCGCACATCTTGGCTCACTGCAGCCTCTGCCTCTCGGGTTCAAGTGATTCTCATGACTCAGGCTCCCAAGTAACTGGAATTACAGGTGTCTGCCACCACATCTGGCTGATTTTTGTATTTTTAGTAGAGATGGGGTTTCACCATGTTGGTCAGGCTGCTATTGAACTCCTGACCTCAGGTGATCCACTGCCTTGGCCTCCCAAGTGCTGGGATTACAGGCATGAGCCACCACACCTGGCCTATTATCAACTCTTTGGTTTTTCTTTTTTCTTTTCCCCGCCATGATGTGTTTATTTCCAAGTGCTGTTTCTAGTTCTCTGAATGTTTACCTTTTTACACCTTCTTGTTTTTGTTCATGGCTACAGTATTATCTTTTATCTCTTTAAGGATATGCTTAATGATTTTTATAAGTTCGTATCTCTCTGTATTATCTCCATTTCATTCAAGTTGCTTTTTCTTTTCCTTTTTTTTTTTCTTTTTGAGACAGAATGTCATTCTGTCACCCAGGCTGGAGTGCAGTGGCACGATCTCGGCTCACTGCAACCTCTACCTCCCAGGTTCAAGCGATTCTCATGCCTCAACCTTCTGAATAGCTGGGATTACAGGTGCCCGCTACCACAACCAGCTAATTTTTGTATTTTCAGTAGGGATGGGGTTTCATCATGTTGGCCAGGCTGGTCTCAAATTCCTGACCTCAAGTGATCATCCAGCCTCGGCCTTCCAAAGTATTGGGATTACAGGCCTGAGCCACCATGCCCGGCCTCAAGTTGCTTTTTCCTATTTATTTAGGTCTATATAGAGGGTCAGATGTCTATCATCTTTAACTGCTGCTCACCCTTCAGAGTGGATCTCTACAATGACTAGAAACCGTGTATGTATGAAGCTTGCCAACTCTGAGCCTCACTACAGGATGATCTGATTGGGCTGTTTAATTGGAGGTCTAAAGTCTGTATCTTTTTTTTTTTTCTTGAGTTAATCATATTCCCCATATTATACCACTCTAGAGAGTATAACGTAAGCAAGGCTGTCAGTATCCTAGGAGCCAAGTAGGGGTAAAGGCTTGGAGAGGTATTTCATGATATTTAGTACTTTTTAAAGTTTTTGTAGAGACAAAGTCTCGCTACGTTGTCCAGGCTGGAGTGCAGTGGCATGATCATAGCTCACTGTAGCCTCAAACTCCCAGGCTCAAACTCCTCACCTCAGCCTCCCAGAGTGCTGTGATTACAGGCGTAAGCCATTGTGCCTGGCCGTATTTAGTGTATTTTTATTTAGTCCCTCTTGTCCTCAACTATGCTCAGTGTCTTTTAATCTAGAGACCTTCTGTTCTATTCTCCATATATAAAGTCATTTGTCACGTAACAATGGGGATATGCTTAGAGAAATACACCAGCAGGAGGTTTTACTGCCGTGCAAATATGACAGGGTAAATGCACAAACTAGATGACATTTTAAAAAATTTATATACTTTTTAAAATATGGAAAACAAAATGTCCCAGCACAATTACTGAATATCAATCCCTACTTGATCTGCTATGCCAATATCAAGTGCCATATATCATATTTGTGTATATGCTGTGTTATAATCTTATGAAATCACTATGGTATATGCTGTTCATCGAAACATCGTATGTTTTGGTCGTATGATGACTGAAACATCATATAAATATTTGTGTATGTGTACACACTTATATACACATAAATGTTTATATATATGTGCATATATACACACATGATAAATGTTTATTTGACATATGTAGTCTATCATTGATCAAAATGTTTATATGGTAATCCCAGCACTTTGGGAAGCTGAGGAGGACAGATCACTAGAGGTCAGGAGATCGAGACCATCCTGGCTAACACGGTGAAACCCCGTCTCTACTAAAAATTACAAAAAAAATTTTTGCCAGGTGTGGTGGTGGACACCTGTAGTCCCAGCTACTCAGGAGGCTGAGGCAAGAGAATGGTGTGAACTCGGGAGGTGGAGCTTGCAGTGAGCTGGGATCATGCCACTGCACTCCAGCCTGGGCGACAGAGCGAGACTCTGTCTCAAAAAAATAAAATAAAATAAAATAAAATAAAAAATTAGCCAAGCATGGTGGCTCTTGCCTGTAATCCCAGCTACTCGGGAGGCTCAGGCAGGAGAATCACTTGAACCCGGGAGGCAGAGGTTACAGTGAGCTGAGATGGTGCCACTGTACTATAGCTTGGGTGACAGAGCGAGACTCTGATTCAAAAAAAAAAATTTGGCCGGGTGCAGTGGCTCACGCCTGTAATCCCAGCACTTTGGGAGGCCAAGGCGGGCGGATCACGAGGTCAGGAGATCAAGACCATCCTGGCTAACACGGTGAAACCCCGTCTCTGTTAAAAATACAAAAAAATTCGCTGGGCGTGGCAGTGTACGCCTGTAGTCCCAGCTGCTGGGGAGGCTGAGGCAGGAGAATGGCATGAACCCGGGAGGCGGAGCTTGCAGTGAGCTGAGATCGCGCCACTGCACTCCAGCCTGGATGACATAGCAAGACTCCGTCTCAAAAAAAAAAAAAAAAATTTACATGGTTGTTTATGTTATACATGGTCTGACATTGACCAAAACGTCATTATGTGTGTATGTGTATTTACATATACAGGTCAGATCCCGCAGGTCACACAAACACAGTAAATGTTTTTTGTATTTGAAAAATGTTTATTGAATTATTCAGGAAATAACTGCTTTATTCACATCTATGATAAACCAGAGTAAGACCATGCATTAATATTTGTACATTGAGGCCAGGTGTGGTAGCTCACTCCTGTAATCCCGGCACTTTGGGAGGTCGAGGTGGGAAGATCACCTGAGATCAGGAATTTGAGACCAGCCTGGCCAACATGGTGAAACCCCGTCTCTAATAAAAATACAAAAATTGGCCAGGCGTTGTGGCGCACGCCTGTAAGCCCAGCTACTCAGGAGGCTGAGGCAGGAGAATCACTTGAACCGAGGCAGAGGTTGTAGTGAGCCGAGATCACACCACTGCACTCCAGCTTGGGCAACAGAGCAAGACTCCGTCTCAAAAAAATATATATATATATTTGTACATTGAGAAAATTAGACACTGGAATTAAATGGACCTAGATTTGAGTTCCAGTTTTGCCATTAATGAGCCATATGAAATTAAAATTGATTTCTTTAAACCTTCATTTCTTTATTATAATATGAGGTACTATCTAAAGGTTTGTCATGAGACATCGAAGGAACATATTAACATGCATAGCATACCATCTGACAAGTATAATACTGTAAATCAATAAATGGTAGGCTATTTGGCTCTACATATTACTATGGTCGACTTATTTACTAGTTGTGATATTACTGTGTGTGTGTGTGTGTGTGTGTGTGTGTGTGTGTGTGTGTGCAGGTTTTCATCCAGTTTTTGGCTCATAAGCCCCATAGCCATTGTTACAGTGTTTGTTATAATGCTGGGGCACTCAGAAATAGGCTTCAGGAAACAGTCTCTTTCTGACCTTCTCCTGCTCTCCTCTCACCTTCCCAGAGTAGAACTCTAATCTGATTGTGGGTCATAAGACCCTCATTCCAGAGAAGGTCCTGACTCATACCCTGGAGGAAGGAATGCCGCAGAGAGAGGCCAATAAGAATCTAAACAGACAGGCTTTGCTGGGTTTTGATCAGACCCTTTTTGTCCAATAACATTTTGATATGGTTGTCCATGTTTCAATCGTGGACAACCAATAAAGTCTCTTTAAAAGGCCCAAAGGACCAGGCACAGTGGCTTAAGCCTGTAATCCCAACACTCTAGGGGACTGAGGTGGGAGGATCGCTTGATCCCAGGAGTTCAAGACCAGCCTGGGCAACACAGGGAAACCCTGTCTCTACCAAAAAAAAAAAAAAAAAATTAGGTGAGTGTGGTATTGCACACCTGTAGTGCCAGCTACTTAGGAGGCTGAACTGGGAGGATTGATTGAGCCAGAGAAGTACAGGCTGCAGTGAGCTGTGATTGAGCCACTGTACTCCAACCTGGGCAACAGAACCAGACCTTGTCTCAAAAAATAAAAAAAGGTCCCCACAACAGGATTCAGAGAGCGTCCAAGTAGCTGAACAGATGGAGGGTGGTGCACCCAGGGAGAGCACAGAAGTTCCGCACCCCTTCCCGTATGCCTTGCCCCATGCATCTCTTCATCTATATCCTTTGTAATATCCTTATAATAAACCAGTAAATGTGTTTCCCTGAGTTCTGTGAGCCACACCAGCAAACCAATCAAACCCAAGGAGGGGGTCATAGGAACCCCAATTTGAAGCTGGTTGGTCAGAAGGTCAGGAGGCCCAGATTTACGACTAGTGTCTGAAGAGGGGGACAGTCTTGGGGACTGAGCCCTCAACCTGTGGGATGTGACACTGTCTCCAGGTAGACAGAGTTGAAATTAAATTAGTAGACACCCAGCTGGTATCTGCTGCAGAACTGATTGCTTGCTTGCTGGTGGGAAGAAATCCTCATATATTTTGGGGTCTTCTGTATTAATGATTATTGTTGTGTTGCATTAAGTGAAAAAATTAAAAAAACACACACACACAGTTTAGGGTTTTCTAAACACTATGGCAAAAGCATAGAAAAAAATTTTATACCTGAAATTATTTGTGTTTTTGGAAGAATATCACAACTCTAATTCAATTGAACAAATGACTATTGGGTACATGGATTTGCTAATAATTACAAAGATAATGGAGAAATTGTTCCTGCTTAATAGAAGCTTGCAGTCTCAATAAGGGGAGATGAACATAAATAACTGCAATATCAGACTGTACAGACTATTAACTTGATAAAGGAGATTATCTTCAATTATTTCATCCTGGAGACAAATATATGAACAGTGAAGACAACTGTCCTAGTCCATGACCAAACTAAATACATTAAACAAAGCTCCTCATACTAAAAACACTTGTCCTGCTGTTTTCCCCTCCCTCCTTTCCTTCCTTTCTGCCTCCCTCCATCCCTCCCTTCCTTCCTCTTTCCAAAATTTACATCTACAGCCGTGCATGGTGGCTCATGCTTGTAATCCCAGCACTTTGGGAGGCTGAGGCAAGTGGATTACCCGAGGTCAGGAGTTCAAGACCAGCCTGGCCAACATGGCAAAACCCCGTCTCTACTAAAAATACAAAAATTAGCTGTGTGGTGGCGGGTGCATGTAATCCCAGCTACTCGGGAGGCTGAGGCTGCAGTGAGCTGAGATTGGGCCACTGCACTCTAGCCTGGGCAACAGAGCGAGACTCCATCTCAAAAAAAAAAAAAGAAAAAAAAAAAGAAAACAACAACAGAACTTACATCTCCAGTCTTCTGCTAGATAAAGAATTAGGTGGCACCTGGTTGCACAGTTAGGGAGGGGATCTTAGAATATGACTTTTAAACATTCAACCAGCCCTTTTGTTTTCAGCCCCACTTGTGCCCCCAGTTCCAGAAATACCTGGTGCTTCCAACCCCTAAGACCTTTAAGGGTTTTTGCAGTATAAAATGTGTTGCTTTGGCAGGGGGCGGTGGCTCTGTAATCCCAGCACTTTGGGAGGCCAAGGCGGATGGATCACCTGAGTTCGGGAGTTCGAGACCAGCCTGACCAACATGGAGCAACCCCATCTCTACGAAAAATACAAAATTAGCTGGGCATGGTGTCACATGCCTGTAATCCCAGCTACTTGGGAAGCTGAGGCAGGAGAATTGCTTGAATCCAGGAGGCGGAGGTTGCGGTGAGCCAAGATTGCGCCATTGCACTCCAGCCTGGGCAACAAGAGCAAAACTCTATCCCCCACAAAATAAAAAAGTGTTGCTTTTCAGCTTTCCCCACTGCTGGCTCGGGACTGAGCATTTTTTAGGTCTGAGTTAGTTACCACTCTTCCTTCTGAATTTCAGTTTCCAAAATTTTGTTCCTATTACCTTGTCTCTTATTCTCATTGTCATAACGGCTTCATGCCTTTTATTTATTTTATTTATTTATTTTTCTCTTTTTGAGACAGAGTTTTGCACAGTCGTCCAGGCTGGAGTGCAGTGGCACGATCTTGGCTCATTGCAACCTCCGCCTCCAGGGTTCAAGCGATTTTCCTGCCTCAGCTTCCCTAGTAGCTGGGATTACAGGTGCACCACCACGTCCAGCTAATTTTTGTATTTTTAGTAGAGATGGGGTTTCACCATGTTGGTCAGGCTGGTCTCGAACTCCTGACCTCAGGTGATCCGCCCGCCTCGGCCTCCCAAAATGCTGGGATTACAGGCATGAGCCACCGTGCCGGCCCTCAATCTGGTATCTTGAACTGGAATTCCCACTGACTTTATTCATTCTTCAAGCCCCAGCTCAAATGTCACCTCCTCGAGGAAGTCTTCCTTGCCCTTCCTCGAGATGGAATTAATCCATTCAGTTATGGAACCAATATTTATTGTTTCTTATTGGTGTGGCACTATGTTCGATGAAGAAAGAAAAGGCATCATTTCTTACCTTCAGAAGGTTCATAATCTAGTGGGTAAGATAAGACAATGAAGCAAGCACTTAAAATTCAGTGTGGTTGGCTTGGCATTGTGGCTCAGCCTGCAATCCCAGAACTTCGGGAGGCTGACACAAACGGACTGCTTGAGGCCAGGAGTTTGAGACTGGCCTGGGCAACATAGCAAGACCCTGTCTCTATTAAAAAAATAAATAAGGCTGGTGGGGTGGCTCACACCTGTAATCCCAGCACTTTGGGAGGCCAAAGCAGGCAGATCACTTGAGGCCAGGAGTTCAAGACCAGCCTGGCCAACGTGGTGAAACCCCATCTCTACTAAAAATACAAAAATTAACTAGGCGGGTGCCTGTAATCCCAGCTACTCAGGAAGCTGAGGCAGGAGAATCGCTTGAACCCGGGAGGCAGAGGTTGCAGTGAGCCGAGATCACGCCATTGCACTCCAGCCTGGACGCCAAGAACGAAACTCCGTGTCAAAAAAAATAATGATAATAAATAAATAATTTAAAAATGAAAAGTTCAGGCCAGGTGCAGTGGCTCATGCCTGTAATCCCAGCACTTTGGGAGGCCGAGGCAGGCAGATCACGAGGTCAGGAGATCGAGACCATCCTGGCTAACATGGTGAAACCCCGTCTCTACTAAAAATACAAAAAATTAGCTGGGTGTGTTTGCAGGTGCCTGTAGTCCCAGCTACTCGGGAGGCTGAGGCAGGAGAATGGGCTGAACCCAGGAGGCGGAGCTTGCAGTGAGCCGAGATCGCACCACTGCACTCCAGCCTGGGCGACAGAGCGAGACTCCATCTCAAAAAAAAAAAAGAAAGAAAGAAAGAAAGAAAAGTTCAGTGTGGCAAACGCTAGTGGAAACAACTGCTATACAGAGGACTGTAGATACCTAGAGGGCCATAACCTAACCAGGTCAGGAAATGCTTCCTAGGATAAGGGACATGAGCTGAAAATTTAAGGTTAAGAAGGACTCAGCTAGGATGGGCGCAGTGGCTCACACCTGTAATCCCAGCACTTTGGGAGGCTGAGGCAGAAGATCACTTGAGGTCAGGACTTCGAAACCAGCCTGGCCAACATGGCAAAATCCCGTCTCTACTAAAAATACAAAAGCTAGCTAGGTGTGGTGGCACATGCCCATAGTCCCAGCTACTCAGGAAGCTGAGGCAGGAGAACCGCTTGAGCTTGGAAGGCAGAGGTTGCAGTGAACCGACATTGTACCATTGCACTCCAGCCTGGGTGATGGGAGTGAAACCCTGTGTCAAAAAAAAAAAAATAGAAGGACTCAGCCAGACAAAGAGGTGGAGAGAAGCATTTCAAGCAGAGGAAACAGCCTGTGCCTCCTTCCAATTTGAAATCGACTTTCTAGAGCACAAACCCAACCACATCACTCTACAGTGAAGACTCTTCCAGGAGGCCCTTCCTGGGTTCTACCAGCACTTATCATCCTGTACTAGAAATGTTCTTCTGTCTCCTCCTTCCCTAACCAGACTGTGAGCTCCCTGAGAGCAGATCCTGCCCAATCCATTTCTGGTGCTTGGCCCAGTGCTAAGGAGGTCACATTCAGTTCTGTGATTCTCTTGCCTTTACTATCCTTGACCCCTTTGATGGTTCCCAGGATTCAGGGGTCTGGGTTGTAGTGTGTTGCTGGGAAATAAATCTGAGAGCAGATTCTATAATCCTGTGGCAGTGGGATTCCCTGACTGTGACAGCATCACTCCCAGAATAGAAGAAAGCAAGGTTTTCTTGCCAGAAAAAGAAACACTCTTTTCACACCATCTCTTGAAGAAAATAGAGTATAGGATAAACAGCTCAGGAGAGATGCAGCCTCAGAGGCGACTCCAAACCCAATTCTCCTTCCAAGGAGATTCAGGCTCCCTACTCCTCTCCTTAACATCTACATACCAGACTCTCTGCCCAGCGCTGGGGTCCTGTATGGTTTCCTCATTGCTCAATATAAATCAGGCCCTAGGGTAAAAGCCTGGAAATCCCAGTCCGAGCTCCCAGAGCGGGGACTATCAGAATATTGTTACTATAAAGGTTCTTAACAATCATCTGGTTTCACAGTCCCCATCTCCCTCTACCCCCTCCACCAAAAGGAGGAAAAACTGAGGCCAGGAGAGAGACAGAGTGCTGCTCAAGACCACAAAACGTTTCAGAAGCAGAGCCAAGACTTGAACCCGTGCATTCTTCCTTGCCTAAAGCTTTTTCTCAAACTGCCTCTGTGGAGGTGGGTTGTCATAGCAACAGTTCTTTGGGTGGGAGAACTAAGAAGAAGTTGCCACTGTTTCCCATTCCCACATATCCCAGTCTGGCTTGTTCACTCAACCTTTGAATGGAGGGTAGAGGAAGAAAGCAGGAGGGACGAGGCCTAGAGGCAGGACTGACCTTGGCCTCAAGGGTAGGCCTTCCCCCTTTGTGCAAGGAGAGCTGGGAGAGGAACAATTGAAGGACAGTCCTTAGAGGGCTTGAACCAGTCCTGCCTTCAGTAGCCCGAAGGCAAATCCCTTGCCCCACCCCTTGTCCTTCCTGGGTGCAACCCAGTAGGCAGGGCAGAGCACAAGAAGAGATTAATATTAATAACATCCTGGCCTGAGGAAGGAGAAAAAATAGGATGGGGATCTCTCCTCATTCTGGCCCCAGAAGGCTCCCTCCCTTGTGCCCTTTCTCGGGCAGCCTCAGGCCCCAGGCAAGCTGGGTCAAGAATACAGAGAGACAAAATCAAAAGTTAAATGCAGCCCCTTAAAGTTTACAGATAGTTTCCACCAAGGCAGAGAAGAGAGCCAGAGACTGGGCGTGGCTCTTCCACTGACTCCCTATGTGAGTTCAGAATCTGCAAGCACGTTTTATCTGTAAGATGGGAGAAATGATGACCAGTTTTCTCATTTCAATGACATAAAATGTTCAGACTATCTGGCACAAAGCAGGTCTCAAAGTAAAGATGCAAAGTGCAGTCAGATGATCTGGGTTCAAATCATGGCCCTGCTTTTTGCGTGATGTTGGGCAGTTATTAAACTCCCTGTGCCTCTGTTTTCTTTTCTTTTCTCCTCCCTCCCTCCCTTCCTCCCTTCCTCCCCTTCTTCCCCTTCTTTTTTTGAGACAGGGTCTAGCTCTGAGCTCTGTCACCCAGGCTGGAGTGCAGTGGTGCGATTTCAGCTCACTGCAACCTCCTCTTCCTGGGCTCAAGTGATCCTCCTGCCTCTGCCTCCAGAGTAGCTAGGACTACAGGCACACACCACAACACCCATCTAATTTTTGTATTTTTTGTAGAGACAGGGTCTTGCTTTGTTGCCCAGGCTGGTCTCAAACTCCTGGGCTCAAGCGATCTGCCTGCCTCGGCCTCCCAAAGTGCTGGGATTACAGGCGTGAGCCACCATGCCCACCCTGTGCCTCAGTTTCTCCATCTATAAAATATCACTTAACAGGGTTACTGTGGAGATGAAGAGAGCATCATGTAAAGTGCTCAGCAAGCTGCCTGGCACATGCACTGGGTGAAAGTTTTCAAAGCAAGTAGACAGTCTAGATAGGCTCTTACTAGGCCTTGAGCTAAAGTTTGTACAGTGAGGCAAAGGCAAGCCCCCGCTTAGGTGGGTACAGTCACAGCCTTGCTCTGGAGAATTGGGCACTCACCTCCAACCTTCAAGGCCAAGTGCACACTTGGCATTCAAGTCCTTCTCCCAGGGGGCCTTTCCTGACTGCTCCACCCACCAGACTCTCTTCCCAGCCTCTCAGCTCAGGCGTCGGAGCCCTGGCTGGTCTCAGAGCCCCCATGATTTCCTTCCCCTTCTCCTTCACAGACCAGCTTGGCACAGGCTGGGCACACAGGAAGACTTTAGCTGACGTACTCACTGTGGGCTCCTGGTTGTGAGCCAGGAAGCCGATGGCAATTCCTCAGTTCCCCAGAACTGGCTGCAAAGTAGTGGCAGGTGTAAATCACCCACTTCACCGGAATCAGGGCCCTGGGGAACCTGCCAGGGCCTCGGCTGCCCTTTTGGCTCTGAATCTAGACCAGCAGCAATAGAGAAAGGGGAGGGTTGCTGTTTCCTCTTCTCCCCAAGAATGTACAGATGAGATCCAAATATCCAGTTTACCTGGAAGACTGGCTGGGAGGAGACTGAGTCTGAGGCGAGGGAATCAGCACCAGTGGTGCTGCTACTCTCTGTCCCTGCTATGGGTCTAGGAACTTTCCATTATTTTAAGTAGGGCTGGGGGATGTAGAGGAAACGGAGAAGGTTTTCAGTGCCCCTGGTCCAGGTAGTTTTCAGCAGATAGGCCCCTTTACCCACTTCTTTTCTGTGCGGAACACTGCGGCCTCACAGGAACTTAAACCCTTTCCCGGTTAGCAGAAGGAGAAAAAACCGGTTGCCTTACAACGGGGACTGGCGGGGAATAGGTGGCCCATACAGGCGGGGGGAATTTGTGCTGCGTTGGGTTCTCAGTACTTCCCAGTCCTCATCTCTCTCCTCCCAATTATTTGGCAGGAATAACTTCCAAAACCCACTGCTCCCAACCCAAGTCCTCAGGACCATCAACACCCCACTCACTCTTGGGGGACAAGTAATGGACGTCACTCCATCTCCACCCCAGCGTTTACGGATTGATCTGGGAGGGATTCTGAGCAGTTAGGTGGAGAGTTTTAACTACCTCCTCTCCAGCTTAACTCTGGGAGCATGAGTTCGTCCCTCCCGGCCCTACACTAGGGACTCGTCCCCTTGGCCCATGGATTCAGCACTCACCAGCTCCATCTTCAGCGCCATGATCTTGTCCCCCAAGTCGTGGCCGGTGCTAGACGCCCCTGGGAGCAGCAGGGCGCCAGAGGTTCCCAGCTCACACTCGCCTCGCAGCCCGCGGAGCAGCCCTTCAGGGGTCTTCCTGCCCACCTTACCCTCCACATCCCGCAGGTCAGGCGTCTGGGACTCCACGGTCCCCTCCATGCGGGCCCAAGCCTGAAAAGGGCTGGGCGACCGGACGCCGGGGACCGGCTCCCGGGGGTCCTCCCTTCGCCGCTGCTAAAGCGGAGCAAAACCGGTGGGTCCCCGCCCGCGCGGCGCGGGGGCGGGAGGAGGGCGCCGTAACACTCAGAAAAGCCGCGCAGCACCGTCTGTGGATGTATTCGAGTGCTGCGCACACAACCTCTGGCCCTGGATTGCGTGGGGCTGGGCGATTCTGGAGTTGGACCTGAAAGAGCACTCGGAGACCTCAGCGCCTTCGCCCCACCCTGGCACTGAATCCAGCCAGGCACACAGCAGGCGCCCAATACATGTTTGCAGAATGAAGTCTAAGCAGCTTCAGTCAGAGATGTGGGAGTTTAAGGAACAGCGGTAACAGAGAGCTGCAGAGGGCTTGGAAGTCTTCCTGGAGCAGAGGAATTGGGTATAAAACGATGACTGGATTTTAGCTAGACACACACACACACACACACACACACACACACACACACCACCCCCCCCCCCCAGGGGCTAGAATTCAGGCTAACGGAGTAGAAAAGGGCAACCAGTACTGAAGCTGAAGAGGTCCACGTTGGGCTTACAAGCAAGATGCTCCTTAAGCTTGACTGTGCGTATGAATTATCTGCGGATCTTGTTAAAATGTAGGTTCTGATTTTGTAAATCTGGGGTGGGGCTTGAGATCCTGCATTTTTTTTTTTTTTTTTTTTTTTTTTTTGAGACAGAGTCTCGCTCTGTCGCCCAGGATGTAGCGTGGTGGCGCGATCTTGGCTCACTACAAACCTCTGCCTCCCTGGGTTCAAGCAATTCTCCTGCCTCTGCCTCCTGAGTAGCTGGGATTACAGGCATGCGCCACCATGCCCAGCTAATATTTTTGTATTTTTAGTAGAGACAGGGTTTCACCATGTTGGCCAGGCTGGTCTTGAACTCCTGACTTCAAGTGATCCGCCTGCCTTGGCCTCCCAAAGTGCTGGGATTACAGGTGTGAGCCACTGCGCCCAGCCAAGATCCTGCATTTCTAATAAGCTCCCAGGTGATGGCCATGCTGCTGGTCCACACTTCAAGTAATAAGGGACCACACTTTGAGTAACAAGGTTACAGAAAATGGTTCTGAGATGTTTGGGTTTTATTTAACAGGTAATGAACAGCCATGAAAACTCTGGTTTGTTTAGGCTTTTAATTCAAGTAATTCCAGCCCATGGTTGCAGAAGGATTTACAATGAGAAGATAGTTACCCCTACCCTACCCTTTCACACCTCTAGGCCCACTCCCAATTGGCAAAAAATAACTTTTAGTTTTTTTTTTTCTTTTGGTGTTCATACCCATAACGTTATTGTTTAGAGTTAACTAAAAGTGGTTGCCAATTGGGAGTGGGCCTAGAGGTGTGAAAGGGTAGGGTAGGAGTAACTATCCTCTTATTGTAAATCCTACCACTATTTTTTCTTTTTTAGAGACAGGGTCTTCCTACATTGCCCAGGCTGGACTCAAACTCCTGGGCTCAAGCAATCCTCCTGCCTCCCAAGCAGCTGTGACTACAGGAGTATGCCACCATGCCCAGCCACACTACTTCTCAATTTTAAACATTCATCTGCTGTTTATTGTCCTATTCAGATAAATATGGATATATGGGTTTAACTCACACTCTGTAGTTCCTTTCCCCCATTGGCAATATATATTTCTTTTCTTTTCTTTCTTTTTTCTTTTTTTTTTTTTTTTTGAGATGGAGTCTCACTCTGTCGCCCAGGCTGGAGTGCAGTGGCACGATCTTGACTCACTGCAACCTGCCCTCCTGGGTTCAAGCGATTCTCCTGCCTCAGCCTCCTGAGTAGCTGGGATTACAGGCACGTGCCACCATGCCCGACTAATTTTTGTATTTTTAGTAGAGACGGGGGTTTCACCATGTTGGTCAGGCTGGTCTCGAACTCTTGACCTCGTGATCTGCCTGCCTCAGCCTCCCAAAGTGCTGGGATTACAGGTGTGAGCCACTGCGCCCGGCCTGGCACTACATATTTCTATCACTCTTTTTAGTTCATCTAAGGTTACCTTTGTAATTAACTTTTTTTAAAATTTAGATAGAGTCTCGCTATGTTGCCCAGGCTGGTCTCGAACTCCTGGCCTCAAGCAATCCTCCCACCTTAGCCTCCCAAAGTGCTGGGATTACAGGCATGAGCCACCATGCCTGGCCTACCTTTATAATTTTAAGTAACATCATTTTCCTTGGTACTTTTTGATCCATGGAAGGGTTTTAAGTTAGAGATAGACAAAACATTTGTCTTTTTTTTTTGAGACAGAGTCCGGCTCTGTTGCCCAGGCTGGAGTGCAGTGGCACCATCTTGGCTCATTGCAACTTCTGCCTCCCAGGTTCAAGCCATTCTCCTGCCTCAGCCTCCTGAGTAACTGGAATTACAGGCACCTGCCACAACACCCAGCTAATTCTTGTATTTTTAGTAGAGACGGGGTTTCACCATGTTGGCCAGGCGGATCCATCCGCCTCAGGTGATCCACCCGCCTTGGCCTCCCAAAGTGCCGGGATTACAGGCATGAGCCACCGAACCCGGCAACATTTGCCTTAAAGAAAATCACTCTGGATTTTGCAAGGAGAAAAGGATAGGAGGAGTAAAAATCTAGAGTCAAGGAGACTGGCTGGAAAGCAAGAAACTGAAATGGCCTGCACTGGGGCTGATTGTGAGGTCAAAGAAGAATTAGACTAGAATGGAAGGCTCTTTAGGAGGTAAGACTGACAGGACTAGGTGACTGGTTACATTCATTTATAGTGGCATTCAATAAAAATTTGTTAAAAAATACAAATGAATGATTTCAACAAATGTTACGGAGAGCTTACTATGTGCCAGCCTTTGTGTGTGGTGTAGAGAATACAATGGTGAGCAAGACATACCTGGACTGGTCACTGGAGACAGACAAGGAGTCAAGGGTGACTCCCAGCTGTTTGGCCTGGTGCAGTTCACTGAGGAGGGGAACCCACAGGAAATCTAGGAGTGAAAGGAAATGATTCCAGAAGTTGTGCTGTTGCGTTAGAGGGGCCTGTGAAGATGTCCTGCTGGACATCAGGCAGCCTGGAGCTCAGGAAAGAGGTTAGAACTGCCAATGTCAGTTTGGGCATCTAGATTGGTAACAGAGGTCATGAGAGAATGAGATCATCCATGAAGAGTCAGTTTGAGGAGAAAAGAGGGTCAGGAAGGAACCCTGAGGGACATCTTTTAATTATTTATTTTTATTTTTTTATTTTTTGAGACGGAGTCTTGCTCTGTCACTCAGGCTGGAGTGCAGTGGTGCAATCTCAACTGCAACTTCTGTCTCCCAGGTTCAAGCGATTCTCCTGCTTCAGCCTCCTGAGTAGCTACGATTATAGGCGCCTGTCACCACGCCCAGCTAACTTTTGTATTTTTAGTAGAGACGGGGTTTCACCGCGTTGGGCAGGCTGGTCTCAAACTCCTGACCTCAACTGACCACCCCACCTCGGCCTCCCAACCTGCTGGGATTACGTGAGTCATGGTGCCCAGCCGGGACATCTTTTCAAATGTAATAAAATGTGTTGGGTTTTCTTCCATTCTTATACATACTTACTAGGAAAAATCATGTATTTCTTTAACTCCTAAGACAAGTACTGTTAACATTTCATTTTGGGGGATATTACCCCACCATTCAGGAAGCAGATGGAATACAGAAAGCTCAAAAAAATCTAACTGGTCTTCTGGCTTCCTCTGTCTGCTTCCAACCCATTCTCCACAAAAAAAGTAAAGGTTCTCTTAAAACAGAAATTGGATTATATTGCTCCCCTGCCTAAAACTGTTCTATGGCTATCCACTTCAAACAAGCATCAACATCACCTAGAAACTTCTCAGGAATGCAAAATCCCACCCTGCCCCAGACCACTGAATCTAAAACTCTAGGGATGGGGCCCAGCACCTCTGTTTTAAGAAGTCATCCAGGTGATTCTGACGCAAGCTAAAGTTTGAGAACCATTGTGTTAAGCTAACTGCTTTCTATGTATGATGTTATTTAAACCTGGCAATTCTTATGTATTGTTGCCAGCAGAGTGCAGTGGTTAAGAGCAGAATCTGGAGCTAGGCTGAGTTTCAATTCCACCTCTCCTAGCTTTGTGATATTAGGTCTTATTTCTTTATCTGCGACAGGGATAGTAATAGCGCCTATAGCCAGCACGGTGGCTCACTGCCCATAATCCCAGCACTTTGGGAGGCCAAGGCGGGCGGATCACTTGAGGTCAGAAGTTCAAGACCAGCCTGGCCAACATGGTGAAACCCCGTCTCTACTAAAAATATAAAAATTAGCTGGGTGTGGTGGCGCACGACCGTAGTCCCAGCTACTCAGGAGGCTGAGGCAGGAGAATCGCTTGAACCCAGAAGGCGGAGGTTGCAGCGAGCCGAGATGGTGCCACTGCACTCCAGCCTGGGCGACAGAGCGAGACTCCGTCTCAATTAAAAAAAAAACAATAATAATGATAATAGCGCCTACCTCATGGGGTTGTTGTGGAATTAAACATCATCAGTAAGGTGCTTAGAACAGTGACAGAACCTGGATTTTAATCTCCCTTGGCCTCCAATAGCTGTGCATGCCCCAGGACTAGGTAACGGCCTTGCCCAGGACGGGTATGGGGCGGGTGGTGTGTGCCCTGTGTCCAAGGGTTGCAGCCCCTCTGACCCTGGCGTGCCCTGTGATCTGGTCCAAGGTGCTAGGCCTCTGACTGGAGTCGGGCTTGCCATCGGCGGTGCTGGGGAGCGGGCTGCTCTCGTGCAGGCAGCCCCACCAGCCAGCCGGGCTGCGAAGCTGCCTAGCACGGTCTGAGCATTCGCCTTACTCGCTGGCTGCTTACACCCCGACGCCGCTGCCGCCACCGCCGCCGCCGCCGCCGCCGCCCTAAGCACCGCCCGTCGCCCTCTCACCCCGCGGCAGCGGCGGCGGCGGCGGCGGCGGAAGCGGGGGGGCGGGCCAGGCCGGGGCGGGGCCGCAAGCGGCATGGAGGAGGCGGAGGCCGCGGCGAGCCGGGCCGAGCAGTGAGGGCCCTAGCGGGGCCCGAGCGGGGCCCGGGGCCCCTAAGCCGTGAGTGCCTCCGCGTGGGTGTCCGGAACGGGTAGCGCTGCCGGTGCAGGTCTCCTGAGCCCTCGGGCGGCTCCGGGCCCTGGGAGGAGGAGAGAAGCTGGGGCAGATAGGATGGGACGAGGGTTGAAGACTGGGGCAGGAGAGGTCGCTCTTTGCTCACCACAGGCTTGGGAAGGCCTGGAACTTGGTCCTTGTAGGGGCTAACGAACTTTGAGCCGATTATTTGGCCTCCACCCTTGGACAGCCTTGATTCAGAGAGTTACTCCAGTCTCAGGGAATTTCCAGGTGATCCAACCCCACTGAAGGGTTTCCTGCCAGCCCAGAGAAGTTGAGCCACTTTCCCCATGTCACACAGTATGGGTGCTTGCAGGGAAGAGTTGCTGGGAGGTCCTCCCTCATCTCCCCAGAAGGCATCAGACTTTGGGAGGAGCATCTTACCCCATGTGGCCCTCTGGTCCCTTCAGATTCCTGAAGTCATGGGCTGGCCAGGACATTGGTGACCCGCCAATCCGGTATGGACGACTGGAAGCCCAGCCCCCTCATCAAGCCCTTTGGGGCTCGGAAGAAGCGGAGCTGGTACCTTACCTGGAAGTATAAACTGACAAACCAGCGGGCCCTGCGGAGATTCTGTCAGGTATAGAGATGTCCCAAACCCTCCCCACCGAGCGCTCCCTCCCAGCTTCCTCCCCACCTAAATCAGGCACTGGGACCCCTGTTGGCCAGCCCCAGTGGGAAAGGGGCAGCAGGTTCCTAGAGGGGAGACCTCTATGTGTCATGTCCCTATAGGTAATGATTTGAACCCAAAGTTCTGGAATCGGAACCCAAGTACAACTTCTAAGCTTCTGACGGAAGCCTGAAGTCTGATCAGGCTGGCTTTGCAGAGAGGCACACCCCTGTGAGGCAGTTAGGGCCAGGACCCAGGTCTGATCCCCCGCTTGGGTCCCTGGGCCTGGCTCCATCTCTAGAAACCAACAATGGAGGGGACCAAGGAAATCAAGGTCTCAAATAGAAGAATACAGGAGCACTGGGTAGGGAGGGCCCTAATGGAGGGGGAAGTGTCAGGGGAGGTTCCCTGGGGAAAGTGGCTGTGAAACTAGGCCCTGGTCAGGGGAGTAGAGCTAGGCAGACAGAGGAAGGGACAGGACCCAGTTTCTCTGGATGTCTTCACTGCAGCCAGGGCCCTCCTTTCAGAAAGACCCTCTAGGATCTGAAGGAGGTGCTCCTCTTAATCATCCCTACCCCTCCCCTCAGACAGGGGCCGTGCTTTTCCTGCTGGTGACTGTCATTGTCAATATCAAGTTGATCCTGGACACTCGGCGAGCCATCAGTGAAGCCAATGAAGACCCAGAGCCAGAGCAAGACTATGGTAGGGCTAGGCTAAGGATGGGGTAGGGGGCCTTGGATCTCACAGCTGGAGTGGCAGGCAGACCCTAAGCGGTGAGACTCTGCTGAGGAGACTATCTCCATGACCTGTTGTACCCCACAGATGAGGCCCTAGGCCGCCTGGAGCCCCCACGGCGCAGAGGCAGTGGTCCCCGGCGGGTCCTGGACGTAGAGGTGTATTCAAGTCGCAGCAAAGTATATGTGGCAGTGGATGGCACCACGGTCAGTGGGCCAGGGTCTGGTGTACAGTCACTCTATTCTGCTCAGGGCATGGTCCACTGGCAGCAGGGTCTACTGCCTAAGTGGGAACTGCAACTCTGCCAGTTTCTAGCTGTGTGACTTTGGAGTCCTCGATTCCTTATCTATAGACTGGGACTAATGATTTCTACTTGTCAGGATTCAATGAAAAGTTTGTGAAGTGTCTTGTATGTAGTGGGATCTCAAAAGTAATCATTCATAATAGTAGGCAGTCAATTCATTGATTTATTTTATAACCATCCCCTGGTCCTTTCTTTGGCCTCAGCCTTGTGCTGGGCACTGGGGACCTGAAAGTAATCAGACCTGGCCCTACCTTGAGGGGTTCAGTGTGGTGGAGGATTGTGATACTTCCAGGATGAAGCAGAGACAGCAGAGGCTCTAAGAGCCATGAAAGTCATGGAGGGGAGGGTTGTAGAAAGACGTGATCTCTTCTGATGGGAGTGCTATAGAGGCTTTCTGGAAGAGGTGGCCTTCGAGCTGAGTTGGAAAAGAACTGTGTGAACAGAAACATAGGCAGGAGGTGATGTTTCAAGCAGCTGGTGTTTTAAGTACCCCTAAGACAGAGACACCTTGAATGCCAGAGTGAAAAGCTGGACTTTGTCTCTGCCACTGTGTAGGTGCTGGAGGATGAGGCCCGGGAGCAGGGCCGGGGCATCCATGTCATTGTCCTCAACCAGGCCACGGTGAGTTTCTAGGGGTGGGTGACCCAGAGGGCTGGAGCTGGGCTCTTGCTGATGACACCAACTCACCAGAAGTATATCCCCTGCCAGGGCCACGTGATGGCAAAACGTGTGTTTGACACGTACTCACCTCATGAGGATGAGGCCATGGTGCTATTCCTCAACATGGTAGCGCCCGGCCGAGTGCTCATCTGCACTGTCAAGGTCAGTTATTCTGTCCTGACCCTGACCCCTACTCCCTAGCTCCAACCCTGCTTCTAGCCCCGGCTTCTCTGCCCCTCATATAACATAGTGGGAAGATTCTCTGAAGGAAGGTTACTCAGGTTCCAATCTCAGCCTTAACATTTGTATTAATTCAGCAAATAGTTATTGAGCAACAGCTGTATGCCAGGTACTTCTCTGGGTGCTGAAGATACAATGGGAAACAAGACAGAGTCCCCACCCTCATGGAGCTTATATTCCAGCAGTGGGAGGTCAACAGAAACAGCCAAGTAAATGTGGATAATGCTAGTAAATGATAACTTGTATAAAGAAGAAAATAAAGCAGGGGATAATGAATGATAGAGGGGAGGGGACATTTTAGAAAGAGAAGGCCCCTGCAAGGAGATGATATGTGAGCAGAAAGCTGAGGAATTGAGGAGTGAGCCAGGTGAGTATCTGGAGGAAGAGCATTCCAGGTGGAAAGAATGGCAAGTGCAAAGCCCCTATAGTGGGAAGGTACACGGCATATTTGAGGAACAGCAAAGATGCTAGTCGAGGTGGAGCAGAATAAGGGAGGAGAGTAGGAGAGTGGTTGGAAAAGAAGGCAGAGAGTGGCGGGAGAGAGAGGTGCAGATCGTGTGGGTTTGTGGAAAGGACTTATTAGCTGGATGACCTTAGAATCTCTAAGCCTTCAGTTATTATTTTATCTGTGAAAGAGAGTAACCATAGAGGGTTATTGCAATAATGTAATGAGCTATTTTAAGTAAAAGGTTGCTACATAGTTCGTGCTCTGTGAGGCCAGGTCTCCTGGAACCATGCCAGTCAGGCTAACTGCCTTCTCTGGTCCCCCAGGATGAGGGCTCCTTCCACCTCAAGGACACAGCCAAGGCTCTGCTGAGGAGCCTGGGCAGCCAGGCTGGCCCTGCCCTGGGCTGGAGGGACACATGGGCCTTCGTGGGACGAAAAGGAGGTGCCGGCATCAGAGGCCATCCACTCTGTAGTATCAAGAGCCTGGGAGGAGCAGAACCCTAGGAGATGGGGTGGGGTGGGGAACAAATAGGAGCCAGTGGCAGTGGGTTGGATGAAAGTAGGCAGGGAGATGGGAAAAAGCCCCCAAACTGGTGTCTGGGCCCCCATGGCCCTCATTCCTGCCTCCTGCCAGGTCCTGTCTTCGGGGAGAAACATTCTAAATCACCTGCCCTCTCTTCCTGGGGGGACCCAGTCCTGCTGAAGACAGATGTGCCATTGAGCTCAGCAGAAGGTGGAGTTAGTGGAGCATGGATGGGGCAGGGCCTGGGCTGGGGGTGGGCATTTAGATCTCTCTGTGGAGCTTTATTCCTTTGATTGTGTGCCTGGGGCTCTTCAAACCTTGCTGGCCCCATGCCTCCATGACAACCGCATCCTTCCCTCAGAGGCAGAGTGCCACTGGGCAGACACAGAGCTGAACCGTCGCCGCCGGCGCTTCTGCAGCAAAGTTGAGGGCTATGGAAGTGTATGCAGCTGCAAGGACCCCACACCCATCGAGTTCAGCCCTGACCCAGTGAGTGGGGCCTTAAGACAGTGAGGTTTGGACTCCTTCCCAGCTCAGCAGGGGGGCCCCAGGAATGATCTAGGTTGGGCTTTCCCTACCTGAGCCTGGGAGAGAACCAGGGGCAGGATTTACACTGCGCTCTGAAAGACAGGGCTGGGGTGAAGGGGCAGGCCATGTGAGTAAAGCTCAGCGCTAGAGTTGGGCTGAGTGTGTGGAGAGCCCAGAACAGGGAAGATCCTCTATCCCTTCCCTGTCTACTCCAGTCTGCACCTACCCTCACCTGAGAAGTCTTCCCTAGGTGGGGATCCCAGTTTGAAGGGGGAATAAGGCAAGAGCTAAACGCTATTTCTCCCACAGCTCCCAGACAACAAGGTCCTCAATGTGCCTGTGGCTGTCATTGCAGGGAACCGACCCAATTACCTGTACAGGTAAGCCTGGGAATGGGCTATACCCAGCACTGAACAGGAGGGTGCTTAGGTCATCTACCTCCAGGAGGAACTCTTGAGGTGGGCAGAAAGGCAATAGATTCTAGACGCATTCACCTCTGTGGGTAAGCATAGGGACTCTGGGCCCAGCTGTAAACACAGGGGAACCTGAGTTGAGGGGTGATGAAGTGACCCTAACCTATCCCTGGGCTCCCCAGGATGCTGCGCTCTCTGCTTTCAGCCCAGGGGGTGTCTCCTCAGATGATAACAGTTTTCATTGACGGCTACTATGAGGTGAGCAGGACTTGGGGGGTGCCTCGGGTGGAGTACAACATGGAGCAGCAGTGATTGCCAGGGACGGGCAAGGGAGACCGCCCAGGCAAGGGCTGTGAAATGTGAAGGCCTTGGATTGCAGAGGTGGGCAGAGGGAAAGTGACCTCACATGGTGAGCAGTGGCCATGTCCCCCAGGAACCCATGGATGTGGTGGCACTGTTTGGTCTGAGGGGCATCCAGCATACTCCCATCAGCATCAAGAATGCCCGCGTGTCTCAGGTACTGCATAGGCAAGTGGGGATGGGGCAGACACCTGGCTCTGCCTTCTACCCTAAAGCTCATGTGCCCTATTCCCACCCCACTCCCAGCACTACAAGGCCAGCCTCACTGCCACTTTCAACCTGTTTCCGGTGAGTACTAAGGATACAACTCTTGGGCCTGGGAGGGGGGAAACATGGGCATAAGGTCTGGGCCTGTTACGTGGCAAGCTCTTCCCCTCACTGGGCCTCATCCTTCACATCTGGAAAATGGGGGTAATGCTGCCTGCAAGAAGAGGGTTGGGGGCAAAGGAGATCACAGGATGGAGAGACCCCTTTGGGACCATGATGTCCCATTCCCCTTCTAGGAGGCCAAGTTTGCTGTGGTTCTGGAAGAGGACCTGGACATTGCTGTGGATTTTTTCAGGTGAGGGGAGTCTCTAGGTTTCAGTTGAGGTCCCTCAGTCTGCAGGGAAAGAGTCAGTGAGGTGTCCTAGAGAGCTTTCTGGAGGACATGAGCTCACAAGTGGGGGCGAAGCCTGGGCAAAGGTAGGATGGCAGGTGTTGGGGCTGCTGTTGAAGGTACAGTGGATGAATGGAGACAGTGGGGATTTGGGGGAAGGAGGTACTCCAGGAAGGAGGTGCTCCTGAGACCCAGCTCCAGCAATTCTAGCATCTCTGTGTGACTAGATTTATCCTTGTCCCTCCCTGAACTCTTTGACCCTGCCTCTCTCAGTTTCCTGAGCCAATCCATCCACCTACTGGAGGAGGATGACAGCCTGTACTGCATCTCTGCCTGGAATGACCAGGTAGGCTGGAATGACCAGGGTTTAGCAGGCGAGTTTATGAGGCCTCAGCTAATACCTCCCACTATGGCACCCTGTCCCCAGGGGTATGAACACACGGCTGAGGACCCAGCACTACTGTACCGTGTGGAGACCATGCCTGGGCTGGGCTGGGTGCTCAGGAGGTCCTTGTACAAGGAGGAGCTTGAGCCCAAGTGGCCTACACCGGAAAAGGTAACTGTCAGGGTAGGGTGAGGGGGCTGGAGTCCCCTACCAACTCGAAACATCTTAACCTTCATCGTGGTCCATGTCTGCCAGCTCTGGGATTGGGACATGTGGATGCGGATGCCTGAACAACGCCGGGGCCGAGAGTGCATCATCCCTGACGTTTCCCGATCCTACCACTTTGGCATCGTCGGCCTCAACATGAATGGCTACTTTCACGTGAGTGGGAGGCAGGGAGCAGGGCACAGTGTGGCATGACAGTCAAGAACAAGAACATGGACTCTGAAGCAATCTTAGCTCTGCTACTTGCTAGCCATGTAACCTTGGGGAAAGAGCTATCCTATTTTTGCCTCAGTTTCTTTATCTGAAAAATGAGGATAAAGGGCTGGGCGCGGTGGCTCACGCCTGTAATCCCAGCACTTTGGGAGGCCGATGCGGGTGGATCACAAGGTCAGGAGATCGAGACCATCCTGGCTAACATGGTGAAACCCCATCTCTACTAAAAATACAAAAAATTAGCCGGGCCTGGTGATGGGCGCCTGTAGTCCCAGCTACTTGGGAGGCTGAGGCAGGAGAATGGCGTGAACCCAGGAGGCGAAGCTTGCTGTGAGCCAAGATCACGCCACTGCACTCCAGCCTAGGTGACAGAGCGAGACTCCATCTCAAAAAAAAAGAGGATAAAATACTACTACCTCACTGGGTTACGATATTTTGAGGTTTAAATGAGTCAATATATGTAAAGTGCTTTGAATTATAAACATATATAAGGGTCAGCTGGTATTGTTTTTATTTTTACTATTTTTAGCACTAGACTGTGGGTGTCTGGGGAGAGTATTTCTGCCTCTAAGTACTGGTCCAGCCCTGCAATCTCTGCCCTTTCCTGTTTTGGCAAGTGCTGGAGCCTATGCTTCAGCCTGAGGAGAACAGGGAAGTCCTTAGGTACCGCCAACCCACCTGGCTGCATTCAGAGGACCATTCCCCAGTTACAGCAAGGGAGGCCTTGAGCCAGCCCAGCCCAAAGGAATGAATAGCGTCCAGCTTGGAACCTCCTAGAAGCCAGAGGTCCCTCAGAGGCTGACTAATACGCGAGCCCCATTCCTCTCCCAGAGAGGGGCAGGCGCTTCCCTCAGGTCACTCTCAGTACCAGAGTCAAAGTAGTTTTTTCCTTCCCAGCCCAGCCCGTCCCTTTGCCCACCACCTCCTGCAGGGCCTGTTTCTGACATCTGTGGCTCTAGAACAGCAGGCCCAGGGAGAACTACAAGAGGCAGGGACTGCTAGTTCATGGGTCTGTGGTGCAGTAGTGTGAGCTGCCGTGACAGCATGAGCTCTCCAGCAATGGTGGAGGCCAAATTAAAGCTAGTAAGAGCTTGCTGAGGATGCTGCAAAGAGGATGGAGAAGACGGTGGGAAATTAGAGGGCTCTTTACAGGTCTAGGACTTCATTTGTGTGTCTTATAGATGTCTGGCTGGTCAGCAAGTGGGTGTGGGCCAGACAATGTGAGGTGCTGATTTTCACTCTCATACCCACTCCAGGAGGCCTACTTCAAGAAGCACAAGTTCAACACGGTTCCAGGTGTCCAGCTCAGGAATGTGGACAGGTTGGGGCTGGCAGCAGGGCAAGGGGTGGATATCTAGGAGATTTGGAGGCCAGTCCCTGAAAGTCCCTTCCAATGCTGGGCCTGTGTGTTTACTCCAGCCCTGCGGCTACAGATTCCCATGTGACCCCTTGCCCTGCTCAGTGCTACCCATGGGACCTGAGGGCCTGCCCACTCCCCTGACCCATTTCTCCCTCCTCTTCAGTCTGAAGAAAGAAGCTTATGAAGTGGAAGTTCACAGGCTGCTCAGGTATGGCCTAGGACAATTGGGGTGTAGCAGGGAGCAAAGAGTCAAATACTGGGGATCTTGGCCCCATAATTTACAGGGTCCTGTGCAAAATGAAAATCAGGGCCCTCATCTCAAACATTAGGAACTTCAGGCCGGGCGCGGTGGCTCACGCCTGTAATCCCAGCACTTTGGGAGGCCGAGGTGGGTGGATCATGAGGTCAGGAGATCGAGACCATCCTGGCTAACACGGTGAAACCCTGTCTCTACTAAAAATACAAAAAATTAGCCGGGCGTGGTGGCAGGCGCCTGTAGTCCCAGCTACTTGGGAGGCTGAGGCAGGAGACTCCAGCCTGGGCGACAGAGCAAGACTCCATCTCAAAAAAAAAAAAAAAAAAAGAACTTCAAGGTGGCAACAGCAGAGCATTCAACCAAGTACAGGGTCCTGTGGGACACACCCATGAAGTGGGCCCTGTCTTGGCTATATTCTCCCACCCTCTACTGCAGTGAGGCTGAGGTTCTGGACCACAGCAAGAACCCTTGTGAAGACTCTTTCCTGCCAGACACAGAGGGCCACACCTACGTGGCCTTTATTCGAATGGAGAAAGATGATGACTTCACCACCTGGACCCAGCTTGCCAAGGTGCTCCAATACCATGCCCACCCTGGAGAACCCCTCCCCCTCACACACATACTGCCCCAAGATCCAGGGAGCCTTTGCTCTGGAATCTTCAACCTCAGAACCTCCTCTTTATACTCTTAGAACACCTCTTCCAACCTCCTTGTCCAAATTCATATTCTAAAAGATGCTATCTCTTACAAATTGAGGTGGTTTCTGAGGAGGGGTGGGGGCTGGGCCAAAGGGTCGTCAGTGACCCCTCCCTACAGCTCTCTGACCCATGTCTCTGTCTCCATCCCACCCTCACTAGTGCCTCCATATCTGGGACCTGGATGTGCGTGGCAACCATCGGGGCCTGTGGAGATTGTTTCGGAAGAAGAACCACTTCCTGATGGTGGGGGTCCCGGCTTCCCCCTACTCGTGAGTGACCCTTTTCTGCCCTGGGAAACAGGAGGCCTAGTGAGATCCAGGGATATAGCTAATGGCTTCTTCTCTATACATTCTTGTATTATTTTCCCAGAGTGAAGAAGCCACCCTCAGTCACCCCAATTTTCCTGGAGCCACCCCCAAAGGAGGAGGGAGCCCCAGGAGCCCCAGAACAGACATGAGACCTCCTCCAGGACCCTGCGGGGCTGGGTACTGTGTACCCCCAGGCTGGCTAGCCCTTCCCTCCATCCTGTAGGATTTTGTAGATGCTGGTAGGGGCTGGGGCTACCTTGTTTTTAACATGAGACTTAATTACTAACTCCAAGGGGAGGGTTCCCCTGCTCCAACACCCCGTTCCTGAGTTAAAAGTCTATTTATTTACTTCCTTGTTGGAGAAGGGCAGGAGAGTACCTGGGAATCATTACGATCCCTAGCAGCTCATCCTGCCCTTTGAATACCCTCACTTTCCAGGCCTGGCTCAGAATCTAACCTATTTATTGACTGTCCTGAGGGCCTTGAAAACAGGCCGAACCTGGAGGGCCTGGATTTCTTTTTGGGCTGGAATGCTGCCCTGAGGGTGGGGCTGGCTCTTACTCAGGAAACTGCTGTGCCCAACCCATGGACAGGCCCAGCTGGGGCCCACATGCTGACACAGACTCACTCAGAGACCCTTAGACACTGGACCAGGCCTCCTCTCAGCCTTCTCTTTGTCCAGATTTCCAAAGCTGGATAAGTTGGTCATTGATTAAAAAAGGAGAAGCCCTCTGGGGATGTCTTGTGATTGTGATTTTGTGTGTCAGGGGGGTGCTGGAGGGAAGTGGTGGAGAGAATACTTGTGTTGGATGGTGAGTTTTCCTTACTGTCCTCCACAGAGTTTATCTTCCATTTGGGGCCATTTGGCCACCAGGGGATGCCTGAGTCTCAAACTCCAAGGTTTTTCCCCAACTCTACCCTAGGACAGCTTGACTTTAGCCCCGCCCTACTTGAGGCTTGGAGCAGCCACCCTACCTCTTCCCCACCGTTTAACCACCAGCCGGGTTCCTGCTTATCTTGCCTGGGCCGGGCACCTGTCCCCAGAGACAGAGCAGGAGAGAACAAAAAGGGATACTGGGGAGTTGGAAGAGGAAATGAGAGAGCAGGTGTGCATAGTAGGGGTGGGAAGGAAGTGGATGGGACAGGACTGGGCAGGCATCATTCAAGAGACGGGCTAGGGTGCAGATGGAGATGTAGGAGCAAGGGTGTCTATGGCCCTTAGAGCACTTTGCTATTCAGAATTCTCTATCTGGGCATTTTTGTGGAGAAATGGGTCATGGTCTTCATCAGATTCTCACATAGCCAGTAACCCAAAGAGGTTAGGAAGATCTAAGTTAGTCATAGGGGCACCAGAAAATGGATGGGATTGTCCAGAGGGAGTGAATGAGAAAGCCTACGGCAGGGAAAAGAACATTTAAGGGATCTGTGAAGGGCCTAATGTCAGGAGGATGAGTGTGGAGCACCTCTTCAGAAAGGGTCTGCCTGCCTCTGTACAAGTACAGAACTCCAGCTGGAACTCCAGCCCTCCTGCCTGCTCTCTGCCCTGCCTCTTTCACAGGTGCTTGGAGCCCAACTCGGTGACAGCATGGGTGGTATGTCGCTTGGACATATCTCGCCACCCTGACGCCTTCAGTGTTTGTTGGAGCTGGATATAGTGCCTGAGGTGGCACAACAGCCAGGTTGAGCAGCAATTAGCCCATGATGAGGTAGAGGCCCGCCCTGGGCAAACAAATCCCATGCAGCCTCCACACAGGCACACGGCAGAGGAGAAGTGTGAGAGGCACAGTATGGTGGTGAAGGGGTGAGGCAGGCTAGCTCCTCCCCCTGTCCCGCACCCTAGCAGGCTCCTGGTCTGGCCCTCACAGACCAGCTCTAAGGCACTGTTTGGTTCTGGCCAGGTCCCTCTTCCTTTCTGGGCTCAGCAAGGGGGTGGTGGTTCTGGGCTGCCCTGGAAAAGCTCAGGAAGAGAGTTACAGGGGTCAAAGGGAAGTAAGGAGGGGGACTGGTTTGTTAGGCTGGGCTTTGCTTGGTAGCAGACACTGTACCCTCTTGCCATAGCCTCCCTCAGGCCTCTCACTCCTGGCTCAACAGTGATCAGGTCTATATCAGACATTCTGGCCAGCTGCCCCTTCAAGTGGAACTAGTACCATGTCAGCCAGGACTACACCAGGTGCTGGAGTTCTGGGCCCAAATCTAGGCTGAGCTCTTCACAGAAGCCTGTGGGACTGGGGCAAGTATCTTGGCCTTTCCGATCCCTAGTTTCCTACCTGGAGCATAGGGATAGTTAGGGCTAAAGAAGAGATGAGGTCTAGGTCAGGTGAGGTGGCTCACGCCTGTAATCCCAGCTCTTTGGGAGGCTGAGGCATGTGGATCACCTGAGGTCAGGAGTTCGAGACCAGCCTGGCCAACATGGTGAAACCCTGTCTCTACTAAAAATATAAAAAGTTAGCCGGGCGTGGCCGGGCACGGTGGCTCATGCCTGTAATCCCAGCACTTTGGGAGGCCGAGGTGAGTGGATCACGAGGTCAGGAGATCAAGACCATCCTGGCTAACACAGTGAAACCCCGTCTCTACTAAAAATTCAAAAAATTACCCGGGCGAGGTGGCGGGCGCCTGTAGTGCCAGCTACTCGGGAGGCTGAGGCAGGAGAATGGCGTGAACCCCAGGGGGCGGAGCCTGCAGTGAGCCGAGATCGCGCCACTGCACTCCAGCCTGGGCGACAGCGAGACTCTCTCAAAAAAAAAAAAAAAAAAACACAAAAATTAGCCGGGCATGGTGGCAGGTGCCTGTAATCCCAGCTACTCAGGAGGCTGAGGCAGGAGAACTGCTTGAACCCGGAGGCAGAGTCCGCAGTGAGCCGAGATCACACCATTGCACTCCAGCCTGGGCAACAAGAGCGAAACTCTGTCCCAAAAAAAAAAAAAAAAAAAGAAAAGAAAAGAAAAAGAGGTGAGGTCTGAAGAACACCAGGTAGGCCAGCAGCAACGAAAAAATGAAGTGCTTGCTGAGATCCCAGAAGCAGGGACAGATCTGGGGTTTTGCCTGAGTGGGAAAGGCAGGCAGCCTGGACCCTAGGAAGGGGGCTCCTGAAGGGCTTCCCAGAACCTAAGGAGTGACCCTTTCCCATTGCCCTGGTAAGAATTCGTCACAAGCTTGTTATTTTCATAGCTTTCCAGTCCAGTGCCCCTACCCAGGAGGGGGTAGTTTCAGTCCAAAGTTCTCCCCTTTATAAGGAGGCAGACTGGCCTAACCCAACTGTACTTCTTCATGCCCTCTCAGCCATCCCTCTTAGTTTCCCTCCAAGGCCTGGAACCCAAATGAAGGGGAGAAATAACCACTTCTGACCCCCAACCCCACCCTACTTCCCTCCTTTCCAGGGCCTTCTGAGTTGGCAGCCCCACAGGAATCCGTGGCCAGTTTAGGCCCCTCTCCCCAAGGATACATGAAGAGTCCAACTGGCAACATTGTAACAGGTTTATGCATTTTGAAGTGCCTTCTACACATCCACCCAGAGGCTCTGCTGATTTCACTTATGCCCAGGCTATAAAATGCCTTTCTCTCATCCCCCAGTAGAGCACTGGGATCACCACTAGGCCTAGGGGGCATATCAAGGGTTTAATAGACTGGGGGAATGGGCAACAGAACTGGCTACCTTAGAGGCTCTGGAATGCCCCCCACCCATCCACCCACCAATGGAAGGAAAGTCAGGCATCGCCTAAAAGGAGTGGTCCCTATCTAGCCCCAAGTCTGGAGCAGAAAGGGCAGGTCCATTCTGGCCCAAGTGACATTGTTAGATCCTGTCCCCTCCCCCAATCACTGCTGCTTGCCAGGGTGCCTCTTCACAGTTCCCATGTGGCAGCAGTAGTGGCAGAGGCAGAAGTGGACTTATTGTAGATTGCAGTACAGATACATGGACACAATCATGGCAGCCAGCTGGAGAGGGAGGAACAGGGAGAGATGAGGGAACATGATAGGGATCCTGAAGCCTGTCCCACAGACACCCTACCTGAGGCCCAGTTAGAAGTCTGTTTCCTCCAGAGAGGCCTCAGATGGGTTGAGCAGCCCTGGTCTCATGCCCATGTCCCAGTCCCAGCCTCCTCATCTGCTTACCTCGAGGCCCCCAATTCCAGCTGCCACACCACCCACGGTGACTGCATTAGTTCGGATGTCATACAAAAGCTGATTGAAGCAACCCTTCAGGAAGAGAAAAGAGCATTTATAGTTGGCAGCTGCCCTACTCCCATCCCCGTTTGCCACTCTGAGGCCATGAAAACAGTCCCCACCCACTCATGCCAGCCCACACCTCTACTTTTTGGTCGTGAGCCTTTTGCTTGGTGCAGGTTTCATTGGCTGTGTTGGTGACGTTGTCATTGCAACAGAATGGGGGAAAGGCACTGTTCTCTTTGAAGTAGGGTGAGTCCTCAAAATCCGTATAGTTGGTGAAGCCACAGCACTTGAGCTGGAGACAAGATGAGGGTGGAGGTGGGGCCTTGCTTCTTTCTCTCCACCCTAAAACCTCCCCCAGCCAACCTTACCCCTTTCATGGTGGTGTTCCACACTTGAGTGAAGTCTTCCTGGGAACCATAATCTTTCTTGATGGCAGGCACTACCAGCAACGTCAGGAAGTGCTCAGCCTGGGTGAGGCAGGCCAGTGTTTAGGGGCTGGTACAGAAGGTGGCCATTCACAGGCCACAGCCCACTCCCAGGGTTTTGCCCAATCTTCTTCCCTTCCTCCATCCCAGTGTCTCACCATTGTGGTGTACACCAAGGCGACCACAGCAGCTGCAACCTCAGCAATGAAGATGAGGAGGAGGATGAAGAAGAACTGAGTGGGGAACAGGGGTCTGGGTTTTAGGGAGAGACAGTCCCTCATGCCCTCCTTGCCCTAATCCCCCCCCCGGAAAAGTGAGACAGAAGCCTGAGCCTAGGGGGGTCCAAAGCAGGGTTTGGGAATCCCAGGGCCTGGTGTCAAGGGCGAGGGGACTCTTGGTCATCAGCCTGTGGAGCTGGGTTTCACACACCGTCACGAGGGCACACTTGCTCTCAGTCTTAGCACCATAGCAGCCCAGGAAACCAAGAGCAAAGACCACAACGCCGGCTGCGATGAGGAAGTAGCCCACGTTGACAAACTGCATGGCACTGGACGACAGTGGCCCGAAGATCTTCAGAAAGGATGCCCCATCGATTGACACCCAGATGCCCACTGCCAACAGGGCTGCACCACACAGCTGGGGAGAGAGAGGTCAGGCAGGCCTTAAACAGTGCTGGCAAGTAGCTTACTACCACACAGCTGAGTAAGAAGGATGGGAGCCGAGAAACTTCCCTCTTTATTGGCTAGGGAGTCTAAAACCTCATCCTGTAAGGAGGGAAACATCCTCTAGAGCCAGAAAAATGGGAGCTGGGATATGCATAGCTAGGACCAGGCTGCACACCTGGGCAGATATAAAGGAGATCAGGGGTTCTAGAAATATCCTCAGGGTGGGCAGAGGGGCAAGACTTTCCCTCACTGCTGCCAGGGTCCTGCCACATAGCTAGGATTGAAAACAGGCAGGTGAGGGCCCAGCCTCCTATTTCCTTTCTGGGCTATGGGTGCCTAGAACACCTCTGTCCTCTGATAGGTGGAGACGGGGGTGGTAGCAGAACAGGCTCAATAGTCACCATAGTAATGGAGGCGAGGCTGAGGTTCCACCTGCTGGCAACCTTGGAGAGGGAGGAGGTTGAGAAGGTTCACCCACCTGAGGCCCCATTTGGCTCCCCTCCAGAATCCAACTTCAGGCCCGCCCCTCATGTAGACAAGACCTCCTTGCCTCACAAGAGGAAAGTGAGGTACCAGTGGGAATACAGCCAGAGCTTCTCTTAAAGGCTGTCTAGCTCAACTCCAAACCTCAGGGGGAATTCTGAGGCCTAGATTGAGGAGGGCCCTGCGCAGTTCCCACAGATCTTAGAGGAAAGCCTCCCGGCCCAGGGCTTCAGTGGATGAATCAGCCTGACACCACCTTGGTGACTAGTCCTCACTTGCCAGCTATAAAAACTGAGGCTAGAACGGGAAGTGAGGTGGCAGATTGTGGCTGGATTCCAGGCATGTTTGCCCAAGGACAGAAAGCTGGACTTCTAGCCTGCAGGGTCAAATTTCATGGAGCTGGAGGTCTGCCCTATCCTGCTTTGCCCAGCCTGGCAAGGTCTGGGTAACAGAGGCCAGAAATCAAACCGGATTTGCCTTTAACCCTCTCAGGGCAGAGCCTCTCCTGTCCAAATCCCTGGAATCCTATTGCTTCCTCCAGATACAGGGATAAAGACTAGTTCAGGACTGGCACAGTGGCTCATGCCTGTAATCCCCGCACTTTGGGAGGCAGAGGTGGGAGAATCACTTAAGTCCAGGAGTTCGAGACCAGCCTGGGCAATATAGTGAGACCGCCTCTACAAAAAAAATTTTTTTTAATTAGCTGAGCATGGTGGCACACTCCTGTAGTCCTAGATACTCAGGAGGCTGAGTGAGGTAGGGGAATCCCTTGAGCCCAGGAGGTTGACGCTGCAGTAAGCCATGATCATGCCACTGCACTCCAGCTTTGGTGACAAAGCAAGATCCTGTCTCAAAGAAACAAACAACAACAACAACAACAACAAAAACACAAGTTCCCTGCAGCCGAAGGAAGCCCAAGGCACAGACCACATCAGAACTAGAGAGTCTACCCACGCTTCTAAACTAATCAATACATACATAAACTCTGTCGCCCAGGCTGGAGTGCAGTGGTGTGATCTTGGCTCACTGCAACCTCCGCCTCCTGGGTTCAAGTGATTGTCCTTCCTCAGCCTCCCAAGTAGCTGGGATTACAGGCATGCGCCACCACATCCAGCTAATTTTTGTATTTTTAGTAGAGACGGGGTTTCACCATATTGGCCAGGCTGGTCTCGAACTCCTGAGCTCAACTAATCTGCCCGCCTCAGCTTCCCAGAGTGCTGGGATTACAGTTGTGAGCTACTGCACCTGGCCCACTTCCTCACTTTCACTTACACTAACCTACTCTAATGTGGTTAGTGTACTACTCTCCTTGTTTTCCTCTCCCCCTCCCACTGCTCCTTCTCCATCTCCTTCACAGTGGCTTTTTTTTTTTTTGCTTATCCCTAATAAATTGGGTTTCCCAGAGTTCACTTTCCAAGTGTTCTCATCCACTCCCATGGCTTCAGTGGCTACCTGTGCGCACATGATTTTCAAATACCCATGGCCAGCTCCAATCTGAGCTGCACCTCCACTGGGTACACATCTGCTAGTGGGACACCCCTTCCCACAAACCAGGCCCCACCCCCTGCCATCTGGGTTGCTCATGCCAGAGATATGGGCGTCATCTCCAAGACCTCTGTCTCCCTTGCCCCTTCTTCTACCCCTCAGCCATCATCCTAGAGCTTTGTCCTTTGTCCACTTTGTCCGTTTCTCCCTATCTCCACCACCATCTCCAGGATTTACGCCTCATGGCTCAGCTTCTCAAACATGCCCTATGCAATCTGTTTCTGGTTTTCTGAACGATATCAAGTTTCACTACTTCTGGCCCTTTATGCATGCTTTATAACTCCCCCACCAAGTGCAATTTCCCAGCTTCAGCTATTTCCTCCAGGAAGTATTCTCCAACCAGGCTGAGTTCAGGCTCCCATAACCTCCGTCCTAAGCCCAAACACACTGTGTTGTTATTATCTGCCTATCTGGCTTATCGGAGCTGAGATCCTTCAGGGCAGAGAAAGGCTTTGCTTACCTGCCACCCCAGCACCCATCATGGTATCCTAGACAATGAATGTTTGTCGAATGAATAAGGACTGTTGCTCTGATGAGAGGTAGGCCCTCCCTCCTTTCAGCTCCCCGTCATACAGAAGAATTTCCTCTGTACTGAATTTCCTTCTGTGGTAGGTAAACTTGGGTGGAGCCCTTCTATTTTCTGGGCCCCCAGTGCCTATAAAGGGTGGAGAATCATTCCTGGTAGCTTACTCTGCCCTGCCTGAAGCCTAGGCTAAAGCTTTGTAGGAGAGAGGGGGTGCCCCTAGCTTCTCCATCCCCTTTTTCACACACGCACCTGTATGGCAGCCTGGCTGCTGCTGGGACTAGGAATCAGCAGCATTTGGGGAGACCTTTGCATCCCACTCATAAGGGGACACATGCAGGACGAAGCCTGGGCATAGCAGTCTCCCATTCCCCAGCTTAGTCTCTACTCAGCTTGTGACCTGCTCCTATAGGGAGCCCCAAAGAGTCCACAATGTCCGTACTTACAAAGATGAGCAAATTGAAGAGGATCATCATGGTCTTAATGAAGCTGAAGCACTGCATGGTGGCTCCTGGGAGGTAGACATGTGCAAGTTAGGGCCTTGTTTCCCCTGGGCCCACCTGGGCTGGCCCTGGCTTCAGATATTCAGCCAGATATGCCAGACCCCAGGATCCTGAACCCATATCTCACCAAGCTTCTCCTGTACCTGGTCTGACACAGACCTTTTCCCAGTTTCTATCCTAACACCCTTACCCCTCTATACTACCCAGGACCTCCACCAGCACCTGACACTCTGAGATCCTAACACCCCAGGTTCCTCCACCTGCACACCCAGCCTGACTCCCACACTGCAGGTCACTCCATGCTCTTTCCTAGCACCTGTATATCCTGTGCTCCCCCCCACACTAACCCCAGACCCTCCCAGAACCCTCACTAGAGCCCCTCCAGCTCCCCAGACCTGTTTCCAGATCGATATCACTTCACAGGATAATCTGTATCCCTATCCCATTACCTGTTCAGGGCTCTTGGCAGTGAGTTCTGAAAGAGGGAACTGCTGAGGCTCCACAAAGGACAAAACAGCTCCCGGGTGTTGCCACTGAGTGGGCAGGCAGAGGGACGCCTGGCTCTCACACACCACTGCTCACCTGCAGGCAGGGTAGGCGCTTTAAAGCCTCCTTCTGCCCGCCTGCTGGCCCCACCCGTGGCCAGTTAGCCTCTCCTTGACCCTGCTGCCCCCTGCTGCCTGGAGACCGATCCCCACAACCACTGCCTCAGCAGGCCTCCACCTGGCAACACCAGCCCTGGGCAACGCCCCTCCTGATCTCAAGAAGAAGCAGCCCAGGGGTGGGGCAAGTGGCTTCCCAGAATGTCTGCGTGCCCTCCACCACAACAGTGTAATGTGCTTCTTACCCTGCATCTGCTGATACACTCATACATACCCTCTGTGCTCATGCTCACATGCACATGCATCTGCTCATGCTGCCATCCATATGTTCATACAGCAAGCACCCAGTTACATACATAAACATGTGCTAGTGTTCCTGAATGCATGTGTGTGTGTGCGTCCGTGCGCACACACGCACACTAAATTCTTTGTGGACTGACTCCCAGCAACTAACAAACAACAGAATAATATCTGATGTACGTACTTAAGTATCTCTTTCACTCACACACACACACAAACACACACACACACACACACACACTCCCTCTTTCTCTTTCTCTGTCTCTCACTCACTTTCAAGGAAATGACTGAGATTTGGCAGCTTCCGCTCTCTCCTGCGAGTAGCAAATAGTTCCTAATCCTCTTCCCTCCATGAAACCTCACATTCCCCATTTTTCCCCTCCCTTCATCTTTCCATCTCCTCTCCTTCCCCATCTTTTTCTTTTTCTCCTTCCCAGTCTTCTCTTAGCGCTCTGTGTACACCCCTTCTCTTTCTGCCAGTAGGTGGCACCATGGTCTCATGAAGGAGCCACCCCCAGTTCCAAGGCTCTGTGATCCCATCTTTGTTACTCCTAGTGGGGCTGCCTGACCGCTTCCTGCTCCAGCACGCCTGATGTAGAGGTGCGGGGGAAAAGTCCTGGCTTCTGGGTCATTCAGACCAGGTGCTGGAATCCTGGCTCTGTCGCTTATGAACTGTGTGACCCTGGGGACTTTTCTTAGACTTGGTTTTAAACTTCTCTTTCCTGGTCTTCTGTGTAACAGAATAGTTCTGGGCTTTTCAAATGAGATTTTCTTCCTGCTCTAGAAGGAAGGGACAGTAGGGAATGAGCACAGAGCAAGAAGGTCAAAGTCGAGAGAGTCACAGGCAGTGGGGCTATGAGATGGAGGAAGTTGATTTTTTTTTTTTTTTTTCTGAGACAGGGTCTTGCTCTGTTGCCCAGGTTGGAGTGTAGTGGCAACATCACAGCTCACTGCAGCCTTGACCTCCTGAGCTCAAATGATCCTCAGCCTCCCAAGTAGCTGGGACCACAGGTATTTGCCGGCACTCAAGCAAATTTTTTTTTTTTAAACAGATGAGGTCTTGCTATGCTATCCAGGCTGGTCTTGAACTGGGCTCAAGTAATCCTCTGCCTCAGCCTCCCAAAGTGATGGGATTACAGGCATCAGCCACTGTGCCTAGCTGAGGAAGTGGATTTCTAAGTTTGTTTTGTTTTTATAGTGAAAGGAGGCAGCTGAAGAGACAGAAGAGAGAGGGGCTAATAGTATTACAGACTACACTAATAATACTGATCTTATTTTAAATGTCTTGCATATATTAAGGCTTTTTTTCCTCTTCACAACCATCCCATGAGATAGACTTTCTGATCTCCATTTTTAAATATGGGGAAATAGAAGCACCAAAGGGTCAGGTACTTGCCATGATCACAAAGCCTGTAAGTGGCAGAGCCAGGATTCAATCCCAGTTAGTCTGGCACCAGAGTCTACATCTTAACCACCAAGCAGACTGTCTACACTGATGGAATCTCTAAAGAGGCAGACAAGGCTGGCTTCCATAAAGAGCAAGGGAAGAGGCCTTGGTCTGACCTGAGGAAGAGGAGGAGCAGGGGCAGGTCGGTTTATAGTTACAGTTGCTAGAAGTTGGTGGAAGCAAGGTCATATTTTAAGACTGAGGATGGCAAGAGTAGAGGCTGGAGGAGGGGATGGGGGAAAGATGAGGTTTGTGAGGGTGGTACTAAGGGTGCCACAGAGTCCTCCACAAACAGAAAGGAGGATGAAGTTGGGAAGGGGGCATTTGAGGAGCAGAGTAAGGGGGAAAGGAAGAAGGGACTGAGGAGTGGAAGGAGAAGGAGAAGGTCTATTTTTTTTTTTTTTGACAGAATCTCACTCTGTTGCCCAGGCTGGAATGCAGTGGCGCAATCTTGGCTCACTGCAACCTCCGCCTCCCAGTTTCAAGCGATTCTCCTGCCTCAGCCTCCTGAGTAGCTGGTATTATAGGTGCACACCACCACACCCAGCTAATTTTTGTATTTTTAGTAGAGACAGGGTTTCACCATGTTGACCAGGCTGCTCTCGAGCTCCTGACCTCAAGTCATCCACCCACCTCGGGCTCCCAAAGTGCTGGGATTACAGGCGTGAGCCACCGCACCTGGAACCTTTCTGTTTCATTCTCAGGAAGAATTGGGACCAGATTACATTCATCTATGGCCCTGGTGCTTGGCACATAAGAAGTTGTCAGTGAACATTTCCTGAGTGAATGAGTGCAGAATAATGAGAGTTAAGTGCTCTGGGTTTTGGATCTTGATCATCATGGATTTGCTTCCTGCCTGCCTCTAATTGTGTGACTTCACCTCACTGAGCCCCAGTTTCCTTATACAGTGGATCCTCCTTATTCACAGATTCCATACCTGTGAATTTGCCTGCTTACTGAAATTTATTTGTAATTCCCAAACCAGTACTTGTGGTACTTTTGCAGTCATTCATGGACATGAGCAGAAAGGCAAAAAATTTCAGCCGTCCAACACACGTATTTCCAGCTGAGGTCTGTTGAGCAAGAGGACTCTCTGTCTTCTTATTTCAGTTTTCATAGAGTAAACAAATGTGCTTTTTGGTGGTCTATTTAGTGACGCATATTCTCACATTTTTTGGTGTTTTTTGCTGGTGATTTTACTGTCTAAAATGGTCCCCAGTTGTAGTGCTGAAGTGCTCTCTAGTCTTTCTAAGTGCAAGAAGGCTGTGATGTGCCTTATAGGGGAAATATGTGCTTTAGATAAGTTTCATTCAGGCACAAGTTATAATGCTGTTGGCTGTGAGTTCAATGTCAATGACTCAAATATAGATAGATAGTTAGATAGATAGATAGATAGATAGATAGATATATTTTTTTTTTTTTTGAGACAGAGTTTCACTCTTGTTGCCCAGGCTGGAGTGCAATGGTGCAATCTGGGCTCACTGCAATCTCCACCTCCTGGGTTCAAGCTATTCTCCTGTCTCAGCCTCCTGAGTAGCTGGGACTACAGGCACCCACCACCACACCCAGCTAATTTTTGTATTTTTAGTAGAGATGGGGTTTTGCCATGTTAACCAGGCTAGTCTTGAACTCCTGACCTCAGGTGATCTGCCCACCTCGGCCTCCCAAAGTGCTGGGATTACAGGCTTGAGCCACCATGCCTGGCCAACAATATATATTAAATAAGGTGTCTCCACACATAAAATCAGGTTATATGTATAGATCAGTTGACAAAAATATTGTGACCAGAGGGTTTCAGGAACCTAACCTTGCATTTACCCTTTGTTCAGTATTTAGTGTTTGTGGCGACTTTATAGAACATTACTGGGAATAATGAGAATTGACTGTATATAAATAGGTATAATGATGGCATATCCTTGTAAAGTAGCTGAGATTAAATGAGATAACGTTGGTAAAGTGCTCAGCACAGTGTCTGGCACGTAGTAAGTGCTCAAAAAACATTGTTAATATTGTTACTATATGGATAAGTGAGAAAGTGAGGAAGTGAGTTCCGCCTCTAGGGCCTCTTTTCCCAAGGGGCCAAACTGAGGCTGTCTGGCTCTTGGGCTGGCTTTTAGGCCAGACCCAATAAAGAAGATTGTGAAGGAGCCTGACCCATGAGGAGGGGCCAGGGCCCACGACTTGTAATAAAGGGCCCTGCCCTTATGCAGACTTTGTATGTCATAGAGGCCTCAGCTACCCTGGCCAACAGCACCCCCCAGGCACACTGCAGAAGCTCCCTGTGCCCATGGGGCCATCTCGGCTTGTCCGTGGCCCTCGGCCCCAGGGCATGCGTTCCCCCTACCGCAGGCCAGGTATGGGCTGGCCCAGGCCCCGATTTCCCAGGATGTTCAAGTGTAGCCGCAGAAGATATCAACAGGGTCTCCGAGGTCGAACTGCCAGCAGTGCAGCCATCAATCCTGCCACCAGGGCCATGGGTATCAACAACACCCACACTGACACCACCATAGTGTGGATCTTCCCACCTCAAGGTTAGCCAGGGGGCCTGTGAGCCAGGGTGGGGTTTTAAAAAACAGAGCCACTAGGCTGGGTGCGGTGGCTCATGCCTGTAATCCCGGCACTTTGGGAGGCCAAGGCGGGCAGATCACAAGGTCAGGAGATCGAGACCATCCTGGCTAACACGGTGAAATCCCATCTCTACTAAAAATACAAAAAAAAATTAGCCGGGCGTGGTGGCACACGCCTTTAGTCCCAGCTACTTGGGAGGCTGAGGCAGGAGAATTGCTTGAACCCGGGAGGCAGAGGTTGCAGTGAGCCAAGATCGCGCCACTGCACTCCAGCCTGGGTGACAGAGCTAGACTCTGTCTCAAGAAAAAAAAAAAAAAACCAGAGCCAGTGAAGATTTCCCTACCTGGTTCTGTTTAGGCACGCCAAAGGATGATCTCTGTGAAATAGCACCCCTACATATATGGGGGACTCCTGATGGCAGGCACCCCAAAGTGCTGACAGCCTTAATGGAGGATGGATTGGCTGGAAGCAGAGGGTTTGGGGAGGGGCTGAATCCAAGAGGCAGGGAACTTCCAGAACTGCTTCCTTCCTCAAACTCTTCCCTCTCCTTCCTCTCCTCAGTTCTCAGACATCTCAGGCAACCTGGGATTTTTCTGATCCTCTAGAAGTGCCCAGAAGCTAGCCCAGAAGCTTGGTTTGCCCTGGACCTGCATCTCCTAGGGGCCGTGTGGGTGGTGAACAACAAATACAGTCATTCTGCTCAAACTGCCTTATTCCACACAGAGGTGTTAACCAGCTGACTATGCAGGGCGTGAGGGGAGGGTTATGGCTGAATACTTACAGGGAAAGGCTTCAGTGACCGCAGCAGGGATCATAGTTTAAGACAGCAGGAGGACAGGACAAGGTCAGCAACATAGACCATCTTTGGTCTCAGCTCTTGATCTGCCCCATGAAGTAGGGGCTCTCTTGCCTTACACTCCTAACTGCACAGGGAGAAGGGTCTCTGTAAACATCTTGGAAGGTATTGGGAGGCACAGATCAGAGAGGGATAGGATGAAAGACTGAACCCTGAGAGTACACAAGTATGAGGTGGATGTGAGGTGGATGTGCCTCTGTGTGCCTGTGATGGTCAGCGTGTAGGTGTAGCTGCTGGTGTGTGTGTCTGAGGCCGGGAGAATAGGAGTATCAGTAGATGTGGCTGAATGTGCCTTTGTGATTTAATGTGCCTCTGTGACTGACTGTGAGTGTCAAGGAGCGTTTGTGAGGGTATGGGTGTGCCGGAGAGGACATCAGCCCTGGTAAGAAAAGTGAAGGTCAGGAGGGGGATGGGGAACAGCCTAAAGGAGGAGAACATGGAGAAGGGTGAGATTCTGAGAAAGGCATACTACCTTCGGCCCTTCAACCATTCTCTGAGGTCAGTGTTTTCCAGAACTGGCAGCTGAGCTGGGGTGCTTAGGGGTGGGGCAAGACTGAGTTTGAGCCCAGAAAGTAGGGAGGGTGCTAAGCTCTCTGGCCTGGGGATTTTCCATTTGGATTTCTGAGTGTGTGCTCATGTGTCACTGGCTGTAACCGGGTTTCTGTGGGGTTGTGTCTTAGTCGCTGGGAACATTTTGTAGGACTCTGTCTCGAATATGTTGCATCATGCATGGGCTAATACGTGTTGCACCGGTCCGAGATCTGGCTGCATTTCCAGGCTACCTTCCCAAGGGGCTAGGGAAGGGAGTGAACCCTGAGACCTTTGGTGGCCTGGCCCCCTGGGGTTCAGGAAGTGTGGCTAATGTCCTTTGCTGCCTGTGAAGGGAAAGTGAATTGTGCTTATGTCTATCTACCCCAACTCTTGCCAGAGACTGGGACCCTGAGGGGGGTTGAGGCAGAGAATTCACTGACACACCATGCCCAGACGGTGCTGGGCTCCTCAGGTTATGGGATGGGGGTTGCTGAACATCAGTCAAAGCTAGAAGGTGCTTGGGCCATGCTCAAGGGCCCAAGAGGGGCCATACATATAAAGATACATGACACAGTTCACAAACACATGCAGACATGTAAATATAAGTGAACTCATAGACACATACTGCAACAACCACACACATGCATGCAAGCACATACTATAAGCAGATATACGCAGACACAAATGCATAGATCCCCACACGATATATGTAACAACACATACGCATGCCTCTAAATGAACACAGACAGAAACATGCATGCACCCAGACACAAGCACACAAGCACCCAGATGCAGACACATGCCTTCACACTCATGCAAACCCAGGCACACACAGACATACACGCATGCAGACACACTCACCAGACTTCCCTGCCCCTGCGGCCCTGGGACCCAGAAGCCTCCCTCCCCTATATGAGTGTGTAGTATGTGTGTGTGCATGCACTCATGCCCACACTTGTGTCTGTGTGTATCTGTGTCTGTGAGAGTGTGTGTTTGTGCTCGAGTGTGTGTATGATGGGGGTGCTAAGCTGTGGGAACCAGATGACATCATCTCTTCCAGCTATTTTTAGCTGTATCTGCGATGATGGCTTCTTCACTGCCCCTCCCCCTTCAGGTTCCTAATTCTCCTCCCCATCTAGGCTCCCAGAGGCAGCAGCAGCCAGAGGGCACCCACCACCTCAGTTTAGGTGGCTCCCGGATGAGCGGGTGCAGCCCACTCTCTCCCACCCTGCCAGAGTTCCCTGGTGGCTGAGAACACCAGGCTCTCAGGCTGGAAGGGCCTGGGTTAGCTGAGCTGACCTAGATGGTCTCCACCCCTTAAGGTGCCTCTGCTTCTGCTTTTCAATCTGCAACTCTGTGTCAGTCAACAGTGCCTGCTATGTGCCAGGGATGGTACTAAATTCTGGAGATACAGCAGTGAGCAAGGCAGTGGGAGTTCTTTCCCAGAGGAATTATAGCTCAGTGAGAGGCACATTACACAGATTACACAAGCTCTTCATTAAATCGTGAGGAGGTCTCTGAGTACTTGTAACAGGGGCTCCGTTTGCGATGATGTTCTCTGCCTCTCTCTGTTCTTCCTTCTCCCATAGGTGAGATAACCTGAGGAAATCAGAGGGAATACAGCCCTTACCTTGCACCCTTCATCCTAACAACCATATCTCCAGAATTCCACAGAGCAGTGCTTCCTTCTCACACCCTAGGCTGTGCTCCCAACATGGCACTAACACACCATCCAACTAATTGGTGGCCCATGATACTCATATCTCCTTTTTCTTTGTTTGTTTGTTTCTTTTTTCTTTTCTTTTTTTTTTGAGACAGCGCCTGGCTCTGTTGCCCAGGATAGAGTGCAGTGGCGCAATCTTGTCTCACTGCAACCGTCTTCTCCCAGAGTCAAGTGATTCTCGTGCCTCAGCCTCCCTAGTAGCTGGGACTACAGGCATGTGCCACCATGCCTGGCTAATTTTTGTATTTTTAGTAGAGATGGGGTTTTGCCATGTGGGCTAGGCTGGTCTTGAACTCCTGGCCTAAAGTGATCCATCTACCTCAGTCTTCCAAAGTGCAGGGATTACAGGCATGAGCCACCTGGCTCAGCCCTTTCCCCTGCCTAGTTTTTAGGGACAGGGTCTCTCTCTGTCACTCATACTGGAGTGCAGTGACCTGACCTTAGCTCACTGCAGCCTCAGTCTCCTGGGCACAATCTATCCTCCCACCTCAGTCCCACAAGTAGCTGGTACTACAGGTGCAGGCCACCACGCCTAGATAATTAAAACATTTTTTTTGTAGAAACAGGTTCTCCCAGCTACTCAGGAGGCTGAGGCACGAGAATTACTTAAACCTGGGAAGTGGAGGTTGCAGCCAAGATCATGCCACTGCACTCCAGTTCTTGGGCTCAAGTGATCCTCCCGCCTCAGCCTCCCAAAATGTTGGGATTACAGACGTGAGCTACTGCTTGCCCCCTACCACCTCACTTTTCTTTGAAATCTTCCTGTAGTCAATCCCTGGGAGGCAGGCCACTATTCCTCATCTATAGATGAGAAAACCGAGGCTCAGAAATGGACAGCTCTGGACCACACCTCACAGTGCCTGGGGAGCAGCCCAGGGGAGATGGCAGGCAGGTGGAGAAGGAAGTGGTGGCACACTGGGACAGTTGGCACAGGTGCAGGAGGAGCAGGCCAGGCCAAGCCACCGAATCGGGAGGTGAGGGGGAGGAGGATGATGGCCTGAGGGTTCATGCCAGGAGGAGGGCTTCCCGCTCCAGCCAGCCTCAGGCAGCCACTGGAAAATCGGGTTTGGCAGCTTCAGCCATGTGCTGCAGGACTGGAAGAAGGTCCAGGCTGCTCCTGGGAGGCAGCCTAGCACGGGCTCTTCCTCTAGCCCTGAGTTTCACCACCTGGCTAGTTGGGGGAGTATTACTTTATAATTCTGGGACCCTTTGGACCGTGAAGAGAACAGCTCTGGGCTAGAGGCAGGAGCCCGGAGCTTCAGTCTTGGTTCTGCCCCAAGCCCTGATCTGATCCTTGGAGTGTCCTGGCCCCTCTCTTCGCCTCTGTGGCTCCGCTCTAGAGAAATAGGTTCCCCAGACCCCAACTCCTGCCCCCGAGATTTTCCTGGGAGTCTGACTCAGGCACAGGAACACAGAGTCAGTGGGTAAGGGCACGAACAGACAGCCCCTGGGGCGCCAGGCTGGAGGTCGCTTGTCACTAATAGGTCAATGGCCGGAAGCCCAGCTCCAACCCCACAATGCAATACCGGTCACCCCACCCTTACCAGTGCCCTCACCCACACCCCCACTTCCGGCCTCTGTTCCTTCCTCACCTCTGGGGAAGGCTGCAGGGCTCCCTAGGGAATGTCCCCTGGTTCCTCCACTGGCTCTCTGCCCAGTGCTTAACCCTTCTTCCCACACCTACCCATTCAGCCAGGGCAGTCTCCCACAAAACTTTCTCTCCCTGGACCATGGGGCAGTGCAAGGAGGACAGGAAGCTGGGTGGAAGGACTGCAAAGGAGACTGCTTTTCCTGCTACCCTCAGGTACTGAAGCCCAAGTAAGAGTTTTCAGTAGAGAGGGAGTAGACTGAGTGTTGGGCCCTAGGACTGGGCTTCCCTGGGTACTATCCCAACCCCTGAGCCTCGGGAGAGGTGGAAATGACCTTCCTCTGCACCGGCATGCCCAGAGAAGAGAGCCTGGAGCTGAGACTTGCAACTTCTAGAAAACAAACACAAAACTGAGGCCAAGAGAGTGCTGACTACTATTACCAACAAAATTCATTAAACACAATTTTAAAAAATCATGAAATTCTAGATTCATGGAGTTCACAGTTATGGAATCTTAGCATCACAGAATTCCAGCATGGTAAAATCTGGGTTATAGAAACTAAGAAATTCAGAATTGTGGCATTACTGAGTTCCAGATGACAAAATTAGAATATCCTTGAAATGGACATCTTGAGAAATCAATTAATAAAGCCCTTACATTCAGGTGGCTGTCTAAACTAGAGGATTTCCTGCTGGGGATAGGCAAAGGTGTCCACACATGAACACTGAGGGGAGGTAGGGAGCCTGGGACACATAAGCTTAAACCAGGCAGGGCCAGGCGCGGTGGCTCGCGCCTGTAATCCCAGCACTTTGGGAGGCTGAGGCTGGTGGATCACCTGAGGTCAGGAGTTTGAGACCAGCCTGGCCAATATGGTGAAGCCCCGTCTCTACTAAAAATACAAAAATTAGCCAGGCTTGGTGGCAGGTACCTGTAATCCCAGCTATTTGGGAGGCTGAGGCAAGAGAATCGCTTGAACCTGGGAGGCAGAGGTTGCAGTGAGCCGAGATCATGCCATTGCACTCCAGCCTGGGGGACGAGAGCTAGACTTTGTCTCAAAACAAACAAACAAACAAACAAACACCAAACCAGACAGAAGACAGACTTTGTCCATGAGAACACATTTCTGGTTCCTGAAGATGAGGGGCAGGGGGCAGCAGGTGGGGATAGAGAAAGCAGAATTATACAAACAAAGAAAACATAACCTAAAGAAAGAATCATCAAGTAGCATAATATGCTGACCCCAGCATCTCCAGCTTCCCCATAACTGCAGTTACCATCAGCCCAGGACATTTCCTTCCAAAGGTTAGTAAGACTTCTTATCATATTGGAATGGCTATCTTTTTTGGGAAGAAAGGTACCGAACAGAAAATACTCCATGCTTTTCTCGGGGTGGCTGGGAGGAATAGACTGTCTTCAAAGGTGCTAAGCCCTGAGCCACATGATGCACACCGAAGCCACTCCATGTGGTGGGGTTCAGAGCTCCCAGCAAGGCCCTGATAGAGGACCCTGTGGAGAGCACCTGGGTGGGGTTGTGCCTAGGGGGGCTGATCATCTCTATAGAAGGAGCCAATCTTGAGGCAAAATTTGTATGGGGACCCTTGTCCAATCTTTGGGGCTGGTTATTCAGCAAACAACAAAGGTATTTACCTAGCACTTCTGGGAAACTACTGCAAACTCAGGAACCCAGAAGGAGCAGTTCCAAAGACAGGCAAATGCCAGGCCCTGCTGGGCATGGGAAATGGGGCAATGTCAGCTGAAGGTCTTCTTGCTCAGCTGTCTGTCCTTGGATTCAGCTCAATACCTCAGCCCTGACCTCTACTCACACGCCCATTTGCCTCCCTCTCCTTGCTTGCCTGCTGTTCTACCTACTTATACCTGCTGTGTGAACTTTGGCAAGTTCTATCCCATCTCTGGGCCTCAAATCTCCTTTGCTGTCTTTTGAAGTCTAAAATTGTGTTTAAGTGCAGCTTTTAGGATTGTATATTCCTGCTTTTGTCCAGAGAAGTTTTAGCTTCAGGTATCTCCATTCCCAGCTTCCAGAAAAAGTATCAGGCAGCTTCAGGGGAGAATGCAGGGAATAGGGAATAAAAATAATGCCCACATTTGACATCCTAAATGTGTCAATGCCTATGATGGGTGTTTTCATAAATCTTACGCCCACAACCACCACTCTTTGTGTATAAATCATTGCTCCCATTTTATAGATGAAGGAACAGAGGTCCAGGGAGGGTAGATAAGATGCCTAAGATCATCCAGCTAGGGAGTAACAGAACTGGAATCTCAACTAAGTCTGTCTAAATCTGAGGGCTGTGGTTTCAGATTAGCATTACTCCATGAGGCTTCAATAGGTAAAATGTAAGTCCATGGATGAGAGTTTCAGGAAGAAGTGGTCCATGCAGCCCTGAGAGGCAGTGAGTTCCATTCGTAAGTGCAATAGGGGCTGACAGCTTTTTGTGCTGTGAAAAAAGCTGAACCAAGGTTCCTTCTATTTGGGAACTCTGGGTAGTCTCAGCTCAGATTGGAGATAGCTGGGCTGAACTGGGGGTGAGGAGGTTGGAGTGGAGAGTGGAATGGTCCTGAACTGGTCTTCAGGGAGTTGAGGGGCTATGCCACTGTTCCTGGAGATAGTGTGTGTGTGTTGAGGAGGGGGTGTAAAGGGGGCTTCTTCACTTTCTGGGATGTGCCAGTTCACCCTCCCCACCATCCCCAGCTGGAGCTAGTTGTCAGGCCTCCAGAGCCAGGGGCAGGGGGACTTTCCAGCTGGGATAGCATCATGATGTGTTGACACCAGATTCACTGCCTTGAGGTTCCCAGCAATCTTGCACAATTGCCTCAGTTAACTGATCCAAGGGAGGTGGGAGGATTTCAGATCCCCTGATTCCAGCCCGGCTCTGCCCTGCCCAAGGTTGGGTTATGATAAGGAGGCTGGGTAATCCAGCCACTGGCTGATAGGGTCACTGGCTCATAGGGTCAGGGCTGGAGGCAGCCCTGGGGGTCATCTCATTTAGCTCCCTCACTGGAAGGGTGAAGGAGTCTGAGGTCCAGAGAGGGAACAGGCCCTTCCAAGGGTCACACAGAACCACTGCTGTCCCCAACACTCCCCTTGGCACCAAGGACACAGAACTGAATCAGTCGTGGTCCTTGTTCTTGAGAGCTTGCACCCTAATGGAGAAAACAGACTAGCAGACACACCAAGAAAAATGTCAGGGCTAAAAGAGAGGCTTGGACTTAGTATACTAAGAGCTTAGAGAAGTAGGGACACAGACCTCCTAGAGGCTCCACAGAAGATAGCATAGGTATTTTTTTTTAAATTTAATTTAATTTAATTAATTTATTTTTTTGAGATGGAGTCTCGCTCTGTCGCCCTGGTTGGAGTGCAGTGGTGTGATCTAGGCTCACTGCAACTTCCGCCTCCCAGATTCAAGTGCATGCGTCAGCCTCCCAAGTAGCTGAGGTTACAAGCATGCGCCACCACACACAGCTAATTTTGGTATTTTTAGTAGAGACAGGGTTTCACCATGTTGGCCAGGCTGGTCTCAAACTCCTGATTTCAAGTGATCTGCTGTCCTCAGCCTCCCAAAGTGCTGGGATTACAGGCATGAGTCACTGCACCCGGCCACAGGTAGTTTTTAAATTGGGCTTAAAGAATGGGCAAAATTTTAGCTAATGCAAAGGGGAAAGAACTTTCTTGATTGAGAAACAGCGTGAGTGGAAGCCCAGAGCGGGCACTGATTGGCCGTGTGAGATGACTGAAGGGCAGCAGTATAGCCAGGGCCAGGACTTGAGGTCAGGATGCCTGTGCTCTGTGAGCACACAGTAGTCACCAAGGTGCAGGCCTCAGGGATATGAGGACCCCAGAAGGAGCAGGTAGGGGGAACCTGGTGAGACTACAGCTGGGAGATTCTTAACAGTAGAGGTGGGGGCTGTTATACTCACCACCTCCAGGCTGGCAGTTTCCTTTAATCCAAGACACACATACACACAAAGCCTTTACCCTTATCTCCCTCCACGAGAACCCAGGCCCACCTCGAGATCTGGCCTAGAGGAGGAGGCTGCTCCTCACCTAGCTAGCTGCGCCTCCACCCAGGTTTCAAGGCCAGGGTGCACACCCCCTCCTTGCAGTAGCTTCCTCCCCACTGCCCCATTTCCCATCCCCCCACACCCTCGTCTCTGGACCAGGAAGGGATGGGGACATCCAGAGCTTCGGAGCTTTGGCAGCAGCTAGCCTTCTCGCGGCTGCTGTGATGCAAATCCGCTCCGGATTTATTCGCGGGGCGTTCTTTCCGTAAAGCGAGGCGCACCCGGCGCCAGCGCTTGGCTGGAAGTGCCTTTCCTGGCCCTGACCCAAGGTCGCCAGGGCCCAGAATTGGGGGTGCCTTCCCCGCTAGAGTCCCGCAGCTAGGGTCCTGGGCGCGCGGGTGGGAGCGAAGCAGGTAGTCGCGGGGTGGGGCTATAATTAACCGCGCCGGGCGCGGAGTCAGGAAAAGGAAGCCAAGATCTTGAAGGACCTCCTGAGCCTGGTTGAACGCAGCTAGAAGTGCGGGGTCTGGGGAGCTCCTTAAACAGGCTGGACCCTGGTCTCGAGGTCTGAGCCTGGGTTTTGGTAAAGAAAATTTGAAGGTTTGAGGCTGGCAAGCATGTTTAAGGTTGGGGGCGTGGGGTGGAGGATGTAGAATCCACGTCCCCTATCCGGAAAGCGGCTCCATTGTCTTGCTTGTCCCTGTCTAAACGCAGTTTGGACACGACTAGCGAATTCGACCGATTACTGTTCTCATCCTCGAGGTACCCTCGCAAGGAAGCGAAGTGGGCTCACTAGCAGTTACTACTCAAGGGCCTGACAGCCTGAAGCTTCTGGGGACCGGAAGGAGGGGTGGGGGAAGGGCATGCCGAACTAGGGGTGTGCTGTGTACTTCCAGAGGCTCCAGCTTCAGAAAAGAGAACTGCAGTTTGTGGTGTAAAAAGCTTGTATGACCTGGCCAGGTGTGGTGGCTCACGCCTCCCAGCACTTTGGGAGGCAGAGGCGGGCAGATCACTTGAGGCCAGGAGTTGGAGAACAGCCCGGCCAACATGGTGAAACCCCGTCTCTACTAAAAATACAAAAATTAGCCAGGCATGGAGGCGCACACCTGTAATCCCAACTACTCGGGGGCTGAAGCACAAGAGTCGCTTGAACCTGGGAGGCTGAGGTTGCACTGAGCCAAGATCATGTCACTGCACTCCAGCCTGGGCGACAGAGCGAGACTCTGTCTCAGAAAAAAAAAGAAAAGAAAAGAAAAGAAAAGAAAAAAGCCTATAAGCATAGGAATAGACAGATGGTATTATTGAGTGCCTATGCATACCAGATGAAGTGTGTTCACCAAATTGACCAAAAAAAGAGTGCTTCTTATTTTTTCTTGGTACCTTCATAATAAAAGGACAGGCCGGGCACGGTGGCTCACGCCTGTAATCCCAGCACTTTGGGAGGCCGAGGCGGGCGAATCACGAGGTCAGGAGATCGAGACCATCCTGGCTAACACAGGTGAAACCCCGTCTCTACTAAAAAAAATACAAAAAATTAGCCGGGTGCGGTGGCGGGCGCCTGTAGTCCCAGCTACTCGGGAGGCTGAGGCAGGAGAATGGGTGAACCCAGGAGGCGGAGCTTACAGTGAGCCGAGATCGCGCCACTGCACTCCAACCTGGGCTACAGAGTGAGACTCAGTCTCAAAAAAAAAAAAAAAAAAAAAAAAAAAAAAAAAAAAAAGGACAAAGCAGCAGTTTAAATTAAAAATAAACAAATAAATAGACCTGGGTTTCAACACTGCTGAACCACTTACGGTTTGGCCCTGGAAAATTTGCTTCAACTTCTCCAAGCCTCAGTTTTCTTATCTGTAAAGTAAGAATAATAGGGGCCAGGCGCAGTGGCTCACGCTTGTAATCCCAGCACTTTGGGAGGCTGAGAACGGCGGATCATCTGAGGTCGGGAGTTCGAGACCAGCCTGACCAACATGGAGTAAACCCCGTCTCTACTAAAAATACAAAATTAGCCAGGCATGGTGGCACATGCCTGTAATCCCAGCTACGCAGGAGGCTGAGGCAGGAGAATCACTTGAACCTGGGAGGGGGAAGTTGTGGTGAGCCGAGATCACACCATTGCATTCCAGCCTGGGCAACAAGAGTGAAACTCCATCTCAAAAAAAAAAAAAAAAAGAAGAAGAAGAATAGAAATACCTAGGTGTTGTGAGGGTTGAGTTAAGGCATCAGAGGTGTTTGAATAGTGCTCCCTAAATGGCAGCAATAAGAACACATAGCCTAGTTTGGGGGTATGTGTGGCAAACTGGGGAGCAAAAAGTCTTCTGGAAGAGTAGAAATCTGAGCTAAATCTCAAAATATGAGTAGGAGCTGGTCTGGGGGAAACAAAGGGAGGAAGTTACTCGGGAGACTGAGACGGGAAGATTGCTTGAGACCCGTCTGGGCAACATAGTGAGATCCTATCTCTAAAAAAAAGTAGAAAACTTAATTGGGCATAGTGATGCACCTGTAGTCCCAGCTACTTGGGAGGCTCAGGCAGGAGGATACTGTGAGCCCAGGAGTTTGAGGTTGCAACGAGATATGATCATGCCACTGCACTCCAGCCTGGAACACACAGTGAGAACCCCATCTCAAAAAAAGGGATGGGGGAGTGGGGAGGAAGAGAAGGATGTTAATGACAGAGGGAATAGCATAAGCAAAACCAGGTAGGTAAGAGCCAGGACAGAAAATCTGGGGAAACTACAGGTGTAAGACAGGAAGTAGAAAGAGACGAGGTTAGAAAGGTAAGCAGGGACCAGACTGGGGCAAGGTGGGGGGCTTGGAGTTATTGAGGCCAGTTTTTTTTGTTGTTGTTGAGACGGAGTTTCGCTCTTGTTGCCCAGGCTGTAGTGCAATGGCGCAATCTCGGCTCACTGCAATCTCCGCCTCCCGGGTTCAAGCGATTCTCCTGTTGAAGCTGGTTTTTATCCTGAGAGCCCTTGAGGGGTTTTCAGCAGAAGCAGGAGATAAGCTCCCTGTGGGGCAGTGGGGAGTCAAGGAGACCTGTGAAGAGGAGGCTGTGGTAATGCCTCAGGGGAGAGGGATCGTGGTATGAACCACAGTGTTGGCCCTGGGATGGAAAGAAATGGATGGAGCTGAGAGGTAAAAGTGACAGGTCTTGGTGATGAATTGAATGGGAATTGAGTGAGAGGGAGGTATGAGGATGATATCCTAATTTCCAGCTTGGGTCCTGGGTGGTGCTATTCACTGAGACAGGGAGCAGGAAGAATAACATATTTGGCAGGAGGCTTGAGTTCAGTTTTGGACATGCCTATGACCACACCCCTAGATAGATCCTCAATAATTGGAGTCCTGTAATCCTCCTACCTGTTAACTACTCTGTCCAGAGATGGGAGAGGTATTATTCGTCAGTGCTGGTTGTTTGTTCCCTGGCTGTGGCTCACTGGAGGTCTGACTGGCAAGGCCTTAGAGGTAGGGGGTGCCCCTGCTACCACTGGGCTGGTCCTAGTGCATCTCCCTTTGTGGTCTGGTCAGCCAGGCAGTTTCTCTGGGCACAATCATGTTATATGAGCTCAAGGACTGGGTTGTCAGACTGTTCCCAAAGAGAATCCAAGGAGGGGGACAGTGCTCTGTGCTGTGGAGATTACCGTCTCTATTTTACAGCTGAGGAAACTGAGGCTCAGGAATTGAGTGGCAGAGCCAGGAGGTGAATGAAGGTCTGTGTGACGTCTTCTCACAGTACCAGTTGCCACATCATCAATGGTGACATCTGCTCTAAGAGGGCAGGGAAAGCACCAGGGCCATGGTTCCTTGGGGGAGGAATGCCATCTGGGGAGTAGTAGGGATCAGGAAGGAGACAGGGAAAGCTTCCTGGAGGTGGTACCATTTGTGTTGTCCTAGAAGCATCATCTTGTTTTCTGTCTCTCTAGCTAGTAATCATTGACAATCACTTGTTTCCTGCAGTGAGGGAGACCTTTTTGTCTGAAGGACCTCTAGGCAGAATGTGTCCTTGGACCTCAAAAAGTGGCAAGCTGGAATTCCTGCAGACAGCTCCCACAGGCAAGCCTGACATGGGGGCACTTCTACCTCAGTCTCTGGCATTGGTCAGCTGGGGCATCCCTTTTGCACTGGTACTTCACTAGCAGCTGGAAACCCAGTTGTCTATTCATTTTCATATCAGGGTCAGCACAAGTTTATGTTCTGTTCTCCAGTTTTATTTTACTTTTTAAAAAAGCATCATGTTATGAAGTGATAGATTCTGTCTAAAGAAGGACTGGCAATTATGAGAAAAACTTTCTGTGGATAATTGAGGGAAGGTTTTAAGACATAAAAGAAATGTCGCTAACCTTCATCTGTCATCCATCAAGCATTTTCCCTCAGGTGTCCAAAAGGCTGAAGCAGCCTGATGTGGTATAAAGGGGTGGCCATATTCTTCATAGGTAAGAACAGGTGACTTCCAAAATAATGTTTAAGTAATGTTTGTTCATTGTAGAAAACTTGAAAAATACAGGCAAATAAAAAGAAAAAATATATAAAGTATCCTTTAAGAAATAAACAGTGCGGTCGGGCATGGTGGCTCGTGCCTGTAATCCCAGCACTTTGGAAAGCTGAGGTGGGTGGATCACTTGAGGTCAAGAGTTTGAGACCAGCTTAACTAACATGGTGAAACCTCATCTCTACTAAAAATACAAAATATTAGCCGGGTGTGGTGGTGCACGCCTGTAATCCCAGGTACTTCGGAGGCTGAGGCAGGAGAATCACTTGAACCTCGGAGGTGGAAGTCGCAGTGAGTCGAGATTGTGTCACTGTACTCCAGCCTGGGCGACAGAGCAAGACTCTGTCTCGGAAAAATAAAAATAAATAAACACTGCTCTAATTTTTTATATATGGAAATCAGAGTATCATGTATTTTTAAATTTTGGGGTATATGTGGTTTTCTTTTACATTATTAATATTATACCACATAGACAGTTTTGTATCTCGCTTTAATTTAATTAATTAATTTATTTATTTGAGATGGAGTCTCACTCTGTCACCCAGGCTGGAGTGCAGTGGGACGATCTCGGTTCACTGCAACCTCTGCTTCCTGGGCTCAAGTGATCCTCCTGAGTAGCTGGAACTACAGGCACACACCGTCACTCCCAGCTAATTTTTATATTTTTTTGTAGAGATGGGGTTTTGCCATGTTGTCCAGGCTGGTCTCTAACTCCTGGGCTCAAGTGGTCCCCCACCTGGGCCTCCCAAAGTGCTGGGATTACAGGCATGAGCCACCCCACTCAAGCCACCATGCTTAGCCTATTTTACCAAACTCTTACCCTTAGACGTATAAATTGTTTCTAATTTTTTGCTATTCTAAAAATACTATGAAGAAAATCTTTTTTTTTTTTTTTTTGAGACGGAGTCTCACTCTGTCGCCCAGGCTGGAGTGCGGTGGCGCGATCTCGGCTCACTGCAAGCTCCGCCTCCCGGGTTCACACCATTCTCCTGCCTCAGCCTCCCAAGCAGCTGGGACTACAGGTGCCCGCCACCACGCCCAGCTAATTTTTTGTATTTTTAGTAGAGACAGGGTTTCACCATGTTAGCCAGGATGGTCTCGATCTCCTGACCTCGTGATCCGCCCACCTTGGCCTCCCAAAATGCTGGGATTACAGGCTTGAGCCACCGTGCCTGGCCTGAAGAAAATCTTTATGCATGAATCTTTGTTGATATTTTGGCTTACATTCTTTCCTTCTTTTTCTGAAATTGGGTCTTGTTCTGTTGCCCAGACAGGAGTGCAGTGGCTATTCACAGGTGAAGTCATAGCACATTATAGCCTCAAACTCCTGGGCTCCAGTGATATTCCTGGCTCAGCCTCCCAAGTAGCTGGGACTATAGGTGCATGCCACCATGCCTGGCTTGGATTATTTTCTTACAATTTTTTCTGGAAGTGAAATTACTGGATCAGAGGATCAAAATATTTTTAAGGATCTTGACATATATTGCCAAAATGCTTTCCAGAAAGGTTGTGCCAATTACATGCCATCACCCTGATATTAATGTACCTGTTTTATGACATAGCACTGAGTATTAACATTTTAAAAATCCTTGGCTGGGTGCAGTGGCTCATGCCTGTAATCTCAGCACTTTGGGAGGCCAAGGCAAGAGGATCACTTGAGGCCAGGAGTTTGAGACCAGCCTAGGCAACATAGTGAGACATTGTCTCTACAAAAAAAAAAAAAAAATTAGCTAGGTATGGTGGGACATGCCTGCAGTCCCAGCTACTAAGGGAGGCTGAGGTTGGGGGATCATTTGAGCCCAGGAGTTCAAGGCTGCAGTGAGCTATGATTGTGCCACTGTACTCTGAGTGACAGAGTGAGACCCTGACAAAAAAAAAATCCTTGCAAATTTGATAAGTGAATCATTACTTTTTGGGTGTTTAGTAGTTTCTTGGAGGACCAAGAGGCATAGTTTCATCAGGTCAATGATGTGGTCCAATCTGACTGGTGAATTCCTCTACTGATCAGACTATCTCCTTAACTACATTGATGCGGTTTGGCCATTATTGTTTTTTACACTCCTGGGAGTCTCTCCTCCTTTTGGTTACGGTCTCCCCATTTTCCTTTGGGGAACACTCCTCCCCATCTTGGTCCATGTGTTCCAACTGGGCCTAGTCCACACCTGAATTCCAGGGATGGGCACTGAAATCCTATCTTGGCCAATCATGACAAAAATTGGTTTAGTGATGGGCATTTCACCCAAGTGGGGCAATGAGTGCCTTTTGCTGGAATAAATGGGACAGACGCCCTCTCTCCTATTACGGGATTAAGGATAGAGGACTGAAGCTGAAAAATGTAGTTCTGGAGATGGCTGTTGGTCATCTTTGCCATTCAAGGGGACAGCCTATACTTGAGATGGAAGTCAACATTAGTTAAGAGATGCCAAGAAATGGAGAAGACACATACCTGAAGATTTTTTTGAGCTCCTGGGTTCAGCTGCCTGGGTTTTCTGTTAATGAGGCAACAAATCCTCCCTTTTAAAAAGACAGTTTGAGCTAGGTTTCTATTATATGCAACTGAAAAAGTCCTGTGGTTTTGCATGGTGTTCAGAAAAGGCAAATGTGCCTAATTTGTTACAGAATCGTAGGTTCTGAAAGTTGAAGAATCTTCACCATCTTCTTCTTCCATGTTTTATACACAGACCTACATGTATTTTAGTTAGATATCAGTCCAGTCTTTGCTTGCTTAAATCCAAGGATGGAGTACTCACTGTCTTAAGAGGTCATCTGTCCCATCACTGGAGAGTCAGTGCTGAAGGAGAGATTTTTGGTTTTTGTTTTCTCATAAACTGGAAGAACTAAATAAATTATCCCCATGCCTGAAAATAAGACAAAGGATAAGAATAACCTAATCTGATGAACCAACTATTTTGGACAAATCATTGGCTGTGCAAAAGGAGAGGCTAAAGAACTAAGTTTAGGGACAGAACAGAGCTACATGATTTGAATAAAAAAATGAGGTTTTTGTTTGCTTGTGTGTTTTTGCTTTTGAGAATCTGGGAGTCAGGAAGAGAGGGCTGGAGAGTAAAAGAGGAGGAAAAGGAAAGTAAAAAACAACACGGCATAGCAGAAAGGTAATGACAAGAATTTAGTATTAAATTTGGGTAGTTTCCTTTGGCTATGCTAAATCTCATGACAGTGAAGTTTGGTAACAAATGCCCCTGGTAAGTGATTTGTTTTTCTGTGTGTGTGTGTGTGTGTGTGTGTGTGTATGGTACTCATAGAGAGGGTTGAGAACCAGGTGCAGGACGGGGATAACACATGTGGCATGTGTGGTGATCTACAAGCTAAATTCAGATAGTGGAAGCTGAAACTTAGAGCCGGAGGTGATGATGACAATGTAATTGTCCTGGGGATTTTCTGTAATCTCTGGAAATATTTTGGGGAATCTTTGGGAATGAGGGCTTGAGCCAGTCTTATCTGGTCCTTAAGGGGCAGAGAGAGCCCCAGCTAACAACTGGATCATGCTCAAAATCCAGTCTTATTATAATATAATTTTGTCTTATATTAAGGCAAAATTAGCCTCTCTAAAGCCTTCCTATGATGAAAGGTATTTGCCTTTAAGGGCCATGGAGAGTCTGTTCCCTTTGTTCCACATGACTGTAACTTTATCATCTGACTTTGGAGTCAGAACTGAGTTTGAATCTGGGCTTTGCCCCTGACTGTGTGACCATGGAATTTATAATCTAGTGGAAAGAGACTGAAAATAAACAAATGAATAAAATAGGTAGTATTACAGATGGAGATAAGTGCTATGGAGTTAAAGCAGGTAACGGGGAGACAAAGTAGGTAAGGAGAGTGCCATGGGGATTATTTGCCATTTTATTTTATTTATTTATTTATTTATTTATTTATTTATTTTTGAGATGGAGTCTCACTTTGCTGCCCAGGCTGGAGTGCAGTGGTGCCATCTCGGCTCACTGCAACTTCTGTCTCCCAGATTCAAGCAATTCTCCTGCCTCAGCCTCCTGAGTAGCTGGGATAGCAGGCACGCGCCACCACGCCTGGCTAATTTTTTGTATTTTTAGTAGAGACGGGGTGTCACCATATTGGTTAGGCTGGTCTCGAACTCCTGACCTCGTGATCCACCCGTCTTGGCCTCCCAAAGTGCTGGGATTACAGGCGTTAGCCACTGTGCCTGGCTGTAATCTATTGTTATTAAGATGACAACTTAGTCTTCAACCTTGTCAACCATTCTTTTTTGATAATGATTTGTGATTCTCCCTCCATCCCAGTTCTGTTTCTCTGACTCATGATCTTTTTAGCTTATCTTTCTTCTGCAGTTTGTTAATCAGTCACTAAATGTACCAGCACCTGCTATATGCTACACACTAGGTTGTAGGACTTTCTTAAGATGCCTACTGTCCCATGGGGGAGAGAACAGCTGTACATTAGTAGCCACTGTATAAAGCAGAGCAGGCCCAAGAGAATAACAAGTGCAGTGCTCTAGGAGTTCAGAGGTGAGCTCATGGAAGGCTTTCTGGAAGAGGTGGCACTTGGACTGACCTCTGAGGGTGGATGAAGATGAAGTGGAGAGGGCATTCCAGGAAGAAGGAAAGGCGTGAGACGCTAGCATGCGCAAGTCACAAGTGGGGTGGGGGAAACTGCCTGATAGAGTACAAGCATGGTATGTTGGAAGGTGAGAAGTGGAGAGCAGACTCTAAAGTGAGTTAATTAAGTTAGGGAGTTTGGATGTATTCTGAGAATGATAGAGAGCCATTGGACACTTTTAGACAGGGAGTGAAATAGGCACAATTGTGTTTTCAAATGATTTCTCTCACTGCAGTGGAGGAGGACAGCTTAGATCAGCAGGAATGGGGGTGAGAAGGAGTGGGATGGGGTGACCCAGGAGGCTGTAACAGCTGTCATAGTGAGTACTGATGAAGCCTTAGGAATGGAAATGGAGAGAAGTGATGATAGAAATGCAGGGAGAAACAAAGGATGTGCTACCTGCTCCCCAAGGATTATCAGGGAGCATGTAGGAATTGCCCAAATACGATTGCAATAAAAATGTGCTGTTAACTCTTCTGAAATTGGGCTTTAGATGGTTGAGGTCAGCTATTTTCAGTCCCCTCCATAAAGGTATTATGAAATACCTTTCAGAAGGGAAGATAGAAGGGAATAACATGTGTCTGCCCTGGGCACCTTCTTGTTTTGGTGTCTGATAACTACACAAAGCTTCAGCACCCTTGGGCACTTCGGCCATCACCCAGTCCTTCAAAGACCAACTTTCTGAACAGGGATTTCTCTTGGAGTCCCTGCTGACTCTAAGCTTTCCTCCTTCACTGCAGCGAGAGGAGCTTGAATTGAGAGACGAAGAATTGAGTTTTGGCCCTGGGAATATAAGGTTTAAAGTGAATAAGGCTGATTTCCACATAATCATTCCAAAAGGCTGTTTTGACTTTCTAAATGGGCCATCCAGCTGAAGAAATTAAAAATCATCCCAAATTTGATAATTTGGGGAACTCTGGATCTGCTGAGCCACTAGTTCCTTTTAAAGAGGAAAGCCAATCTATGGTCAGGCACAGTGGCTCATGTCTTGTAATCCCAGCAGCTTGGGAGGCCGAGGTGGGCACGTTGCTTGAGCTTATGAGTTCGAGACCACCCTGGGCAACATGGCAAAACCCTGTCTCTACAAAAAATACGAAAATTAGCTGGCGTGGTGGTATGTGCCTGTAGTCCCAGCTACTTGGGTGGCTGAGGTGGGAGGATGGCTTGAGCCCAGGAGGCAGAAGTTTCAGTGAGCTGAGGTTACACCACTGCACTCCAGCCTAGGCGATAGAGTCAGACCTTGCCTAAAATAAATAGGAAAGCCAATCCAAACCTCAGGCCCTGGGATTTATGATTCTAGTTGCCTGAATCCATAGCAGCAACGTCAGGAGGATTGAGAGGCTTTGGCCTTGAACATAGGTGACTGTTCCATCACTTCCTGTGTAATTTTCCTATTGACAGATAGAAGGAGTCCTGTGGGCAGACTTTGGAGTGGAGGGAGTTGCAGGGAGTTGAGGATCAGGAGACAAATATCATAATAGCCCAGCTGAGCATTTTTTTAGCTTCAAGTGTTTTGTTCACATTAGCTAATTAACTGACAGTTTGTCCAAGTGGAGTTGAGGCATGGTAGGAGATGGGAACTCATGGCCGATCATGCTTCCAGGGTCTGGAGGGAACTGATAACGTGACTGCAGTACCAGGGCCAGAGTGTGGGTTTGGACAGCTAATGGACAGAAGCTAATTGACAGGCGCTTGGGCCTGTGTGCATGATGGTCAGCTGGTTTGTCCACAACAGTGTGATAAATGCCCCATTCAGTCCAGGGGCAGTTGTGGCTCAGAGAGACCCGGTCAGGCTCTGTTATTGATCTGATAACAAGTGCATGGGGTATTAGCTACTTCACCACAGATGTCTTCTCTGGATAACTGTCTCTGTGTCCAGGAGACTGAATGAGATTCTTCATGGTCAGAAATGTCACATACCTTTTTTTTTTTTTTTTTTTGAGACAGAGTCTCACTCTGTTGCCCAGGCTGGAGTACAGTGGCACGATCTTGGCTCACTGGAACCTCCGTCTCCAGGGTTCAAACGATTCTCCTGTCTGCCTCTGGGAGTAGCTGGGATTACAGGTGTGCACCACCATGCTCGGCTAATTTTTGTATTTTTAGTAGAGACGGGGTTTCACCATGTTGGCCAGGCTGACAATTTTTTTTTTAAACAGGAAATTTTTGCATCAAAACCCAGCCAGCAATGAATTCCTATTATTCACTGTCTATGTTCTATGAGAAAAACCAGGAAGAACATGCACATTTATAGAAATGTGTATGCCAGCACAGCTCATAATAACTCAGTGTAGGCATCTATAGTTTCACATTTTAAGATACACGTTTTACAACTTATATAAGTAAATTTTACTCTTTTTCATGTACATTACTATTACTAAACCAGGGGTCGACAAACTTTTACTGTAAAGAGCCAGATAGTAAATATCTTAGGCCTTGTGGACATACAGTTTCTGTTATAAATACTCAGATCTGCCAGGCCTCCACAGACAATACGTAAATGAATGAGTATGACTTTATTTATGGATACCGAAATCTGAATTTATAATTTTCACAAGATATTATGCTTCTTGAGATTTTTTCCCAATCGTTAAAAAATGTAGATGTACCCATAACAATTAAAATTTTTTAAAAAAATTAGGCTGGGCATGGTGGCTCACACCTGTAATCTCAGCACTTTGGGAGGCCAAGGTGGGCAGATAGCTTGAGCCAAGGAGTTTAGGACCAGCCTGGGCAACTTGACAAAACCCCATCTCTACAAAAACAAACAAACAAAAAATATAAAAATTAGCTGGGTGTGCTGGCACGTGCCTGTAGTCACAGCTGCTCAGGAGGCTGAGGTGGGAGGATCACCTGAGCTTTGGTAGATTGAGGCTGCATTGAGCTGAGATTGTGCCACTGCATTCCAGCCTGGGTGACAGAGTGAGATCTTGTCTCAAAAAAAAAAAGGAAAAAAAGAAAAAGGAAACAAAACTTGTGGAGCAGCATTCTAGGCACTGGCTATACAGAGATGTAAACCATATATCTGACTCCGCAGAGTTTCCTGTTTTTTGTTTTTTTTTTTCTTTTTTGTTGTTGTTGAGACAGGGTCTCCTCTGTCATCTAGGCTGGAGTGCATAGTATGATGATCATGGCTCACTGTAGCCTTGAATGCCTGGGCTCAAGTGATCCTCCTACCTCAGCTTCTGGAGTAGGCGGGACCACAGGTGCATGGCACCACCCACAGCTAATTTTTTGTATTTTTTGTAGAGATGGGGTTTCGCCATGTTACCCAGGCTGGTCTTCAACTCCTGGGTTCAAGTGATTCTCCCACCTTGGCCTCCCAAATTGCAAGGATTTCAGGTAGGAGCCACTGTGCCTGGGCAGAATTTACTTTCTAGATCAAGATATAGGCATTGAACAAAAAACATAAGTAAAGTTATTTCAGATTGTGATACATCCTAGTAAGACATTAAAATAGGAATAAAAGTTGATATGGAGAGGGCTTCTTTGGCTAGCACTGTGAGGGAAGGTCATTTTGAGGAGGTGAAATTTGAGCTGAGACCTGAATGAAGAGAAGGAGACAGTTATAGTGAAGATCTGGGGGAAAGAACATTCTAGGTAGAGGGAGAGCAGGTACCTATAAAGAACCTGAGGCCTATCAAATCCTGACAGATAAAAGGCTGAAGCAGATGTGAATGAGTGGTTGTGTGTTGGGAGGGTGAGGGTTAAAAGGAGATGAGGTGAGAGACAGGGGAGCTTCAAAATGAGGCCTCCACTTATCTCTATTCCTCATTTCCTCAGTTCTGTCTCTCACACTTTAGTTCCTAGGATTCTGAACTTAACTTTTCTTTTGAGACAGGTATTGCTCTGTCACCCAGGCTGGAGTGCAGTGGCATGACTATGGCTCACTGCAGCCTTAACCTCCCAGGCTCAAGCAATCCTCCCACCTCAGCCTCCCAAGTAGCTAGGACTACAGGTGTGTGCCACCACGTCTGGTTAATTTTTTTATTTTTTTGTGGAGTTGGGGTCTCGCTGTGTTGCTAGTTCTGGTCTCGAACTGCTGGGCTCAAGCAATCTGCCTGCCTCAGCCTCCCAAAGTGCTGGGATTACAGGCGTGCACCACCATGCTCAACAGGATTCTGAACTTTTCTGTTCTCCAAACAAGCTGTTCTTTTTTATATTCATGAGTTTTGCATAGGCCTCAAGCTGGAATGCATGGCTGTAACCACTGTCTCCTTCTTCCTTTCAGCAATAGAATTTCCCCATGTTTTAACAGGGCCTATGTTTAGAGCTTCCTACCTAACCTGAACTACCTGCTTATTTCTGGACTGTTACATGACAAGAAAACAAACTTCTGTCTTGTTTGACACACTGTACATGCAGTGTCTTTATTATGTGACTTACCCTTTACTCTCACTTTCGCTTATCTGCCTAGTGAATTCTTACTTATCCTTCTAGATCAAGTCCTAAGTACTGCTTTTCCTATCCTCTCCAGGAAAAGTTATCTGATCCTGACAGATGATTTTCTTTATTGCCTCATGGTACTTTGTATGTCTATCATAGTATTCCACTAGTTAAGCAGCACTGACTAGGAGTCTAAGTCATGCACTGTGTGGTAAATAAGGAGTTTGTGGTTTAGAGGGAAAGACAGACATGTGGCAAATAATTGTGAATGGTGATAGTACACTCTCTGTGAGAAGTGAGTTGGGGGGAGTACAGACATCCTTCATTTTTCCTTTCTCCTCAATTCCCACATCCGATTCTAACAAGATGAAAAAGTCTGTATTGCCCAGATCTTGGGAAAAACATTGGGAAAGAGAGGAGGAAGTCAGGTAGTATCAGGACAGCAGTTACAAGTCACACCAGCCTTAAGGAGGCAGATTTCAGCCCCATCAGCAGAGGTGGCAGCAGCCAGGACAGAAAACATTGTCCCCGCTGGAAGCCAAAATAGGTTGCTGCTTGTGGTCACTATTGGAGATGCAGCAAGCTCCTGGGAGCCATCTGCTATAGAAGCTGAACAAGTAGTATGCTGGCAAGATGACTAGCCATTCAAGAACTTATTCTCAACTCAAGAGGCCCTGGAGAAACTCTTTAAAATGGCTGAAGGACACTTTGAGGTAGGGTTAATTCCTACAAGTAGGAAAGTGGGTGCTCATCCTAGAGTAAGTTGGGTAAAAAAACTTATTAAATAATATCTAATTTTGTCTTTACAGGCAAATGAGGCTGAGGATATATGGATTATATTTTGAATTATTTTGAATCTTATTGAATTTTATATCCATTCCATGGACTCATCATTACCTCTAGAAATAAAGCCAATTGATATTTAGGGCAAGGATGAAGATAACATTGGAAAATTTGCACGTGGAGGTAGATATAGACTTCCAGAAGCCTCTAAGAATTGTGAGATTCAAAATAACTGTGAAAAAATAAACACACATAAAATTGAAAAGACCGTGCAAATTCTCTTAAGTTCCTGAACAAATAAAGAGAGCCCAGCAAGGTCTTCAGGAGGGGGAAAACACAGCCTTACTTAAGTTTGCTAAAGATGTTAATCAGGCTGGGCGCGGTGGCTCATGCCTGTAATCCCAGCACTGGGGAGGCCGAGGAGGGCAGATCACGAGGTCAGGAGATCGAGACCATCCTGACTAACACGGTGAAACCCCATCTCCACTAAAAATCCAAAAAAATTAGCCAGGCGTGGTGGCAGGCACCTGTAGTCCCAGCTACTCGGGAGGCTGAGGCAGGAGAATGGCGTGATCCCAGGAGGCGGAGCTTGCAGTGAGCAGAGATCACGCCACTGCACTCCAGCCTGGGCGACAGAGTGAGACTCCATCTCAAAAAAAAAAAAAAAAAAAAGATGTTAATCAGCGTACAATCCAAGGGAGATACCAGGGAATGGAGTTGTTGTGTTAGATATGGTTAGACAATCTCCATAAGAAAACAACCCAATTGCCACTAAAATCGTTGGCCTAGTTATTGGGGGAGAGGTGAAGGAAAGACTATTTAGTTAATCTAGAGACTTATGAGGATCTGAAAGTTGAGGGTATTTTTAGGAAAGGTCACCCCTAGCATGGGGAAAGAGTGCTCTTGGCTGGGGTACTACTCTACTGAGATGCTGTGGGCGGTAGATACCCGATATGGAGAAGTGATGGCAGAACCTCTTAGTCTGGCAAGGGGAATTTTCAAGCCTCAGTGTTAGTTGGCTGAGTGTTGAATGCTCTGACAAAGCTAGCAGTGGGGAGGGTTTATAACCACAGGGATGTTCTGAATTTTTCTCTGTTGTATCAGAGGGTGAGAGAAAAGATACTTCTGAACCAGGACTAAAGAAACTCTTATAGAAGGCAGAGGAAACAGGAGCTAGAGATGCGAACAGCATGAATCAGGTCTCCTGTATAACAGGTGAGTTTTAGTGCTGTTCCAGGATAAGACTTTGGGGTTTTCCCAGCTGCCAAACCCAGGGTGGTCTTTTAGATTCTTCTACTTTTTGAAACTAACATGAAAAATGGAGGAGGAGAGGCAGCTCAAGCTATGGAGTAGAGAAAACTCAATCAATTGAGGTGATTGTAGATACCCAGCAAGGACTCCAATGACTACTATACATGAAGACTTCATGGGACAGATGAAAGGGCTAATGGAGGCCCTTTAGGTTTTGGGGAAAGAGATATAACCATGGACACCTCTGAGTCCCTAAAAAGCAGAACACTGGATAAGCTGGGGATGAGAAGGCTCCTGGCCAAGAAGAAATCCCAGCTATAGCATTCCTAAAGTTGAAGAGCATCAGGGAACAAGAGACCAGGAATGGGCCTAGAGCTTGATCTGTCTTTATTATTATTATTTGCAGAAATGGGGTTTCATTATGTTGCCCAGGCTGGTCTCAAACTCCTGGCCCAAGTGACCCTCCCACCTTGGCCTCTCAAAGTATTGGGATTACAGATGTGAACCACTGTGCCTGGCTGGGGTTTAACTGTCTTCAACCTGCAAAAGAGGAGGCCTCTGCCAGGCAAAGATCCCATCTTTTTCTTGTGGAGGGATAATCCTAGAAAGAGGGGCAGCCATAAAAGCACCAACTCTCAAGAGGTGCTTAATGACAAATTCACAAGTAGCAAGCACCCAAGCCACCTCCCATCACAAAAATGGAATGGATCAGATGTGGTTTTGGGACAAATTGTCAGGCTTGAGTTTCCTATAGGACTTGTGGAGATGGGGGAAGAGATGAAAAATCTGTGGGTATATGTTGGCAATGTTCAGGAGAGGTAGGTACATTGGTGGGGATCAAGTCTAGACTCTTTAAAAAATGTTTACCAGCAGCCGAGCACAGTTGCTCACGCCTGTAACTTCAGCACTTTGGGAGGCCAAGGAGGGTGGATCACCTGAGGTCAGGAGTTCGAGACCAGCCTGACCAACATAGTGAAACCTCGACTCTACTAAAATACAAAAAAAATTAGCTGGGCACAGTGGTGCATGCCTGTAATCCCAGTTACTCCTGAGGCTGAGGCAGGAGAATCGCTTGAACTCGGGAGGCGGAAGTTGCAGTGAGCCGAGATCACACCATTGCATTCCAGCCTGGGCAACAAAAACAAAACTCTGTCTCAAAAAAAAAAAAAAAAAAAAAAGAGTGTTTACCAGAAGCATGTAGGAATAGAGTATCTAGATGTTTTATCCTTATCCAGGTGTGGAAGCCACAGCAAAATAAAGGGAGGGAAGAGCCAATAATTCCCATTTTCTCTGCTTCCACTCTGGGTTCTCTAACTTAGAGTTTTAATTTGGGGGATTCCCCAAAATTCAAAAAGTAGAAAGAGAAGTTGTCATGGAAGGGCCAAACCAGGAGTAGTTTTCTCTCTCCAAGAATGGGGCTTAGTATAATGGGTTTAGGGTAAGCAGCATAAGTTAAAGTACGGGAAACCCAGACTCTTTAGAAAATGGTACAGAAAGTCTGTGTTATCTTAGATGGATGATTTTTGAAATCACCTCAAAGACCTACTGATTAACTACATTAACTCTGGATTCCATATCCTATATATTCCATTTAGTGATAGTGAAGGGAAAAAATCAGGTAAGATCTGAGTTTGTGTGGATTTCCTGGCTCTCAACAGACATTCCACAATAGCCCAGCACACTGTGTTCCACATACAGGATAGCTTAGCCACTTCCTATGGAGTGAGTTGTTTCCAGCAATGAGCGTCAGAGAAGGTATTATAATATCCCTACAACTGCATAAGAGGACATAGACGGGGGATTTTGTCTGTCTTGTATAGGTCATCAATATGAAGGGATGGGGGTTTCAGGAATCCATGTTGTTACCAGAAAGGGGTTCTGATCCAGACCCCAAAAGGGGGTTCTTGGATTTCGTGCAAACAGCTACTGATTAATGGCATTATCTTTGGATAACAGAAGCTGTCTTACTTTATTAAGAAAGTAAAGGGATAAAAGAATGGCTACTCCATAGGCAGAGCAGTAGTATGTGCTGCTTGACTGAGTATACTTTTGGTTATTTCTTGATTATATGCTAAATAAGGAGTGGATTATTCTTGAGTTTACACGGATTTCCTGGAAATCTTCCTTTTAGAACATATAAGGTAACTTCTTGGCCGGGTGCGGAGGCTTAGGCCTGTAATCCCAGCATTTTGGGAGGCTGAGGCAGGTGGATCCCTTGACGTCAGGAGTTTGAGATCAGCCTGGCCAACTTGGCGAAATCCCGCCTCTGCTAAAAGTACAAAAAATAGCTGGGTGTGGTGGTGCATGCCTGTAGTCCCAGTTACTTGGGAGGCTGAGGCAAGAGAATCGCTTAGACCCAGCAGGCTGCAGTGAGCTGAGATCGCGCCACTGCACTCCAGCCTGGGTGACAAAGCAAGACTCAGTCTCAAACAGAAACAAAAACAAAAACAAAAACCACACACACACAAAGAACATATAGAGTAACTTCTGGATGTTGCCATGGTATTTATAAACTGTTATGGCACTGCTGGGAGTGTCTTTTTTTTTTTTTTTTTTTTTTGAGACAGAGTCTTGCTCTGTCGCCCAGGCTGGAGTGCAGTGGCACAATCTCGGCTTACTGCAACCTCTACCTCCTGGGTTCAAGCAATTCTCCCGCCTCAGCCTCCCAAGTATTTGGGATTACAGGCACCTGCTATCACGCTCGGCTAATTTTTGTATTTTTGTAAAGATGGGGTTTCACTATGTTGCCCAGGCTGGTCTTCAACTCCTGACCTCAGGTGATCCACCTGCCTCAGCCTCCCAAAGTGCTGGGATTACAGGCGTGAGCCACTTCCGCCCAGCCGGGAGTATCTTTTAGCATGCTAATACATTATAATTAGCATAAAATGAGCAGTGAGGGACCAGAGGTCATTTTCATAGCCATCTTGGTTTTGATGGGTTTTGGCCAGCTTCTTTACTGCATCCTGTTTTATCAGTGGAGTCTTTGTGACCTGTGTCTTGTGCTGCCCTCCTGTCTCATTCTATGACTAAGAATCCCCTCCTGGGGATGCAGCCCAGCAGGTCTCAGCCTAATTTCACCCAGCCCTTATTTAAGATGGAGTTGATCTGGTTTCAATGCCTAAAGGTTGATGGAGAAAGTCATTTATCATTTGAATTTATCTGGAGGCATTTTTTTTTCATTTATATATTCATTCTCTCTTCATGTCTCTCTCTCTCTCTCTCTCTCTCTCTCTCTCTCCAAAATCTTGGAGAAGCACGAACAATGGTTCTTCAAGAGTAGTAAATATGTTTTGTTCTGCTCAGATTTTATTTGAGAAATGCTCTTCTCCAATTCTCAGTCTCTGTAGCTTGAGTGCAACTGATCCCTGCACTCTGCTTCCAAGGGTGGCTACATGACCTAGGCCTGGCCAATTAAAACATTCCACCTAACTGGACTCTGATTGGTTCAGGAGTAAGCATGTGATCCAAGCTAGGCTGATGAGATTCAACTCCAGAACTTCGCAGTTATATGGAGAAACTTGCACTCTGCTGGAAAGAGTTGCTAGTTGGATGCAATGTAACCCTGGAACTGCCTGACAGGATCCTTGTGACCTCTTGGGGAAACAACAGAGGGAAGGAGAACTGGGAACGAGTCTGGTTCTTGCTAACATTGTTTGAGCACCTCCACTCAGCTGTTCCTGAAGTGAGACTACCCCTTTATTTGTCTTAAGCTAGTTTTCTGTCACTTGCAACTGAAAAGTCATGCTAATACCACAGTGATACTGGACCATATGGAAGACTCGAGCCTGAAGTTGTCCCTTTACAGCTTCAGTAAATTTGCTTGATCTCAGTGAAAGGTGTAATATCACCAAGTGGGTAAGCACAGGCCATGAGAAGACCTCCATTATTAACACTGGTCCCTCTCCATCACTGAAAATTAGAAGCATTCATAATGTTTACGAAAAACTCTTCCAAGATTGCAAAATTCTTTAGTGTTTTAACTTGGCATTATCAGTGCAGATCCAGGGCACCAATTTAGAAGTCAGCTTAAAATCCAGAAGGAAGTCAATTTTCTTACTCCCTTTTTTTTTGAGAGTTCAATGCCTTGGTAGTTTTGGTGAGTTACTTGGTTGAAGCTTCTCCTAGCAATTGCTGACCCACATGGATGTTTGGAAGGCATCATGTTAGAAAAGTGCGGAAGAGCGAAAATCTGTTGTTTTCATTAGCACAAATCTGTCTGATAGTGAGGTGCAACACTATTTAAAAAAACAGAGTTCTGGCTGGGCATGGTGGCTCACGCCTGTAATCTCAGCACTTTGGGAGGCCAAGGTGGGCGGATCACGAGGTCAGGAGATCGAGATCGAGACCGTCCCGGCTAACACAGTGAAACTCCGTCTCTACTAAAAATACAAAAAAAATTAGCCAGGCGTGGTGGTGGGCGCCTGTAGTCCCAGCTACTCGGGAGGCTGAGGCAGGAGAATGGCGTGCACTCGGGAGGCAGAGCTTGTAGTGAGCCGAGATCGCACCACTGCGCTCCAGCCTGGTGACAGAGCGAGACTCCGTCTCAAAACAACAATAACAACAAAAACAGAGTTCCTGGCCGGGCGTGGTGGCTCACGCCTGTAATCCCAGCATTTTGGGAAGCTGAGGCAGGTGGATCACTTGAGGTCAGGAGTTCAAGACCAGCCTGGCCAACATTGGTGAAACCCAGTCTCTACTAAAAATACAAAAATTAGCTGGGCCTTGTGGCAGGCACCTGTAGTCCCAGCTACAGGCTGAGGCAGGAGAATCGCTTGAACCTTGGAGCAGGGGGTTGCAGTGAGCCGAGATCATGTCAATGCACTCCAAAGTCTGGGCGACAGAGCGTGATTCCATCTCAAAAAATAAATAAAATAAAATAAAAAACAGAGTTCCTGCTGCAAAAGTAGGAAATCACAGGTAAGTTCTGAGAAAGCAGGAGTGTCAGGTGCTAGATTACCCTCCCTCCAGTCCCTGCCCATTTGTTTCCCAGTGCTAGGCTGGTTGCTTCTAGTAGAGGCTACTATAGGTCCGTGAGGGTACAGATGTTTTCTCTTCACTGGTATACTCAGGCCACTGAGAGTGAGGCTCTGAGGCAGGTCTAGCAGGAAGCTCCTGTCTTGAATACCAGGCTTATGGTGGCATTTGACTGTGTGGTCCATGGCAGATCATTACTACCCCAACCATGAGTATAGAATTGGAGAGAGGAGAGATGGGCAGGACCAAAGCTGTGTGTGTGTGTGTGTGTGTGTGTGTGTGTGTGTGTGTGTGTGTGTGTGTGTGTGTGTGTGTGTGTGTAGAGTTGGAGGGGAGGGGGGCTGTCCCTAAAATACTCAAGGCTTCCCAAGGGAGAGAACTGGAGCCTCCTCCAAGGGAGATAGCTTCAAGACCTGATCGATGAGGTTGTAGGGAACATTTGACATTTTTGGCTGCCTAGCATCTGAACACCTTTCCCATTTTGGAGGACTTCCAAATCAGATGGGAGGCAGGGCCCTTAAACTCTGATATGATATTGAGTATGTTGCCAGAAGATGCAAGAATAAAATAAAGTATGATTTTTAGAGTTTGTGGCTGCCTATTAAGTTCAAAATCTCTAATTGGAGGTAAAATGTATAGACTGTAAGTGGGTGAGGAAAGTCACAGTGATTGACCAAAATAATTTACCACTGATAGCACAGCCCATGAAAAAAGCTGCATCCCTGCTTCTGTCACATTTGGTCAGCATTAGAGTTCACGAGGAAGCCCTCTCCCAGGTACTACTCTGGGATCTTTGGGGAGCAGAGAGAAAACTGGACAGTGGTTCAGAGGGTAAAGGGAACTTAGGATTCTTGGGCTGCAAGTAACAGAATGTAGTTGGAGTCTCCTTAAATAAATAATACATTTGTATAAGCAGCCCCGTTAGACATGAAAAAGAGGGACTCCTGCCCTGGGCCCCATGTCTAGAGGGCCCGGCTTTGGCTCTTCTCTGAGCCTACCTCTCTTCATAGGATGAGAAATCCATATGGCCAAGGGTGCTTCTCCACCCAGATAAGTATTCCGCTTATCTCACCTCCCTCTTCTCAACTATGCTTAGTATCCTGAGTCCTGGAATTCTCTGCCCAAATGGACTTTAGCCTGTTTCTAGGAACTGCATGGGCCTTTTCCCTGGATCTGTTCTCCTAAGGAGAGCATTGTCAGTATCAGCACCTTTAGAACCAAGAGGTGGTCAAGGAACAGCTATTTGTAAGGCGATTGCTATGGTTTGTATGTGGTTTATTCCCATCAAAACTCATGTTGAAAATTGATCCCCAACGTGGCAGTGTTGGGAGGTAGGGACTAGTGGGAGGTGTTTGGGTCATGGAGGAGGATGGGTCACAAATATATTAATGCCTTCCTATAGGGGTGAGTGAGGTCTTGAATTCATGGGAATAGATGAGTTAAAAGAGCCTTGTTTCCTTGGTTGCTTTCTCTTGTGTCCTCTCTCACCATGTGATCTCTGCACATGCCAGCTCCCCTTCCACTCTGCACCATGAATGGAAGCAGCATGAGGCTCTCACCAGATGTGGCTGCCCAATTTTGGACTCTTCCAGCCAACAGAATCATGAGTCAAAATAAATATCTTTTTTTTTTTTTTAAAAAGTTATCCAGCCTCAGGTATTCTGTTATAGCAACACAAAATGGACTAAGACAGGGATGGATGGAAGCAGCTTGGACATGTATACAAAGACTCCCTTGACAGTCTCACAGTGCAGGATAGAGCCAAGGGTAGGAAGAAAAAGGGGTCAGTTCTCTCCCTCCCATCTCCCCCATGTTTTGTCAGAACTCTAAGGATCTGTGAATTCTAAATTTTAACCCAGTCTTCTTCTTTTTTTTTTTTTTTTTGAGGTGGAGTTTCATTCTTGTTGCCCAGGCTGGAGTGCAATGGCGCGATCTTAGCTCACTACAACCTCCGCCTTCTGGGTTCAAGCGATTCTCCTGCCTCAGCCTCCCGAGTAGCTGGTATTACAGGCATGCGCCATCACACCTGGCTAATTTTGTATTTTTAGTAGAGATGGGGTTTCTCCATGTTGGTCAAGTTGGTCTCAAACTCCCGACCTCGGTGATCTACCCGCCTCAGCCTTCCAAAGTACTGGGATTACAGCCATGAGCCGCCGTGCCCAGCCTCAACCCAGTCTTCTAAGTTTGCATGAAGATATATTTGGCAAGATAGGAGAATTGAGTCGTTTTTTTTTTTTTTTTGAGATGGAGTCTCGGTCTGTCATCAGGCTGGAGTGCAGTGGCACGATCTTGGCTCACTGCAACCTCTACCTCCCGGGTTCAAGTGATTCTCCTGCCTCAGCCTCCTAAGTAGCTGGGACTACAGGTGCGTGCCACCATGCCCAGTTAACTTTTGTATTCTTAGTAGAGACAGGGTTTCACCACGATGGCGAGGATGGTCTCAATCTCTTGACCTTGCGATTCGCCCGCCTCGGCCTCCCAAAGTGCTGGGATTGCAGGCATGAGCCACCGCACCTGGCCGAGGATTGAGTATTTTTTATTTAATGGTTGGCCTGATTTGTAACTTTCAAGTATTTTGACATATGGTATATGGCTCTCCATTTATATTCTCATCCTGGGCCCTGCAAATGTTAGGTGTAGGCCTGACCTTAGTATAGGAACCAAGCTGGGCCTTAAGAAGCTCTATACTCAGGAAATTGATTACTGCTCGTATTCTTTCCATTCCTCACCTCTGCTCCTTTCAGAGCATTTCTTTCATCCTTCCTTGGCTTTCTGAAGACCGGCTTCCTTTGCAACTCAGCCTTCAGGGTGAACATGGCCATAATACCTCCAGAGATTGATTCCGTGTTATAGGTCCAAACCCCTGAAGAGCCTAGATCTTGTTTTGGGTACTATTTCCAAATATTTATGAAAGAAACTCTAATCAATTTAGCCTAGGCCCTACCAGCTATGGCCAGGGACACAGTCATGTACAAATTGAGAAGGGGGACATCATGGTGAACTGGCCAGAGGTACTAAAAAGTATCCACTACAATGATAGATACCAGAGACTGGGAAAGGGTGTGTGGGTGGGAGAGGGGGATGAAGGGAGGTTGGTTAACAGTGAGATAGAAAATGTAAGTTCTAATGTTCAACAGCAGAGTAGAGATGCAAGTATTATGTATTTCAAAGTAGCTAGAAGACTTTAAATGTTCCCAACACATAAAAATGATAAATACTCAAGGTGGTCAGGCATAGCAGCTCACATCCATAATCCCAGAACTTTGGGAGGCCAAAGTGGGAGGATTGCTTGAGTCCAGAAATTTGATACTGGCCTGGGCAACATGGTGAGACCCTGTCTCTAAAAAAAAAAATTTTTTTTCTTAGTTAGCTGGGCATGGTGGCATGTGCTATAGTCCCAGCTACTGGCACTGAAGAGCAGGGGTGGTGGTGGGGAGGGCAGAGGTGGGGGGATCACTTGAGCTTATGAAGTCAAGGTCGAGGCTGCAGTGAGCTGTGATTACACCACTGCACTCCAGCCTGGGCGACACAGTGAGACCCTGTCTCAAAAAACACAAAACAAAACACTCAAACCTAATGGATACACCAAATACCCTGACTTGATCATCTCACATTGTATATACTAAAAAAAATCACATGTAACCCATAAATATGTAAAGTATTCTGTATCAATTAAAAAAATAAACACAAAAAAGGTATCTACTACAATGGAGCAATTGACTGACCAGCCTGGGTCATTGATCCACTCACACCTTTAGGCCTTAACCCATTAGCAGTGATCTTGGAGCTAGCTGATCTACCCAGTGAGGTCCTGGAAATGAATGAATCACACGCAGAAGCGAAGGAGAAAAATACTACCAATGAAGGGAGAGATTCTCCACAAGAAAGGCTGTAATTTCATTATTGAGTGGCCCATTCTTTAGGGTGGAGACATGCTGGTTACCTAATCACTCATTTAGTGTGGCCTTGTCTACCTCCTAAGCATCTCTCACATCTACACAAATCTACACAGGACTCTTGATCGTTTGCCCACGTTGTTGCAACAATGTTTTCCAAGTCTTCAAAGTTTGCCCCTTCAATCCATTTTGCAATCTGATGATTCTCAAATGCAAATCTCATCACAACACTCCTCTGCTTAAAACTCCTAAACTCCCCCCATTGCTTGAGCATAAAGTACACATTCCTATCTTGACTTATAAGCCTCTTCATGCCTACCCTGTAGCTTCATCCCCACCACCCTTTACCTCCTTTAACATTAGGCCAGCCTGCAATTACTTTCTTTTTTTTTCTTTTCTTTTTTTTTTTATTTTGAGACGGAGTCTTGCTGTGTCGCCCAGGCTGGAGTGCAGTGGCGTGATCTTGGCTCACTGCAAGCTCCGCCTCCCGGGTTCACACCATTCTCCTGCCTCAGCCTCCCGAGTAGCTGGGACTACAGGCGCCCGCCACCACGCTTGGCTAATTTTTTGCATTTTTAGTAGAGACGGGGTTTCACCGTGTTAGCCAGGATGGTCTCGATCTCCTGACCTCGTGATCCACCTGCCTTGGCCTCCCAAAGTGCTGGGATTACAGGCGTGAGCCACCGCGCCCGGCCTCTGTAATTAATTTCAATGTCCTCAAAGAGCGATGTGCTCTCCTCTGGGGTTTTGTACATGTTTTCTTCCTGTCTGGCCTATATTTTCATCTGGCCCTGTCACCTAACTAGAAAAGGAACTAGCTCAGATATGATGATTTTGAAACATTTGTGTGGCATCCAGTAGGCATTTGGATAGACAGGAGAGGGGGTAGGACTGGTTTTAGGAGGCTGAAGAGGGTGCCATCCAGAGGTCAAATCTAGTGATTAGCTTTCAACTCCAGGAAAGACATGCTTCTTCAGAAAGGAAGGCAAGGAAGCAAGAATGGGTACAGGTTTACAGGCTTTTGAAGGGATGAATACAGGAAGGGAGTATTATGCCTGTTGATTTCTGTCAAGTAAAAGGAGAGGTCACATTTACTGATCTGACAGTGGAAGGTAGTCACTTGAGATGAGTAGTGAAGGTTTGGAGTATCAGAATAAGCAGATACAGAATGAGCCAAAGGAATCCCAATTATGACCAGAGACCAGCCCAGAGCTAAGTTGGTAAACTTGGTTTTCTTTACCTAAGCCCAACTACCTGGGCATAAGAGCAGAAGTAGACTGTTGTTTTGGCCTGGGATTTGGCTTTGGCTGGCTGACTCTTTTGGAAAGACAGGAGAGAGACATTTGATGACACTGGGAGAAAATGGTTAAGATTCACGTTGGGATTAGGTTTCTGGTTTCTAGGACTAGAGCTAGTCTATGACAAAGTTTTATAGGTTTGAGCACTATATTTAATGTGACTTACAGTCATTCATTGGGAAAGATGATCCTTTATTCTAAAATTATATGATCTCTACATATTGATTTCAAAATGTGTTTGAAGGCTGGACGCGGTGGCTCACGCCTGTAATCCCAGCACTTTGGGAGGCCGAGGCAGGTGGATCCCCTGAGGTCAGGAGTTCAAGACCAGCCTGGCCAAGATGGTGAAACCCCATCTCTACTAAAAATACAAAAATTAGCTGGGCGTGGTGGTGGGCGCCTGTAATCCCAGCTACTCGGGAGGCTGAGGCAATGAATTGCTTGAACCCGGGAGGCGGAAGGTTGCAGTGAGCTGAGATCATGCCACTGTACTCCAGCCTGGGTGACAGAGTGAGACTCTGTCTCAAAAATAAATAAATAAAATAAAGTAAAATAAAATGTGCTTGAAAAAAATTAAATTATGGTGGTTGTATCATTTCCTAGGGCTGCCATAATGAATTACCACAAACTGGGTAGCTTAAAACAACAGAAATCGGCCAGGTGCAGTGGCTCACGCCTGTAATCCCAGCACCTTGGGAGGCCAAGGTGGGACGACCCCTTGAGCACAGGAGTTCAAGACCAGCCTGGGAAACAGTGAGACCTCGTCTCTACAAAAAGAAAAAAAAATTAGCCAGGTGTGGTGGTGCACACCTGTGATCCCAGTTACTCAGGAGGCTGAGGTGGGAGGACTGTTTGAGCCTGGGAGTTCAAGGCTCCAGTAAGCTGTGAACATGCCACTGCATTCCAGCCTGAGTGACAAAGCAAGACTCTGTCTCAAAAACAAAAAAACAAAAAAACAAAAAACAAAAAAACAAAAAACAAAGAACAAAAAAAACCACAAGTTTATTCTCTCACAATTTTGGAGGCCAGAAGTCCAAAACAAGGTGTTGGCAGGGTTGGTTTCTTCTGAGGCTCTGAAGGAGAATCCACTCCATGTTTCTTTCTTAGTTTCTGGGGGTTGCAAGCAATTCTTAGTGTTCCTTGCCTTATAGATATATCACTCCAATCTCTATTACTGTCTTCACATTGCCTTCTCATCTATGTCTATGTCTCCAATCTCCCTCTGTTTTTCTTATAAGGACACACTGATCATTAGATCTAGGATCCACCTTAAATCCAGGATGATCTTATCTCAAGATCTTTAATTTAATTATATCTGCAAAGACCCTCTTCCAAATAAGTTCACATTCAGAGCTTCCAGGGTTTAGGAGTTGGACATATCTTTTTTGGGTATCACTATTCAGCTCATTAAAATAGTATTAGTGGTAATTTTTCCCCAATGTCTGTGCTTGGCCAGAAAAAAAAAATGGTGGGGGTTGGCATAGGTCAAAGAGAGTCATCTATTAAAGATTTCAGAGAGGGGACACGGTGTGGTGGCTCATGCCTGTAATCCTAGCACATGGGAGGCTGCGGCAGGAGGATAGCTTGAAGCCAGGAGTTTCAGGCCAGCCTGGACAACATAGGGAGACCCTGTCTCTACAAAAAATAAAAATAAAAAATTAGCCAGGCATGGTGGTGTGCATCTGTGGTCCCAGCTACTCGGGAGGCTGAAGCAGGAGGATTGCTTGAGCCCAGGAGGTCAAGGCTGCAGTGGGCCATGATCACACCAGTGCATTCCAGCTTGGGTGACAGAGCGAGACGCCATTCCTCTTGTCCCTCAAAAAAATTTCAGATGGGGAGCAGTTCATAGGTATGACAGATTTGTCTGGTTCTTGTTTGCAGGGTCCTGGGAAACTCAGCAGAAACACCAACCACATGCCCCTATGTCAGGGTAGGATACTGAGCTAGATTCCTCCATTGTCTTGGAAAAGAAGATAGGATCCAAGTGGTATGTGTGAGTTGTATTTAGGGAACAGAGTCAGAAGTCAATGCTGCAAGAACAGAATCAGTGAGAAGTGTGAGGTTAATACTCAGCAGTCGAGGATGCCAGGAAGAAGCTGAGAAAGAGTGTAAGGCTGTTGAAGAGGAAAGACGAGGAGGATGGGAATTCTCTTGTCCTGATCTTATGGTCTTAGGGAGAGTTAGTCCGTTTAGAAGCACATGGGTAAGGCCGGGCACAGTGGCACATGCCTGTAATCCCAGCACTTTGGTAGGCCAAGGTGGGTGGATCCCCTGAGGTCAGGAGTTCAAGACCAGCCTGGTCAACATGGTGAAACCCCATCTCTACTAAAAATAGAAAAAATTAGCCAGGCATGGTGGTGGGCACCTGTAATCCCAGCTTCTCAGGAGGCTGAGGCAGGAGAATTGCTTGAACCGGGGAGGCAGAGGTTCCAGTGAGCCCAGATCATGCCATTGTACTCCAGCCTGGGCAGCAAGAGTGAAACTCCGTCTCAAAAAGAAAAAAAAAAAAAGAAGCACGTGGGTCAGCAAAAGTGTTCTCATAAGTCTCCCTTAGTAGGTGGTGGGTTCATAAAGGGCAGAAATAGTGTCTTATGGGGTACTGAGCAAAAGATCTGACCCACGGGAGGGACTCAGTTGAATTAAACTGAAAGAGCTTGTCATTTTGAACTGTTCTTCCTGTTTACCATTAACATTTAATTAATCTACTTTAGGCACAATTATCATATTGCATATTTGGTATATGTGATGGCCAATTATATTTTTTGTTTATTTGAAAATATATTGCTTTTGAACGTATACACCCATGACATAATTTAGAATTTCACACACTGACATCAACAGGGAAGGAATAGGGTCCCGAATGAAGTTTGGAGAATAGTAGTGATCTTCACCGAATGTCTCCTTTCCAAGAAGTGTAAGATGAGCAGAATGGAAGGTAGCCTCTACCCTGGAAGAAAATCACTGTAAGTGTATCATTTTCAATCAAATGCTCAAAGCTGAGGACACAAACAATCATGTTCATGCCTTTTACATTCCATGCTTATACTTTCTTACCCAAGTGGTGATCTTTAAACCCTAGAAGTCACACCATTTTCCCAGATTTCAAGAATGATGCCCCTGCAGAAGTGTTTGGGGAGGCTGCAGGACTTTGTTTTTGAGACAAGGTCTCACTCTGTGCCCAGGCTGGGAGCAGTGGCACTATCTTGGCTCACTGCAGCCTTGACCTTCTGGGCTAAAGCGATCCTCTGGCCTCAGCCTCCCAAGTAGCTGGGACTACAGGAGCACACCACCACACCTAGCTGATTTTTTTAATTTTGTAGAGACAGGGATCTCCATATGCTACTCAGGCTGGTCTTGAACTCCTGAGCTCAAGTGATCCTCCTGCCTCAGCCTCCCAAAGTGTTAGGATTATGGGCGTGAGCCACCATGCCTGGTCTTTTTATCTTTTTAAACCAAAATTATCCAATAAGGGAACTGGACTGATATTGCCCTCTAACAATGAAACGTATAAAATGGTTTTTAGATTTGAGACCTGTGGAATTACAGGGCAATTATTGGACATTCCAGAAAGAAGGCATAAACTACAAGTTGCTCAAAGCTATTGAAATAATGACCACAGGAAGTGAGCATGCTTTAAAGCCCTATATGGTGTTATATTTCAGAAAAAAGCTGAGCTGGAAAATGAAACCAGTTTCTCTTCTAGCTGCTGAATTTTCCTGAATTTCCTACAAACTGCTTGGAATTTTGCAAACAATTCACAGCTGATAAAATAAAAGGGCAGCGGAACTCAGCGTCTGTGGTGAAGACCCTAGGGTCAGCCAGAGGGAGGGAAAGGTCATTGTCTGCCCCTCTTGGTTCCTGTAGCCAAAGAACTGTACAAGTTTTTGGTTTTCTTTTCCTCCGTTTAAATAAACAAAGTCAGCTGAATACCTACAGAAAGGATTACTAGGATAATTTGAACTTAGACTCCCCAGAGCCTTCCTGGAGAGTTTACTTGCACTTTTGCTTATTCGCTCGAAGAATATTCACTGGCTACCCACTGTGTGCCAGGCCTTGGGCTGGGCATTGATGGTTAAAGGACCATGAGGAACCACTGTTGTCCAACATGAGGAACTCTAAAGAGTGATAGGAGAGAGAACTGGAAGCAAACACTTTGAACATGGTGTGCCAAGGGCTGTGCAGAGGCCAGCACAGGGGTCTGTGTGAGCACAATGTATAAGATCAGATGCAGAGAAGTAGGAGTTTGCCACTTTCTAATGGAATCAGCTTTCGACGAAACTTTTTCAGGCTTAGAGTTAATTGTGAATTGCGAAAACTGAGAAGTAAAGGACCACACATTTAAAGCAGGTGCATGCAAGTCTGGGGCAGCCAAATGTCACCTCTTCCAGGAAGCTTCTACTCACCTGCACATGGTTAGAGATCAGCACTGTTTTTGGGGCTCCCCCAACACACTTTGTCAAATTCTTGATTATAGCGCTTATTGTGTCTTTAATTATTTATTCCTTTGTTGGTCCCTCCTCTATGAATTCTGGACTCAATGTTAGGGACTCAGTCTTATTCACTTTTGTATCTTCAGTGTTTGGAAGCACCAACAAACATTTGCTAAGTGAGTGAATGGGAGAGGAAGGCTGTGTGGTGCAGCGGGAAAGGCAATGAACTGGTAGTCAGGACATGGGGCTCTAATCCTGACTCTGCTACTAGTGACTGCATGACTTTGAACAAATCCCCTCATTGCTCTGGGTCTCAATTTCCTCATCTGTAAAATGAGAATAAAAATACAGCCTTCCACCCCAGGGTTATGGAGATTAAATGAGGTAACAGAGCTTCACCAGCTGCCTGCCCTGTTTGTGCCCTGTCCTCCTGAAACAGCCTGGACTATTGTTCCTGCCATTTGGATCTAATTTGTGCTCTCTCCCCTGGTGAGAGCTGAGCTGAAATCTGTTGCCTTGTTGGAGGGGAAGTTTGCAGCAATGGCATACATATTATCCAGTTGGCCCCTGTGTTACTACAAGGGCAGACATCAAAAGTGAGGAAGATGTCAAGCTAGAGAGATTTGCTTCTTTTGTTACCCCTAAACCTAAATGAGGACCCAAAGTGGGAAGAGTGAGGCAGAGCAGATCTACATCACATGCTGAGGTGTATAAGTGAGGCCTCAAACATTGTCCCCTAAGCCCTGGAATTCAGCAGCATCTAGGGGAATGCCACTTTAATGAAGTCTACTCATTCATATAATGTCATAATTTCTCAGTGCCTTGGGTTAAATGATTAACTCTATCATGGGTATTCAAGTGCTAAGAAAGATGAGGAAAGGTAAAAAATTGCAAATGCCAAATACAAGGAATACCATTTGGAAAAAATGGAAAATCACGATTTTAGACACTGCTGTCTCAAGAGATGACTATTGATTTTCAGGTGAGATGTCTTTCCAGAAGATCCACTAACATGGTTCTTTGTACATTGTGAAGGCAAACTTTTCCATCAAAACTTGATATATCTTCTACTTACAAGTCAAGTGTCTGGGGAGGCCCTAAAAATCTGCAACTGATAATTTGTAGGGCTTTCTGGGAGTCATATTTGTTAAATGAGTTTATTTAATTGCATGGACTGGGCCTTATCACAAGACAAGTGGTCAAGGGAAAATGGTGAGAGAAGAAAAAGAAGGTATTGAGGCTGGTAGAATCCCTACCCAAAGTCTAAAGTCAGTTCTGGTGCTAATGCTAGTGATCAAAAAAAAAAAAAAAAAGTATATTTCCATTTTGCAAGGCTTTTTTTTTTTTTTTTTTTGAGACTGAGTCTCGCCCTGTTGTCCAGGCTGGAGTGCAATGGCGTGATGTCGGCTCACTGCAACCTCTGCCTCCTGCATTCAAATGATTCTCCTGCCTCAGCCTCCCGAGTAGCTGGGATTACAAGCGCTTGCCAACATGCCCAGCTAATTTTTTTATTTTTAGTATAGACGGAGTTTCACCACGTGGGCCAGGCTGGTCTCAAACTCCCGACCTCGTGATCTGCCCACCTCAGCCTCCCAAAGTGCTGGGATTACAGGCATGAGCCACCGTGCCCGGCCCCATTTTGCAAGGCTTTTAAAAAAATATTGTGCGCTCAGATGGCACCTTTAATCACGAAGAACTTCTGGCTGAGTTCCAGACTGATTCTGCTGGCACAGAGAGCTCTGAGATCATACCCTATATTCAGAGCACAGAAGAAATATTTCATCCATCTCTGAAATAAAGAGGAAGAAATGAAGCATATTTGAACAGTTGCAGAAAAAAACCATACCAGGGTGAAAAGTGAAGGGCATCCTAGCCATTTGGAGTTACAGAAAAGTACTATTAATCCTAAATACTTAAGTGGCATATTTTTTCATTCTAAGTGTTTCACTATAAACTAAGCAGCTTGCATAAATCTATTTCATAGATATATAAATGAAAGCAGATTTCATGATTTACCTAAGACTACTTTAAATTAAAAAAAGAAAGGGAGAGGGCAAAGGAAAACAAGCAGCTCCCAAAGTAGCAGGTTGTGACCCAGGAGCTTGAGTGCTTAGAGCTGAATTTAATCCACACCCAGGTCAAATATAATTCTCCAACTTGGAAGTGGTCCAGGACACCCGAGCTAACATTTTTTACCTTTGCCAAAGAGCCTGGGGCAGTTTGGTGACAAGCAATCACAACCTCACTTCTATTTCTCAACTGAAAGAAAGACCAGAATCATCTCACAGGTGCTTTCCCCCATGGCAGGGCACTGGTTTAAGCTCAAGGACTAAGAAAGTTTGCTTCCCCTTGATTCATCATTGCCTCTTGCATCACTTATTCTCTGGAGATATATTCAAAGGTCTATTTAAGTTGGAGAGTTGGGTCATACAATTTTAGGTGGAAAGACTGAATCACAGCTTTACTCCATGTGTCAGCCTTGACCACTTGATTATATACTGTGCTTGGACGTCACTTCATCTCTCAAAGCCTTAGCTGTGGGAAAAGCCTGGGTGATTGCTCTGTGTATTAGAAACTGAAACCCCACCACTAAATGCTGAAAAGTGGTCCAGGCAAAAGGTGCTGTGGAAATCTGAAAGCCATTATCTTTTCCACACTTCCTCTCTCTTCACCCTCATTTTGTTTGGGAATGCACATGAACACCCGTGAACAAAAATAAACCAACCCACCCTTGACTGATTGTTCTGTCTTTTGAGTTATCAAACTTGAGTGCTTCTGGCTCCCAGATATGCTGAAGTAGAGACTGCTGGGAAGGCAGCCACAAATTAGAGTTGATCTTCCAGTATCTTCTACCTGTAAGGAATGGTTCAGGAAATTATAATTAATGAGTCCTGCCCCAAAGTTGAAATCATATTTGGATTTCAGAAATAATAAGAAAGCATATAAGAATCCTGGTGTCTTTTCTTAGCTCAACCATGTCCATCCATACTTTCTGGCCCTTTTAAACCAGTTACTCTATACCCAGTCCATATACATTTTGACTGTCTGCCCTCAGGAACTGTCTCAACTCAGGGCATCTTTAAGGAAGGCAGAACCACCTTAGGAGGTAGAGGGTGAAACGTGGCAACTCTTCCATAGGCGAATCAATATAGCAGACATGCTCAAGGTAGGAGGTTTTGCTAGGGCTTAAATCAGGCTGTCAACTCAAACACAATGGGCTTTGTTACTCCTGTGTAAAGAGGAAATGGAGCAGTTTTTGGCCTCCTCAGACTGTATTGTAGGGTATACAGGATGGCAATTCCAGGCACAATCTTCAGGAGACACAAATCTGCTTTTAGCTATTCAGTGTTCCCCAGCAAGTTAATTAGCTGTTTCTGAAATGCATGGAAATATTCAGCATTTTCATAGTGAAGCCAATCTCCCAGATTTAAGCTTTGGGGGTGGGAATGAGTATGTGAGGAAGAGGGTCTGTCAGGGAAACAGAATAGAGCCCTTTTGGTGAGAGATTCCAACACCTGTGACTTATCTTAGAAATTACACATGCACTGTAATTCCAAGACTTTTTTTTTTTTTAATTGGTTTGAGCACTCGAGCAGGAGGGCTTGCTGAGACCTCTCACTATTTTAGGCGTGGGGAGTTACCTCTGGGTTCAAAAGTCTTTGGGTGGGAAGCACAGAGGAACTGCGAAATGCCTCCCTCAGAAATGTCCAATTGCTCAAGGGGAGAAGCAGGGAGTGGGGTCAGGTAGCAGCCAGGAAGGTTGCAGGGGCCACGGGCACATCCTCTCCCTGAGTGGTAAGGTGGCAAGTGGGTTTGGGGACCATTGCTTTGACAACTTGTCAAGGGTGCGGAGAGGGCTGTCCCAGCAAGGTGAAGAGGTCTGTAGGAAAGGAGTCTCCCCAGAGACCTCCTAAGGACCAGAAGAGCGCGCACCCCGCCAAGTGACAGAACGTGCCCCCTCTGTGTCCGCTCCCTTCCCCCGCGGCCAATCACCGGGCAGAGGCGTCTCACGCCAGCAGGTCCTCCCTGGCTCCTCTCCTTACTCGTCCGGGCGGACCAAGCCTCAGCAGGAGCCCCGCCTGTCTCCAGGCAGTTTGAGCCCCCGAGCGCTCGCCCAGCCTGTCAGTAACCGCCGTTTGCGTTTTCTTCCTTTCTTTCTTTCTTTTTTTTCCTCCTCTTTTCTTTTCCCCTTCTGCCTTTGTCCCGCTTAGTAACTGGGCTCTGACCAATCGCCGCCTTACCGGCCGGCGCCGGCTGTCTCCTGATTGGCCCGCTTGGGGCGCGCAGCCGTCTCCCGCTCCTTCGCAGGAGCAAGGCAGACAAAAGACGCAGGCTCCAGGCTCCGGCAACCGGCCTCAGCCAATCACCACCCACCTTGCCTCTCTTCCCTCGCCCCACTCCCTCCTCGCCTGGCTCGCGTGCTCCCGGCACTGACTCCTGGAGTGCGGCCAGCGCCCGGATCGTACCATTCTGATTGAGGCTGGGGGAGAGCGCGGATGGCTGATTGGGGAGCCGAAGCCTAGAGAGCGGTGGGGAGACGTGAAAGTCGAGATGGAGAGCAGCTTTTTGAACATGTTCTCAGGCACTTGACAGAATCCCGGTACATCGAGGCGGGACGGCGTGGAAGGGGCGGTGGTGATGCCTGCTGTCCCCCCTCCCGGCGCGGTTGGGTGGCGCCTCAGCGGGTGGGCAGCATGGGGCGGGGAGGGTGTCCCCTCCGCGCCGTTAAAATGAAACTCTAGTGGCTGGAGTCCGGGCAGAGCTTGAGGGCAGTTGGTGCGGTCGGGTTGGTTCTTACACCCCGGCGGGAGCGCCCAGACAAGCCGAGCTGACTGGACTTCTCCGGCCGGCCCCATTCCCGAGGCTGCGGCAGCTTCGGTTCCGAGACCGACCGGAGAGGAGCCCGAGTCCCGGCCTCTGGGGGATTCGCTCTCTGCAGACCAGTGGGACCCCGAAACTTGAACGCAATCTCCAGCCCCCTTTTTTGCCTTCCTTTGTCACTTGCCCGGGTTTCTCCCAACGTGTTCTTTTTTTTCCTCTTCATTCTCCCTCCTTCGAAGGACACAAAAGTGGCTTCCGCGGAAAGATTTGGAGGCGGTGGGAGCTTTTCTCCCCGGAGAGCGACTGTGTAGAAAGGATTTTTGGGAAGCCGCTTTTTAACACCTCTGCTCTCCGTCCCCCAAGCCTCTGTGTAATCCTCTGAGGAGAAAAGCCCATAGCTTGAAAGTTCGGGGGCATTTTGTTGTGTTCTGTAGGAGAGAGGGGGAGGACCCTGTTCGGGTAGTTTGGCCGGACTGGTACTGGCCGTTGGAAAACCCGAAGTACATTTCCGTGTGGAACTTTTGCAGATATATATTTTTAGATTTTTAAATACCAGATAAAAAATATATGCCTTCTATATATCTCCTGGCGACCTGCCCCTGACAGCGCGATGTACAATACGGTGTGGAGTATGGACCGCGATGACGCAGACTGGAGGGAGGTGATGATGCCCTATTCGACAGAACTGATATTTTATATTGAAATGGATCCTCCAGGTACTTGGGAGAAAAAAAAAAAGAATCTCGTGATGGGTCTGATTTGTATTTACCAAGAGCTTGCTGATGTTTTCAGGGCAGAAGTATTCCTGGGTGCGCTAGGTTCGGGATGAGGAGATTTGCAGTTACAGCTGCGGTAAAACTGCTTCTGGTTTACACGTTTAAAGTTTGCAGTTAGGACCCTGATCCTATTGTCCTGCGAAGGTGGGGGTGGGGGCTGGAAGTGGGGGTGGGAGGAGAGACCCCTTTTTAAAATTATCATTATTTTTTACTTTGCCTTTGCGTGTCGTTCAGGTTTTTCTTGTGCCCGCCACTTTATTTTATTTTTTTCTTTTTCAATTAAAGACTCTTCTACCTGCAAAGGATGTTTTATATCCCGGGGTTAAAACCAGTCTTTCACTTTGGGCGAATTCTTGAAAGCTTGTCCTTTCATACATTTGTCTAATTTGGTTCGTTGTGTTTTACCCCGGTTAACTTCTGAAACTGAGTTATGTGATTATTCATTGTAAGACTCCCTTTTTCTCTTGCAGAAACAAATGCCGGTTAGTGATTTTTTTTAGGGATTGGGCGTTCGTATTCAGCCATGGTCTTAGTCTGAGGTTTTCCTTCTCAGAAGATAGTCGCTCAGAGAAATCTACGTGCAATATTTTATTACTCTTTAATTTAATGATGATTTAACTTAATTTATGGGATAGGGTTTAATGTAACTTCAATTCCTAGAATAAAGAAAAAGCAAAAACAAAAACGAGGGAACCTTTCTGTTTCCTGTGAACGTGTGATATATACATATGTGTTCCTATACACGTAATGTAAAGTATACATATATAGCACTATATTTTTATTTTAAAGCTCTGTCTGACGCTATTACAGACATTTTGTGTATCTGGTAGGAAAGGAAAAGGAAAGCAAAATGGAAAAGTTGGCTTTTTTTTCCTTTAAAGTCTACCCCATTTTATGATTATTAGCTGTCAGATTTTCTCAAACCCTGTTTGCAGTTACAGATGGTGTTTTATGTAATGATTCTGAATAAGTAGAGAGCCTTTGTGACTCCTTGTTTCTGTCGAGGATGAATTCTTTATGTATTTTAAAACGTGTTATGGCTAAGTCTACAGAATAAAATGTGTGTCATTGGGGAACCTCGTTTATTATAAGACTGTATTTTTGGAAACGTTTGAAAGGATTTGAGCCATGCAAGTGTGAAGAAGTGTAACTGTCTTATAGAAGGTATGTAGAAATTGTTTCCTGTGTCCTTGCAAACGGTGAATTATCCTGTTTTTTTTTTCAATTAGTCAGTGTTAAATGGTGCTGTACTAAAAACTAGTATTGAATAAACCTTTTTCACTCTTGATGATCACTTAGAATTTTTTTCTTTTCCTTTATTTCAGAGCTTTATTTGCTTTTATAATTGTGACTGCAATCCAGATGCAGCTTTTCAGTGTTTTGTAAAGTTTGTAAGATTTGCCACCCATCTATTGTGTCTTTCCCCCTTTGTTTCCCCCTAACGGTAAAGCATGTTAGATACATTTGTCATACATATGAATAGAAATTTAGTACATCACTGGTACTTTTATTGTAAAAAGTAAGGTTAATAATTCTAGATTCCTGTTATAAGAATTATATATTCAAACTGCCTTAGAATTATACTGCATTATATAGTACCTTGCCTTGCAGACATACAAAGGGAATTTGTTGGGTGGGAGGTGAGTAGGGAGGAGGGGAGAAAATGAAGAATGCACTTATGGTTGAAATATATTAGCCTAGTAGAAAAATACTGGTCAAGTTGAGTTGAGTTGTCCAAAAATAATTTTAAGAAAAGTTGACTGTTATAACTATATGGAGACGTGGGTCTTATAAGGTTGTATAGAAAATTCTGATCCAAACTTTATTTTCCATGGAAATAAACATTTGAGTTTAAAATGTTCATCCTTGAATGAAATTGTGCATACTGAGATTCTATTGAGAATACTGAAAAATACATATGCTGTTCTTTATTACCCCTTTTGTAGCTTTAATGTAGAATATGGTTAGTTATTCCTAACAGCTTTTTGAAAACGAAGCACACTTGAGTATGCTGAAACATTGCCTATGAAGTGAATGGTTTTTCATGGAAATAGTGTGAATGTCAACCTTGTTTTATGTGATAAATTAAGTTTTCAAAACATTTAAAACTGTATCATTAGTGAAGTGGTTGCAGCATGTTTTGTAGGTTTTTCCTAGCTCCCACCCCACATCAAGCTCTTATTATTTCCTTCCTGGACTGCTGTGATAGCGTACTAACTGCTCTCCCATTTCTATCCTGTTCAAGCCACGGTAATGTTAAGAGTATCATCTGATGATTTATCTTACAATGATAAATCTTCCAATGGGTTTAAAAACCTCTGAATGGCTTCCCTTTGCCTACAAAATAAATAAATAAATAAATAAATAAATAAATAAATAAATAAAATCCCCCAATTGCTTACCCTCTCATATAAGTCCCTCTAATTTTTGCTTCCAACTTAATTTTCTAGTTAATTCTCCTCCTGGAGTGCATCATAAATTCTATAGAAGCAATTTTGTATTTGCTGTTACTTGAATGTATGCTTTTTTTCCTCTTCCTGGGATGCCTTTCACTCACAATAGTTACATGTTGAAATCTTATATGTATGTGTTTTTAGGACCCAGGTCAGATACCTTTGGTGTCAGAATATGTTCTCTAAACCCTTCTGTTAAAAGTCATCCCTCCTTCCTCTTGCCTCCCTCTTCTAGCACTTCTTCTTCTTTTTTTTTTTTTCCTGAGGCAGAGTCTCACTCTGTTGCCCAGGCTGGAGTGCAGTGGCGCCATCTTGGCTCACTGCAATCTCCGCCTCCTGAGTTCAAGTGATTCTCCTGCCTCAGCCTCCCAAGTAGCTGGGATTATAGGCATGTACCACCACACCAGCTAATTTTTGTATTGTTAGTAGAGACAGGGTTTCACCAGGCTGATATCGAACTCCTGACCTCAGGTGATCTGCCTGCCTCGGCCTCCCAAAGTGCTGGGATTACAGGCGTGAGACCCCGCGCCTGGCCTACTCTTGTAGCACTTCTCAGATGAAATTTTTTCCATTCTGTCTAGAGAAGCTACTGTACTATTTATGTATGCTTCTCCCTATGAAATTGGCTTCCCACCTGGTCATGAGCTGCTTAGCTTGCCCAGGGTCTTGCAAGTAGTAGACAATTTAGTCAGTATATGTTTAATTAGTAAATAAGGAACATTGTTTCCTTCTAGTCTTTAGGTGCCTTTCTACTTAAGGTCCTTGCTCAACTCATTGCTTGGCTATTGTAGTAGCCTAGGGCTAAATAACTTTTGAATTAGACATTTGTTGACTTAGGGCCCTTAACTGTAATGGTGCCAATATTTTTATATGTTTTTTCATCTTTATTTTATTTTCAAGACAGAGTCTCGCTGTGTCGCCCAGTCTGGAGTGCAGTGGCTCTATCTCGGCTCACTGCAACCTCCACATCCTGGGTTCAAAGGATTCTTGTCCCTGAGCCTCCCGAGTAGCTGGGACTACACAGGCGCATGCTACCATGCCTGGCTAATTTTAGTATTTTTAGTAGAAATGGGGTTTTGCCATGTTGGCCAGGCTGGTCCTGAGCTCCTTGCCTCAAGTGATCTGCCCACCTCGGACTCCCAATGTGTTGGGATTACAGACGTGAGCCACTATGCCTAGCCTTTCATCTTAATTTTAGACTGAGCCATAAATGCCAAGTTTTATCTATTATTGCTTCTAGTGGCCTCAAAAACTATTTTTCAAAGATGTTTCCCTCTAGCCTATCTTTTCAATAACTAACATTGTTGTGCATCCTGAAGGTTCCTAATAACTGCATGGATTGGTGTATCTACAGTCATAGTAATGTAAAAGTTGAATCCAAATGGGAGTTTAATGTCTTAATGTTTGTGTATTTCCTGGCAGCAGTAGATATACTGAACTGTTCAGATGAAACATAAAACTTTTTATTTTTGGCTAGGTGTGGTGGCTAATGCCTGTAATCCCAGTGTGCTTTGGAAGCCCAAAGCAGGAGGATCGTTTGAGGCCAGGAGGTCTAGACCAGAACAGCTTTGTAGAGATGCCATTTCTACAAAAAACAACAACAACAAAACTTTTATTGTAGAAATGTTAAGATTGTAGTACAGAGAATCGCCTATAAGCATCTTGGTTAGTCTTGCTATGACTTCGGGAATTGGGATTATTCTGTAGCAAAGCTGGATAGAGGCCTCTCAAAGAGCGTCACCTTTGGTCTTTTGAGGATTACCTATACACAACTGATTATAACTCATACACAAAAGGTTGTAGCTAGTGGTCTGTTAGCTCAGCACTTTAGTTTTGACGTTGTTATTGTTTTCATTTTAGGAAAATGTAATAAATAACTTCCTTTTTAAATTAATGGACAATTCTTTTTTAAAAATTGTTGGCTTTTTTTTGTTCTTATCAAGACAGACTTCTGAAATTATGTATATATATATATATTTTTTTTTTTTTTTGAGGCAGGGTCTCACCTTTGTTGCTCAGGCTAGAGTACAGTGGCATGATCATGGCTCACTGCAGCCTCAACCTCCTGGGCTCAAATGATCCTTCCACTTCAGCCTCTCTAGGAGATGGGACTGTAGGTGCTTGCCACCACACCCAGCTAATGTTTTAAAAATTATTTTTTGGTAGAGACAGGGTTTTGCCATGTTGCCTAGGCTGGCCTTGAACTCCTGGGCTCAAGTGATCTGTCTGCTTCAGCCTCCCAAAATGCTGGGATTACAGGCATGAGCCACCGTGCCCAGCCTAAAATTATCTTTAGGGCAGCAACGTCTCTTCCTTAGATAATTAGAAAATGAAAAGTTTTGTTTTGCAAAACATGAATATAGGAAAGTCTAGAAAAGTGGTTCTCAATTTTTTTTGGTCTCAGTACCCCTTTTAGACTTAAAAAATTAGAAGACCTCAAAGGGCTTCTCTTTAAGTGGATTATATCTATTGATATTTGTAGTATTAGAATATAACTGAGAAATTAAAATATATTTAATTCATTAAAAAATAATAAAGCATTATACATATGGCTTTTTTTTTTGAGACAGGGTCTTGCTTTGTTGCCCCAGGCTGGCCTTGAACCCCTGGGCTCAAGTGATCCTTCTGCCTCAGCATCCCTCTGCGCCACCATGCCTGGCAAACATGTTAGCATAATTTTTCTAAATGAAAAAATAACTATATTTTCTAAAAGCAAAAAGAGTTAGTGGGAAGAATGGCATTGACATCTTTACTATCCAGCTTCATAGAAGACTTATTTGGTTTTTTTTTTTTTTTGAGACAGGGTCTCACTCTTTTGCCCAGAGTGGAGTGCAGTGGCGTGATCTCAGCTCACTGGAACCTCCATCTCCCAGGCTCATGCAATTCTCCTGCCTCAGCCACCTGAGTAGCTGGGGTTACAGGTGCCTACCACCATGCCTGGCTAATTTTTGTATTTTTAGTAGAGACGGGGTTTTATCATGTTGGCCAGGCTGGTCTTGAACTCCTGACCTCAAATGATCCACCCGAGTCGGCCTCCCAAAGTGCTGGGATTATAGGTGTGAGCCACCATGCCTGGCCAATAGAAGACATTTAAATTCTCATCTCTGCTGCTGCATTGAGTCTACTGAGATATTACAGGTTATAACCTCTGGAAAACACCCCTGTACAGTTATAAGAGAATGAGAGTGAAAATGGCCAATAGTATCTTAGTGATACTATGAAAATAGTTCTGACCTCTTGGACCCTCTGAAGGGTCTTAGAAACTCTAGATTGCGGCAAAGCGCGGTGGCTCATGCCTGTAATCCCAGCACTTTGGGAGGCCGAGGCAGGCGGATTACGAGGTCAGGAGATCGAGACCATCCTGGCTAACATGGTGAAACCCTATCTCTACTAAAAATACAAAAAGTTAGCTGGGTGTGGTGGCGGGCGCCTGTAGTCCCAGCTACTCGGGAGGTTGAGGCAGGAGAATGGCATGAACCCGGGAGGCGGAGCTTGCAGTGAGCCAAGATGGTGCCACTGCACTCCAGCCTGGGCAACAGAGTAAGACTCTGTCTCAAGAAAAAAAAAAAAAAGAAACTCTAGATCGCATTTTGAGACCTACTAGTCTAGAAATTAGACTATATAGTTTGGTGGACAACCTAGTAAAGTATCTTCTGACTTTGAAGCCAGACACAAAGGTGGTTTCGAAGAAGCTTATTTGCTTACCTTGACATACTTGGTATTTTCAACCTGGCACAATTTAGATTAAGTAACATTTTGGTGGAAAACTGGTACACTGGCCCTATGGTTGGGGAAAATATCTGCTGAGAGCTACATAGAATAAATAGGTCATCTGCCACTTCATGATCCTTACTGTTAACAGGTTAAGCAGCCTTATGTGGTTGAATTTTTATTTTTAACCCTGCACATTTGGATTCATCTTATATAAATACTTCTCCTGTGTGTAGTAAGATGTTTCTTTTATGATCTAGTTGTCAGTTTTTAATGATATTGTCGTTTGGGACAAATGCTTATATAATCAAATGATGTAAAAGCCATGCCAGTTTTTTTGTCTTCTTATTGAAAAAGATTAGTCATTGCTTTCATTTAATATATTATAATGTATAGTGTATCCAACTATGTTTCACTAGAAGTATGGTGATTCTCCCATTTGATAATGCTTTTAAAATTTATTCTCATTGTTTTGATGCTGAATGCTTTTTTAATTTTAATTTTAATTTTTAAAATTTTTTTTGAGACAAAGTCTCGCTCTTGTCCCCCAGTCTGGAGTACAGTGGCATGATTTCTGCTCACTGCAATCTCCGACTCCTGTGTTCAGGCAATTCTCCTGCCTCAGCCTCCCGAGTAGCTGGGATTACAGGTGTGTACCACCACACCCAGCTTATTTTTCGTATTTTAAGTAGAGACGGGGTTTCACCATGTTGGCCAGACTGGTCTCAAACTCCTGACCTCAGGCAATCCACCCGCCTCGGCCTCCCAAAGTGCTAGGATTACAGGTGTGAGCCACCACGCCCGGCCTTTTTTTTTTTTTTTTTTTGAAAAAGAGTTTCACCCTTATTGCCCAGGCTGGAGTGCAATGGTGCGAGCTCGGCTCACCGCAACCTCCGCCTCCTGGGTTCCAGCGATTCTCCTGCCTCAGGCTCCCAAGTAGCTGGGATTACAGGCATGTGCCACCACGCCCAGCTGATTTTGTATTTTTAGTAGAGATGGGGTTTCTCCATGTTGGTCAGGCTGGTCTCGAACTCCCAACCTCAGGTGGTCTTCCCGCCTCGGCCTCCCAAAGTGCTGGGATTACAGGTGTGAGCCACTGCACCCAGCTGATCATGAATACTTTTATATTTTTCTTAGAATGTAGAAAAGATAGGACGTGTTTATGATTGCCATATTTAACAAGATAGGTAGAAAAATATAAATGTATCTATGTGATATGATATAATTTTTTATTGGTATTAAAGGGGGAGACAGCCTGAGTGTAGTAGAAAGAACACAGGCTTTGGAAATAGATGACATAGATTACAAAACTAGCTTTGCTTCTTATCCTGCCCAGAGAAAACCTCTCTGTGCATCTGTTTTCTGTAAAATTGAACTCTTACCTTTGTAGAGTTGTGGGGATTAAATGTACCATATCAATATCTAGTATAGTATTTGACATATATTGTGTACCAAATAAGTGTAGCTTGTATTTAGAGCTTCTTATTGAAAACATGTAATTATCCCATGTCTACCTCTTTGGGTACTCTTGCAGTCAAAACCTTTGAGCTATTTTGCCCCATTCTTTTCTTCCTTCCCAGTGTTTACTGGGGCCACATTTTATCCATTTTGGGTTTTGGAATTGTTCTCTAGGGTCTTTTCTAGTTATAACGTTTCATGAGTCTATGGAAATGTCAACCCAAGTCATCTTTTCCTTTTAGTTTCTATTGCCTCTTGTCCAGTTCCTCAATACCTCACCTTAGAAATGATTTGTAATGAAGGTAATAGTTGCTAACATTTGTTGAAGAAATTATTATAGTCCAAGCACTATGTTAAATGCTTTTATATGTATTCTTTTAGCCACACAACAACCTTATAAAATTGGCATTGTTATTATCCCACTCTACAGACAGGAAACTGAGACTTAGGTTTAGTAACTTACCAAGTAGCAGAGCAGGTCCATCTGCCTAACTAAAGCCCAGGTTCTTAACCAGTACCTCTAAACTGGTTGCTCTGTTTCCGATTTCTTCTACCCCTCACTATAAGTTTGTCCCAAATTCTTCAGACAGGTTAGTTCTACTGAAATGTTATTTTCATTGTTTTACTGTTCTTTTCAAAAATAATCAGCTCTTCATTTCTTTTAAGTAGAGATAATATTCTTAAACTTGGTATACATAGTCTTTAGTAATATGGCACCTAACTTACATATTTATAACTTTATTACTAATTTTCTATTCATACTTCTAGTCGAATTCCTTCTAGCCCAATACCCTGATTGCTCATTCCTATCTCAAGCTTTTGCTTAAGCTGCTTCCTATGTAGAATATGCCCGTCTCACCTCCATCTTTAAATCAAGAGCCTGTCTGCGTCCCCTTTCCTTCTTAAAACTTTCTCCAAAAATTCTAGCACTGTACCCTTTTATATGTAGGGCTGTCTCTGTTATTTTGACTTGGAATCATGTGTTATATTATGATAATTATTTCATGAATATAATTCACCTCCCAAACAAGATAAGTTTCTTGAGGTCAGGCTGTTGTATTTCCTTCATATCTTTTTTTCTTTTTTCTTTTTTTGAGACAGGGTCTCATTTTGTCACTGAGGGGTGCAGTGGCTCACTGCAGCCTAAACTCTTGGGCTCAGGTGATCCTCCCACCTTAGCCTCCTGAGTAACTGGGACTACAGTCATGTGTCACCATGCCCAGCTTGTATCTTTTTTCCCTAAACATCCAGTGCCCAAGTATTTTGTTAAATTTTAGGCCCATGGATCCAACTAGCTTCATTTTGTGACTTAAGCTTTAAAATGTTAATATTATTTATTATCAGCATGTGACCTCTAAACTTATGAAGATAATTGGCTGGGCACTTATTGTAACAAAGGGAATAATGAAAAAAAATGCAATACTTAATGTTATTAGCAAGATTTATATAGCTCTGAGTAAAATTGTGTTTGAAACTTTGAACAATTAGAAATGAATAGGCCGGGCGCGGTGGCTCACACCTGTAATCCCAGCACTTTGAGGTGCCGAGGTGGGTGGATCACTTGAGGTCAGGAGTTCGAGACCAGCCTGGCCAACATGGTGAAACCCTATCTCTACTAAAAATAAAAAAATTAGCCAGGCGTGGTGGCGCGCCTGTAGTCCCAGCTAGTCAGGAGGCTGAGGCAGGAGAATCGCTTGATCCCTGGAGGCAGAGGTTGCAGCAAGCTGAGATCGCGCCACTGCACTCCAGCCTGGGTGACAGAGCGAGACTCTGTCTCAAAAAAGAAATGAGTAGTAAGTTTTTCACAGTGTATTAGGTTAGTTTTAAATAACACAGGGCCAAACGGAGAGTTTTAAGTTATCCAGTGTGTTATTATACCACTTAATTTTACTGTGTGTAAGACTTGACTTTTAACAAGTAAAGTGAGCCATCAAGCCTTATTAAAGATCAATTTCCACATTGCTTGCCCATATATGTTGTATGTATTGTTCCTTGTGCATATTTGTAAATTCACATAAAGTAAAAGGGTTATCTTATTGTTTTCTTTTTCTTTTATTTATTTATTTTATTTTATTTTATTTTATTTTTGAGATGGAGTCTCGCTCTGTTGCCCAGGCTGGAGTGCATTGGCATGATCACAAGTTACTGTAGCCTTCCCACCTCAGCCTCCCAAGTATCTGGGGCTACAGGCATGCACCACCACACCTGGCTAATTTTTAAAGTTCATTATTTTAATAAAAGAGGCAGTAGGCTACGTCCAGCCTGCCAAATCATACCATTTTGCATGTCGCATATCAGTATGAAAACTGCCCTATGAGTTGGTATTGATGAGCCAACACAAAGCCAAAGTCAATACCATCTACCCTTATCCATACTTGGACTTCCTGTTTCATGTTCTGTTTGTGGGCCAGATTGCCTATCCTTACCTGAGGATATGTAACAACAAATCCAGAGCATGCAACTGTGTAATCTTAAATATTGTGATAATTTTTATTTATTAACTATTTATTTTTAAATATTTATTATTTTTTAAATAGAGGTAGAGTCTTTCCAGGTTGCCCAAGCTTGTCTCGAACTCCTGGGCTCAAGCAATCCTCCCACCGCAGCCTCCCAAAATGCTGGGATTACAGGTGTGAGCCACCGTGCCCAACCCGTATTTATTTATAAACTTAAGAAAAATTCAATTATGAATCAAAATTAAAAATCTGAATGAAAATTGCTCTGAAAAAGGTCTTGCTGAAAGGAATTGTTGTGCTGGAAATATATTGCTTTAGATTCTGTTCTTACATATGTATTAAGCTTTTTTTTCCATAGAGGATAGAGTGACCTTTTTACAACAGGGTCACTCAATATGGTCTAATTTATGTTGAACTTCTAATAGACATTTATAGAATTAACCACAACCTTTTTTTCTGATATTAGTTCTGGGATGTATTTTATAAAAAGTGTTTAATTCATATGTTTTCAGCTGCAAGCAACAGAACTAATTCAAAATGGCTTTAAAAATAATAAATTTTATCTTCTCATTTAATAGAGTTAGTTGATTTCAGTAGTTCAACAATGTCAGTATAAACCCATATTTTGCTTAGCCATATATTGCTCAATTCTGCCATCCTTGGGACTGGCTTCATCCTCAGGCTAGTAGCAAAATGGTTGCGGTGATTCCAGGCATCATATCATATCCATAAATAACAACTTCCAAAAGAAGAGGAAAAGTATCTCTTCCTGTGCCACTGTTTTTGGATAGAGGAAACTTTCTACAAAAACCTCTAGCAAACTTCTTTCCCATCTTTTTGGCCAGAATTGGGTCATAGGCTAGTTCCTGAACCAGTCACCAGTAAATAACCCTTAGGTTAATCACGTTTCTCAATCTGGAATGGTGTTGGCTTCTACTGAGGTATATGGTTGTATTGGGGAGAGATTCTGTTAAAGAGGAAGAGGGAGAGAATTGATGCTAGGAAAGTAATTTGGAAAACCATAACTCTCTTCAGTGTTATTGTCTTTGTCAATAAACAGTATTAGCAAGTTATTTTTTACTTTTTCAAAGTTAAAATCTAGCTGTGGGAAATGCATTCTCATTTTCTATTTTTTTTGAGACGGAGGCTCCCTCTGTCGCCAGGCTGGAATGCAGTGGCACGATCTCAGCTCATTGCAACCTCCACCTCCCGGGTTCAAGCGATTCTCCTGCCTCAGCCTCCTGAGTAGCTGGGATTACAGGCGCCCACCACCACGCCTGGCTAATTTTGTCTTTAGTAGAGATGTGGTTTCACCATGTTGGTCAGGATGGTCTCGATCTCTTGACCTTGTGATCCACCCACCTTGGCCTCCCAAAGTGCTGGGATTACAGGCGTGAGCCACCGCGCCCAGCCACATTTTCATTTTCTAAGTTGGACTTCATAGGGTCACATAGTATTGAGTTAATATAAGACAGACCTTTTTCTATCTTGTTGGTTGCTTACTAGAAGATGAGGAAGCTAACATCTCTGGTTTACAGTTAACTAATTTGAGGAATATAGGCATTGGAATAGTGTTAGTGTAGCAAGTAAATGAGTGTAAGAGAACATTTTGCAAAACTATACACTTAAAATTCTAAAGTTCAGTAAATTAAGTAAACTTGGGACCTGTGGAATGATTTATGATTTGAAAGCTAGCCTGAAAAATTAGGAGCCGTCCAGACTGGGCAACATGAAGAAACCTCGTCTTTACAAAAAATACAAAAATTAGCTGTGCATGGTGGTGCATTCTTATAGTCCCAGCTACTTGGGAGGCTGAGGTGGGAGGATCACTTGAGCCCTGGAAGTCGAGGCTGCGCTGAGCTGTGATTATACCACTGTACTCCAGCCTGGGTGACAGAGCGAGACCCTGTCTCAAAAAAAAAAAAAAAAAAAAAATTAGGAGTTGGTTACAATGGCACATACCTGTAGTCTCAGCTACTTACAAGGCCAAGGTGGAGTTTTGCTTGAGACCAAGAGTTGGAGATCAGCCTGGGCAGCATAGTGAGGCTATCTCAAAAAAAACAAAAAAATGGAATACTACTTTAAAGTAACCTGTAGATTATATCTTTCAATTAAAATGTATGATGTGCCTAAGTATTGATTTTTCTCAGTATGTTAGAAATCTAGAGGCAGTATAGTGGAGTAGTTAAGAGAGGGGTCTCTGGAATCAGAACGCCTGAGTTCAGATTGTGCCTCTGCCACTTCTTAACATGTGTCCTTTGGCAATTTACTTACCTTTTCTGTGTTGTGGTTTCCTCACCCAAAAAGTAGGGTGATAATGGTCATTCAATAGGGTTATGAGGATTTAGTAGATTAATAACTGTCAAGTACTTAGTGTGGTACCTAGAACATAGTAAACACCTGTAAATTTTTTTTGTTTGTGTGTTAATTCATGTTTTTCAACAAATATTTGACTGCCAGGCACTATTCTAAGTGTAGTAGTGAACAAAACAGCAAAAATGCTTCATGGACTGTACATTTCTAAGGGAGTGAGGAGAGCAGAGAATAAACAAATTCATAAGTAAAATACCTAGTGATGGTGTTAAATGCTGTGGAGAAAGAAACAGAGGATAAAAATAGAGTACAGGGTGAGAGATCTGCTATTTTAAATAGGAGGCCAGGGAGGGCCTGACCTAAAGCAATGGGAGAGCAGGTCATATGGAAATATAACAGGTGTGAGGATGGGGGTTCCAGGTAGAGGATATCAGATGACCTACCCTGAGGCAGGAGCATCTCTGTGATATATTCAGGGATCATCTAGGAGGCCAGTATGGCTAGAATGGAATGAGGGGAAAGTAGTAAAAAAAGACAAGTGGCTGGGCGTGGTGGCTCATGCCTGTAATCCCAGCACTGTGAGAGGTCGAGGTGGGCAGATCACCTGAGGTCAGGAGTTTGAGACCAGCCTGGCCAACATGACAAAACCCTGTCTCTACTAATAATATAAAAATTAGCTGGGTGTGGTGGTGGGCGCCTATAATCCCAGGTACTTGGGAGGCTGAGGCAGCAGAATCGCTTGAACCCGGGAGGCAGAGGTTGCAGTGAGCTGAGATCGTGCCACTGCATTCCAGCCTGGGTGGCAGAGGGAGACTCCATCTCAAAAAAAAAAAAAAAAAAAGACAAGTAATGGTATGGGTGGTGGGGCTTTCCCACCATGTATGCCATTGTAAGCCATTGTAAGAACTTTGGCTTTTAAAACTCGTATAAGATGAGAAGCCATCAAAGTGTATTGAACAGTGATGTACTATGATTCTTGGCTTAAAGAATCATTCTGGCTGCTGGTGGAAAGAGGGAAAGGTAGAATTAGAGAAACTGGTTAGGAGGCTATTGCAACAGTCAAGCTGAGGGGATGATGGTGGCTTGGACAAGGGTAGAAGCTGTGAGGTTGTAAAAAGTGGTTGCGTTCTGAATGTTACTAGTTATATAGCTTGTCATTTCCAAACTGACTTACTCACTTTATTTTCTAATTTCTTAGCTTTGTATTTCTCCATATGCTATATATGCTTTAATAATTAATAAGTCTAACTTTTAAAGTAATGCCAAAGCTATTTATATATATTTTGATGTATTTTTCTGTGTGGGTTTTTTTGTGTGTGCGTGACTGGGTCTTGCTGTGTTGCCCAGGCTGGAGTGCAGTGTCACCAACAGCTCACTGTAGCCTTGACCTCCTGGGCTCAAGTGGTCCTCCCACCTTAGCCTTCTGAGTAGCTAGGACCAACTACAGGCGTGCACTACCACACCTGGCTAATTAAAACAAATTTATTTTTGTAGAGACACGATCTTGCTGTGTTGTCCAGACTGGCCTTGAACTCCTGGCCTCAGGCAATTCCCTTACCCTGGCCTCCCAAGTGCTGGGGTTACAGGCCTGAGCCATTATGCCTGACCTATTTTTCTCTCTTTCTTTCTCTTTCTTTCTTTCTTTCTTTCGAGACAGGTTTCACTCTGTTGCCCAGGCTGGAGTGCAGTGGCATGATCTTGGTTCACTACAGCCTTAACCTCCTAGGCTCAAGCAATCCTCTTACCTCAGCCTCCCGAGTAGCTGGGACTACAAGTGCATGCCACCATGCCCAGCTAATTTTTCTCTTTTTTGAAGTGTTAAGTGATTCAGATCTCTGACATCCAGTTGCCAACTAACAGTATATGTGGCCTTAGTTGTTTGATGAAAGCTTGTTCATGAGTTACTTTTTAAATAAACATTAGTTGATAAATTTAGATTGTACTATAATTTACTTTTTTTTTTTGGATACAAGATCTTGCTGTCACCCAGACTGGAATGCAGTGGCACAAACATGGCTCACTGTAGCCGTGACCTCCTGGGCTCAAGTGATCCTCCTGCCCCAGCCTCCTGAGTAGCTAGGACTATAGGTGCGTGCCACCATACCTAGCTAATTTTTTGATTTTTTGTAGGGATGAGGTCTTACTGTGTGGCCCATGCTGGTCTTGAACTCCTGAGCTCAAAGGATCCTCCTGCCTTGGCGTCCCAAAGTGCTGGGATTATAGATGTGAGCCACCACACCCAGCCAATTTACTTTCAGAAGTAACTTTGGAAAAGAAAATTTCCTGATGTTCTTAATTTTTTTGGTGGGCTGTGAAGGGGAGAAGAAACTAAAGAGAACGAAGCCATGCCATACATGTTTCATTTTACTTTATGTGCTGAAGTTCTTGCTTTCTGAGAATAATTAATAGAGATTTATGTTATTTTCTTTTTGGCATAATGTTTAAGTGCTTGAGTATAGATAGATATTGATATAAAATGGGTAAAGTATCTGTGTTTAAGAGCTCCAGACTCAGGTTGTTGGGATTTCCTATTCTAGCCCTGCCTATTTCTAGTTTGTGACCTTGGGCAGTTTTCTAATCTGTATAGCATAGAAAAGAATATTAATCCTGCTGTAGGGTTATTGTGAGAATTATATGGAATAGTACACATAAGACACTTAGGGCAGGTATCTGTTATTGTTGTTGTTATTTTTATTATTTATTTATTTATTTAAAACAAAATTTTTTTTTTTTTTGGATGGAGTTTCGCTCTGTCACCCAGGCTGGAGTGCAGTGGTGTGATCTCGGCTCACTGCAACCTCTGCCTCCCGGGTTCAAGCAATTCTCCTGCCTCAGCCTCCCGAGTAGCTGGGACTGCAAAAACACATTTTTGAAAAAGAGATAAGGCTTTAACTCTGTCACCCAAGCTAGCATGCGGTGCCCTGATCATAGCTCACTGCAGCCTTGAGCTGCTGGGTTCAAGGGATCCTCCTCCCTCAGCCTCCCAAGTAGGTGAGACTACAGGTATGCACTACCATGCCTGGCTAATTTTTTTTATTTTTAATTTTTGTAGAGACGGCGTCTCACTGTGTTTCCCAGGATGGTCTCAAACTCCTGTCCTCAAGTGATCCTCCTGCCTCAGGCTCCCAAAGCAGTGGGATTATAGGCATGAGCCACTGTGCCTGGCCTATTTTCATTATTATTGATAAAACTGGGATGCTTTGTGGCTCATCTCCATAGCGTCCCATTCAGAGGAAGAACCAGCCTAATATTCAAATTAAATTGAAAAGTAATTTAAGTATTTATTCCATCCTCTCAAAAATGCCAAAGGGGTTTACATTCATAAAACTACAATACTACTTAAAATCCTATTTCTTCATGTTTGGCATGGTTAATCCCAAACTTTCTTCTCTCTTAAAACTTACCAACTCATGACAACTTGAGCAGTCTTATTTTTGCGTTTCTTTTGTAACCCTTCTCAAACCTATTAAGTTTCTATTCCGTGAGTACCTGTCTCCCATTAAACTCTCTCCTTTGCCCGTGTCATTATTCTGATCTGTACAATAAGGGCCAGGAACCAAGAGAGCAAAGAAAAGAAGCTATGAATACTCAAATATAGCAACATTTTTGTTTCTGTCACACTTATCTGTGGTAGAGGATATAATATGTTTTGGCTTTTGGAAAAAAAGTCTGTTTAGTTTTAGAAGGACAACGAGGTGGTTCAGACCTGTTGCAGGACATTAATTCGGGACTTGGAATTTAGTTTTTCTCCAGATAGTCATAAACTATATAAGAGCTGCTATCATATCTCTCTAACTGGGACTGGTTCCTAGTGTTCAGCCCTTGAAATTTAGTATTGCCAGATAAAATATATGCAGTATGGACCATGCAGTATTATTCATTGTTTATTTGAAATTCAAATTTAACTGTGTGTCCTATATTTTTATTTGCTAAATCTAGCAACCTTAATTTAGAGAGAGGATGCTGACTAGGCTGTATTTTCTAGTACATTTTCTATGGTGTTTAAGAGTACATGTGTAACTTGATGTGGTGGATATGAGGATACTTTCAGTTTTGATAACAGAAAATGCAACTCAAATTAGTTAAAACAAAGGGAATTTGAATTTGAATTACATACGCTTATGTAATTGAAAAGACCAAAGGGAGTGAGGGCCCCTGGCATGGTTTGATGAAGGGTACAGGCTTTGGCCCTGTTTTTCTATAATTCTCTTGGCTTTACCCTGTATTAGCTTTTTTTTCTCAAACGGGCTTCCCCAGTAGTACAAGATGGCTGCCTTTGTATGTTTCCTCATTCCTGGAGAGAAAGTAGATGCTTCCTACAAATACAGTGCAAAATCCTAAGCTTGACACTAATTGAACCATCTTGTGCTCCAAAGGATCACTGTCTTAAAATCTGGGTAGCTTTCTGTGTCTAGACCAGTGGCTTTTAAACTTGAGTGTGCATTAGAACTACCTGGAGGACTTGTTAAATTACAGATTGCAGCCAGGCACTGTGGCTCATGCCTGTAATCCCAGCACTGTTGGAGGACCAGGCGGGAGGATTACGTGAGTCCAGGAATTCAAGATCAGCCTGGGCAACATGGTGAAACTCTGTCTCTACCAAAAAAAAAAAAAAAAAAAAAAATTAGTGAGGCTTGGTGGTGTATGCCTGTAGTCTCGGCTACTTGGGAGGCTGAGATGGGAGGATTGCTTGAACCTGGGAGGTCGAGGCTACACTGAGCTGTGATTATGCCACTGCACTCCAGCCTAGATGACAGAGAAGATGCTATCTCAAAAAACAAAAACAAAACACACAAATTGCTAGGTCCTACCCCCAAAATGTCTAGTTGAGTAGGTTCCGTAGGCTTGGTTCCAAGAAGTTATATTTGTAACACGTTCCCAGATGTTACTGATTTTGCTGGTCACAAACCACACTTTAAGAACCACTGTTATGTCAAATCAGGGCCTACTTCTGGAGCTGAGGAAGGGGTCAATCCCACTTAAACTTTTTACCAGTGAGGGGAGGCGGTAAGATGTTTTGGAAGATAACAACAATGTCCACTGAAGAGAGGACTGCTGGTTTTTTTGCATATCTACTTTCTCTTCCCTCTTCCCTCTTATTTAGGTAAGAACTTCCTGATTTTTCTCTTGGAACCACTCCTCCTTCATTTGGAATGATGTGGCTTGGGTGGTTGGCCTAACCCATTGGTTTAAGGGTGGGCACGTGATCTAGGCCTCGTCAATGAGAGCACTTGCATAGTCACAGTGATCAGCCCAGGAGTGAATAGGGCAGTGATCTTTGTAGTTTAGTCAGTGTACGTTACTATACGTTGCTGTTTACTGTCCTGGCTAGGGATATGAAGATTACATAATCCCTGTCCTCAAGAAGCTCAGACTGTAATTATGAAAGACATATCTGTAAATATACCCATGCATCGCTCCTCTTTATAATTCCTTCTCTTTCTCCTGTCATCTAAGATATATTTTTAATAGATACTGTACTACCTACCACCTTTATAATCCTTAACCATACTTATTATCGTTTAGTGTCTTTAGTCCTCATTAAATTATAAATTCCATCAGGATAAGGACTGAGTCCATAATTAGTTGCTGGATCTTCAATACCTAGCCCTGTCTCTGGCACATACAAAGTATTCAGTAAATATTGATTGAATGAATGTCAAAGTATAGCAATAGAAGAATATATAAATGAAATAGGGAATGATTGGTTTACTGGTGGAGTAGGAGACGTAACAGCCTGAATAAATGCATAAAGTTATTAAAACACCTTAAGTTTTGTTGAAGACAATGTATGAGATAGGACGTGGCCTGCGCATGGTGGCTCATGCCTATAATTCTGGCACTTTGGGAGGCTGTGGTGGGAGGATCTCTTGAGCTGAGGAGTTTGATACCAGCCTGGGCAACATAGTGAGACCCCCATCTCTTTAAAAAAAATCTGGCTGGGTGTGGTGGCACATGACTGTAGTCCCAGCTACTTGGGAGGCTGAAGTGGGAGGATTCCTTGAGCCCAGGAGGCTGCAGTGAACTATGATTGGGTCATTGCACTCCAGCCTGGGCAACAGAGCATAACCTTGTCTCAAAAAAAAAAAAAAAAAAAATTGAGAGATAGGAAGTGGTATTAGATGAATCTGGACCACTAGGTGCGGTCCAGATCATGAAAGGCCCCGAAGGCTATATTTAGGGGTTGAATTTTATCCTGCAGGCATTTGGGAAGCCACTGATTGGTTTTAAGTAGGGAAGAGAGTACAGTGGCTGTAAGGTAAAAAATAGATTGGAGGAGAATAAGATTAAAGAAGGAAAACTGGTTAGGAGGCTATTTTAGTACAGAAGAAAGATGTTATGAAAGCCTAAGGCTAAGATTGTAGCAGTGAGAATGAATAGTAGAGTTGTTTAAAAAGTAGGATTGGTGGGCTTCGAGGCTATTCTGAGGAAAATGAAATAATCTAGAATGACTTTTGGTTTTCTAGCTTGGTAGATGGTGGTAGTATAAACCAAGAGAAGCAAGTTGAGGAAGAAGGACAGATTTGGATTATATGGCCTCTTACATAAAAATGAGGGAATGGTGAAATGGCCCAGGTTCTCTCCTTTTGGTGGGATTCTTTTTCTCTTAGGCTTCACTTGGGCAGGAGAGGAGAGTGGCTTCTGCTACTTCTAGGTTTGGGGACTAGAGCGGATGATAGTAAATCAGATATTACTGAGTTCGTAGGGTGGGGGAGAGATCACAGTGAGAATGGAATGCTTCCAGGTTTTAGTTGCTAAAGTAATTTTTAGTTTTCAGATGTTTAAACTGCCTCATCCTTTTTGAAAGCAAGTGTATAAATTATAAGAAAATTAACTCTTAAGATTCATGAATTAGCTTCACTATTGGTGGAGATGTGAATTGCTGCAGCTGTTTTGGAAAGTTTGTCAATATATAGTAAAATAGCTCTTCTGGGAATCTGTTCTGTAGAAATAAAAGTATCAACATATAAAGGTATATGTATGGATATTTTTATAATGTTTCCAATATTTGCTACTAAAAACAGCCTGAATATCCATCAATAGTAGGAAGTATAAATTGTCATTTACCTGTACTGTGGAATATTTCGCAACTCAGAGAATGTGTTATAAGTCTGTATGTATTTACCTGGAGGGATGTCTGTAATAGATTGTAGAGTAAGACAAACAAGTTATAAAGAAATGTGTATAATAAGATCCCATTTTTATAAAAAACCAAAAACAATGTTTCACATTCTTTTTTAGGATTATAGGAACCTGAAGAAAGGTGTAAAGGTGTATTTTATTTCAGGTTCTCTTTCCATGGCATATCACAGTGAACAAAACAAAGTCCTTGTTTTACGTAGGAGGACATGTGACAATAAATAAGAAGTGAATATATAGTATGTTAGGTGGAGATAAATATTATAGAGAAAACAACTACTGGCTTAAGGGGGATGGAGGACAGAGATGGAATTGCTATTTTATTTTGGGTAGTCAGAGGAGGCCTCACTGATATGGTGACTTAACTTTCTTTTTGTGAAATACAATAATACTAAAAAGTGTAGGAAACATAAACATACAGTTTGTTGACTTCATATAAATTGAACAGCTACTTAACCACCACCTAGATAAAGATTTTATAGATAGCCAGCTTCTCAGAGACCCAAAACATGCCCCCCCACCCTTTTTTTTGAGACAGAGTCTGGCTCTGTCACCCAGGCTGAAGTGCAGTGGTGTGATCTCAGCTCACTGCAATCTCTGCCTCTGGGTTCAAGCAATTCTCATGCCTCAGCCTCCTGAGTAGCTGGGATTACAGGTGCACACAGCTACACGCGGCTAATTTTTGTATTTTTAGTAGAGATGGGGTTTTATCATGTTGGCCAGGCTGGTCTTGAATTCCTGGCCTCAAGTGATCTGCCCGCCTCAGTCTCCCAAGGTGCTGGGGTTACAGGTATGAGCACTGCATGGAGCCTAAAACATGCCCTTTTCTAATTATATTCCCCTTCTTACCCCCAGAGGTAAGAAGGCAGCGGTGGGGCATGTTTTGGGTTTCTGAGAAGCTTTGTGTACATGCTGCCTTGAGAGGAAGAAGTATTGTTAGAAGACTGGTTTGAATTTGGTCTGCTTACCAACTATGTGACATTGAATGGTTGTCATATAAAATGGAAGTAATAATACTTAATTCACAAGGATTTTTAAATAAGAATTATAATATTTATGTGCCCATATATATATATTCACATATATATGTAATGAAATAACACCCAGTATCTGGCATATAGCAGGTACTCTATACATCTTTTGTGAAGGTCAGTGTTTTCGTGATATAGTAATAGGGAAATGTGTAGAGCTTGTGCTAGAGATTTTGTTAGAGGCAGCTACGTATCTTACTTGCTAGAGGCTACTTGGCTCTAGTATGTTTGGCTCTAAGATCAGGATGGGTAAAATCTTGGGACAAGAGAAGCAATGTAGCAAGTGTGAGTGACCATCTTTCTTTTTTTATGGGTCATTTCAACTTTTTCTATGGGAAAATTAAAAAAAAAAAACCAACTTTTTCTGTTCCCAGGCTGACCCTCCCCCCTCCGCTTTTTTTCATTTTGTGTCTCAGTAAAATTCCACTGCTGTTCAGCATAATTACTTCTTGGATCTTCACTTCCTCTCTATGGTAAGCCTAAATGCTGACCATCTCAAGCAGTAATTCAACAAATATTTATTGAATGGCTTCTATGTGTGAAACACTTGGCACTGGAGATACAAAGATGGGTAAGAAAATATGTGCCCTAAAGGAGCTCATAGTCTTTGAGTACAAAGATAGGGTTCAACAACTAAACTATAATCACTAAACTTTAGATTAGAAGGTTGAGAAGAGCTCTGTAGAATCAAAGAAGAGGTATTACTTAACAAGGCCTGAGAATATGAGGGAAAGTTTCATGGAAAAAAACATGCATAATTTGAGTCTTAAAAAAAAAGTAGCTGGGCTGGGCGTGGTGGCTCAGGCTGAGCCTGGTGGCTCACACCTGTAATCTCGGCACTTTGGGAGGCAAAGGTGGGTGCATAACTTGAGGTCAGGAGTTCGAGACCAGCCTGGCCAACATGGTGAAACCTCAACTCTACTACTAAAAAAAAAAAAAAAAAAAAAAAGCCAAGCCTGGTGGCATGTGCCTGTAGTCTCAGCTACTCGGGAGGCTGAGCCAGGAGAATCACTTGAACCTGCGAGGTAGAGGTTGCAGTGAGCTGAGATCGTGCCACTGCACTCCAGCTTGGGCAACAGAGTGAGACCCCATCTCAAAAAGAAAAAAAAAAAAGTGGATGAGGCAGGTTGGTAAAAGAGATAGGGATGGGCATTTTATGAGGTACAGGATATGTGCAAAGGCATGAGAAAGAGTTGTGTGTTTGGATGAGCTGCAGGTATTGGTGTATCTAGGGTGAAAGGTGCCTGTGGGAAAGTAATAGGAAAATGAGCTTGGAAGAGTAAGCAGAGACTGGACCATGTAGGGCCTTCTATGCCATGCTGAAGAGTTTGAACTTTATCCTGTATGTGGTGGTGGAACTCTTGAAACATAGTGTGCTAAACCATTATGGTTAGATTTGAAACTCAAAAGAAGCAGAGAAGGGTGGAAAAGAACCAGGAGATTGGTCGGGCGTGGTAGCTCACGCCTGTAATCCCAGAACTTTGGGAGGCTGAGGTGGGCGGATCATGGGGTCAGAAGTTCGAGACCAGCCTGGCCAATATGGTGAACACATCTCTACTAAAAAGGCAAAAAAACTAGCCGGGGGTGTTGGCGGGCGCCTGTAATCCCAGCTACTCGGGAGGTTGAGGCAGGAGAATCGCTTGAACCCAGGAGGCAGAGGTTGCAGTGAGCTGAGATTGCGTCACTGTACTTCAGCCTGGGCAACAGGCGGAGACTCCATCTCAAAAAAAAACAAAACAAAAAACCAGCACATTGGTCTCTGGTAAGCCGGGTAGAGATTTTTCAAGAAGGAAAAAATGGCTAACAGTGTACAATTTAAAGTGATTAAGTGAAATAATGATACAAAAGCTACTGCTGGACTTTGCTATTGAGACAACCTTAACAAGATACATATTTATGTAGTGATTAGGGTAGAAGCCAAATTCCAATAGAAGAGTAACTGGGAGGTGAGAAAACAGACTGCAAATGTAGACCATTTTTAGAAAACTTGCTGTGAAGCAAAAGTAAGAGGTAGTTAGAGAAGTAGAGCAGAGAAACATAATTTTTTTTTTTTTTTTTTTTTGAGACAGAGTCTCGCTTTGTCACCCAGGCTGGATGGAGTGCAGTGGCGTGATCTTGGCTTACTGCAAGCTCCACCTCCCGGGTTCATGCCATTCTCCTGCCTCAGCCTCCCCAGTAGCTGGGACTATAGGCGCTCACTACCATGCCCGGCTAATTTTTTGTATTTTTAGTAGAGACACGGTTTCACCGTGTTAGCCAGGATAGTCTCGATCTCCTGACCTCGTGATCCGCCCGCCTTGGCCTCCCAAAGTGCTGGGATTACAGGCGTGAGCCACCGCGCCTGGCCGAGAAACATAATTTTTTTGAAGATGAAAGTTAAGCATGTGTTATGTTTTGGTGGAGTAGAATAGAGTTAAGACTGAATATTTAGGGCTGTGTGATTTGATGGAACAGGAAGGTGGTGGGTGTGGAGGCAAGAAGGGATTACTGTGCTAGCTCAGGGAAGGAGGAGATAAACCTTTGCCTAACATTTAGAATGAAGGATATGGGTATGACGAAGAGTGTAGGCTGGAAAATGGGGTGAGGTCAGATTTATTTTTTCTGGTAAAGGGCAATTGTGAGAGAAGAGATGTATAGAGTGTTTGGCTTGAGATTTAGAGTACCCATTGATTACTGTCTGGGATGGAAAAGGTCACTGATCCTGAGGCATGTGGATGAATTACCAACAGGATAGTAATCTCAGTTAGGATTAGAAACTGTAAATTTGTAGTGGAATGAATTCCTAACCTGTTATGATTTTCTTCAGCAGGACTCAGTAGCTGTGGTATGGGAATAGAGGAAGCAGGCAGTTGGATTGATCCTCCTCGTTCAGAGATTTACTAGCTAGTGTGGCAAAAGAACCATAGGGAGCTGGAGAGATCCTGGCAAGAGAGTGGGTGATGTTCAACATTAAGTGAATAATTAAGTAAATGATGATACATTCATATAAAAAGCTGTGTTTCTGCTATTAACATTTATGTTTATGAAGAGTTTATAAAAGTACTTATTTTATAATGTTAAGGTAATAAAAGTGCTGTATATTGTACAAAGGGTTAGTAATAACTGTAATATTCAAGAGATTGTTTAGGGCATAATGATGAAAAGATACAAAACCATTGTATTGGTCACACCTATTCACATGAAGACAATTATTTGACAGAGATTATTAGTTCTTCTTTATAGGTGAAGAAAATGAGCTTTAGTAAGGGTGAATTGTTCAGGGTCACAGATTTGGTAAATGGCAAAGAGAACTATTATAATTTATGGAATAGTTACTGTGTCAGGCATTGTTTTATCTATGTAGTATTAATATTTTTCTCACATATTGCTCTAATTTTAATTTTTAGTTAAAAAAGCACACTCAAAGGAGAGTAACAATATAAGCAATAGATAACTAAGTATGAATTATCTAAATAGTGGATTCCAACTAACTTTGCAAGTTGCAAAGAGTGATACCAAGTGCTAGAGAAGTTCAAAAGAAAGATGTAGGCTAGAGTCGAAGAAAGACTTTGGAGATAATCATATTTGAACTTGGACTGTGAAGGATAGGTAGGATGGTCTTTTTAAGTAAATGATGATACAGTCATATAGAAAGCTGTGTTTCTGTTTTTGTTTTGTTTTGTTTTGTTTTGAGATGGAGTCTCGCTCTGTCACCCAGGCTGGAGTGCAGTGGCGTGATCTTGGCTCACTGTAACCTCCGCTTCCTGGTCTCTTTGATTTATTCCTTTCCATATTAAAAAAATAATAGTACTCTGTAATAGTCTAGTATCTCATGTATCTGGAGCCTTTGCTTAGATAAAAAGTCTTGCTTTTTTATTTTATTTTTTTGAGACAGAGTCTCACTCTGTCACCCAGGCTGGAGTGCAGTGGCATGATCTCAGTGGTGCAATCTAGGCTTACTGCAACCTCCCAGGTTCAAGCAATTCTCATGCCTCAGCCTCCGGAGTAGCTGGGATTACAGGCACCTGCCACCATGCCTGGCTAATTTTTGTATTTTTAGTAGGCTTTCACCATGTTGGCCAGGCCGGTCTGGAATTCCTGACCTCAAGTGATCCACTCGCCTTGGCCTCCCAAAGTGTTGAGATTACAGGCATGAGCTGCTTATTGTTTTTAAAAGACTAAGGCAGCCGGGCACGGTGGCTCACGCCTGTAATCCCAGCACTTTGGGAGGCTGAGGCGGGTGGATCATCTGAGGTCAGGAGTTTGAGACCAGCCTGACCCCGTTTGTACTGAAAATACAAAATTAGCCAGGCGTGGTTGCACGTGCTTGTAATCCCAGCTACTTGGGAGGCTGAGGCAGGAGAATTGCTTGAACCCAGGCGGCAGAGGTTGCAGTGAGCCGAGATCACGCCATTGCACTCCATCCTGGGCAACAAGAGTGAAACTCTGTCAAAAAAAGAAAAAAAAGACTAAGGCAATCAATCTGTGGATATCATAAAGGACTCAACATTATTTGCTGATCCCTGGGGTATCATTTAAGATTGCTTTGGAAGGAATGGAAGAAATATGAGTTCCAACTAACTTTCCAAGTTGAGTCATGAACTCCTTGATAGGCCTTCTAGAATATATTTAAAGTGTAAATATAATGTATCTATCCATCCATTATCTAAAGTTATTTTTCTGCTAAGTCGTTTATATTTGATTATTATTTTTTACTATGGTTAGTGGAAGAAAAGCAATTTGAAATAACTACTAAAAACCATTGAAACCAAAGATTGAGATTTTTGAGGGGGCAGGGAGATAATCATCAAGAATATATCAGAAAGGATTTAATGGTTGAGGCTTGGTATGATAGCTTATGCCTGTAATCCCAGAACTTTGGGAGGCCAAGGTGGGTCTATCCACTTGAGCCCAGGATTTTGAGACCAGCCTGGGCAACATACCGAAAACTTGTCTCTACACACACACACACAAAATTAGCTGGGTGTGGTGGCATGCACCTGTAGTTCCAGCTGCTAGGGAGGCTGAGGTGGGAGGATCATTTGAGCCTGGAAGGTCAAGGCTGCAGTAAGCCATAGTCGTCCATTGTACTCCATCCTGGGCAACAGAGCAAGACTGTGTCTCAATAAATAAATAAATAAACAAATGATTGCCCTGTACTCAAGGTTAAAATAGGGAATGCTGTATGTGGATTTATTATTCATCAGTTTTTATATTTGAGATGCCTATAATTGCCATGTGTAAGTTAATTTCCACAAGAAGCAGTCATCATTGTAATTTTTTTGAAGGTTTCAAATATACTTTATTTCTTCATTTATGCCATATCTTAATGGGTACACAGTGCTTTTACTTGGCTTCAATTATGAGCTGTTTTTTATTTAATTAATTAATTTATTTTTTTGAGGCGGAGTTTTGCTCTTTTGGCTAGGCTGGAGTGAAGTGGCGCAATCTTGGCTCACTGCAACCTCTGCCCCCACCTCCCCCTTCCACCCCAGCCCCGGGGTTCAAGCGATTCTCATGCCTCAGCCTTCTGAGTAGCTGGGATTGTAGGTACCCGTGACCACACCCTACTGATTTTTCTATCTTTAGTAGAGATGGGGTTTCGCTGTGTTGGCCAGGCTAGACTGGTCTCGAACTTCTGACCTCAGGTGATCCACCTGCCTCAGCCTTCCAAAGTGCTAGGATTATAGGCATGAGCCACTGTTTCCAGCTGATGAGCTGTTTTTTGTTTTGTTTTGTTTTGAGACAGAGTCTCACTCTGTCACCCAGGCTGGAGTGCAGTGGCGTGATCTTGGCTTACCGTAACCTCCGCTTCCTGGGTTCAGTTCGAGCGATTCTCCTGCCTCAGCCTCCCAAGTAGCTAGGATTACAGGTGCAAGTCGCCATGTCAGCTAATTTTTGTATTTTTAGTAGAGACGGGGTTTCACCATGTTGGCCAGGTTGGTCTCGAACTTGACCTCGTGATCTGCCCTCCTCGGCCTCCCAAAGTTCTGGGATTACAGGTGTGAGCCACCGTGCCCAGCTGATGAGCTGTTTTTTAAACAATTCAGTATTACACCAGCTGGGATGATTACTGATCTCTCCATTCCTTCGGAGTGACTCTCCCATCAGGGGACAGGTTCCATTCTATTCCAATTTGAGTTGCTACATAAGTCCATACAGCAATAGAGAAAGTGGCTCCACTAGCTAATACAGCATTACTGTATTTGTCATGAAAATCAGGTGTATGTTTCTGGTGGCTCTGCCTTGCGATTGTTTGCAGAATGCTTTGAACTTGGAGATGACTTAGTGTGTGTTTTTTTTTTTTTTTTTTTTTTTTTGATGGAGTCTTACTCTGTCACCCAGGCTGGAGTGCAGTGGCGCAATCTTGGCTCACTGCAACCTCCACATCCCGGGTTCAAGTTCCCTGCCTTAGCTTCCTGAGTAGCTGGGATTACAGGCGCTTGCCACCATGCCCAGCTAATTTTTTTGTAATTTTTAGTAGAGACAGGGTTTCTCCATGTTGGTCAGGCTGGTCTCGAACTCCTGACCTCAAATGATCCACCTGCCTCAGCCTTCCAAAGTGCTGGGATTACAGGTGTGCGCCACTGTGCCTGGCCATTAGTGCATTTTCAACCAAGGGAAACATTGTGAAGGTGAAGATAGAACTGTGGTAATGCAACTGCTGCTTTGGTGCAAATTCTTATGATTGTAATCTGTCTCGTTTGTAGATGTTTCATTTAATGGATTATGGCTTCAAATGGGTATTTGATACTTTCTGATAGGATTTACATGGTAACTACACAGAATTAAATATTAGACAATTTAGTGAGCTATGAAAAGATAGCTTTAATAGGGAAAGCACTTTTTAAAAATAACTAAGCAAATCTTACCAAAACTGACTTGAAAAGAAGTTGAAAATCTTTTTAATTTTGTCACCATAAAAGAAATTTAATTAGTGATTTAAAAAATCTACCAGAACAATTCTAGGCCCGTACGATTTCCTTTTTTTTATCATTGCAGTTTTAAAAAACTTCATGTCCAGGCGTGGTGGCTCACGCCTGTAATCTCAACACTTTGGAAGTCCGAGGCGAGTGGATCACCTGAGGTCAGGAGTTTGAGACCAACCTGGCCAACATAGTGAAACTCTGCCTCTACTAAAAATACAAAAAAAACTAGCCAGGCATGGTGGTGCATCCTGTAATCCCAGCTATGCAGGAGGCTGAGGCAGGAGAATTGCTTGAACCCGGGGAGCAGAGGTTGCAGTGAGCTGAGATCACGTCACTTCACCCCAGCTTGGGCAAAAGAGTGAGACTCCATCTCAAAAAAACAACAAAAAAAAGACCTTCACATAATATAAAATATACCATCATGGCCGGGCGTGGTGGTTCATGCCTGTAATCCCAGCACTTTGGGAGGCCGAGGCAGGTGGATCACAAGGTCAGGAGTTTGAGACCAGCCTGGCCAACATGGTGAAACCCCATCTGTACTAAAAATACAAAAAATTAGCTGGGCGTGGTGGCAGGCACCTGTAATCCCAGCTACTTGGGAGGCTGAGGCAGGAGAATCACTTGAACCTGGGAGGTGGAGGTTGCAGTGAGCCGAGATCGTGCTATTGCACTTAAGCCTGGACAACAGTGCAAGACTCTGTCTGTAAATAAGTAAATAAATAAATAATACCATCATAAACTTTTTTTGAGGCGGAGTCTCGCTCTTGTTGCCCAGGCTAGAGTGCAGTAGCACGGTCTTGGCTCATGCAACCTCCACCTCCCGGGTTCAAACAATTCTCGTGCCTCAGCCTCCTGAGTAGCTGGGATTACAGGCACCTGCCACTGTGCCTGGCCAATTTTTTGTATTTTAGTAAAGACGGGGTTTCACCATGTTTCCCAGGCTGGTCTCCAACTCTGGAGCTCAGGCAGTCTGCCTTCACAAAGTGCTAGGATTACAGGTGTGAGTCACCGTGCCTGGCCCATCATAACCATTTTCAAGTGTATTGTTAAGTGATACTAAGCATATTAACATTGTTTTGAAGCAGATCTCCAGATTTCATCTTGCACATCTGAAACTCTGTACCCATTAAACAGTGACTCGTCGTTTCCCCTATCACGCAACCCCTGGTAACCAACCTTTACTTTGTTTCTATGATTTTGTCTACTTCAGTTACCTCGTATAAGTAAGTGGGATCATGCAATATTTGTCTTTGGCTTATTTCACTCAGTATAATGTCTTCAAGTTTCAGTTATATTGTAGCATATGAAAGGATTTTCTTCCTTTTTAAGGCTGAATAATATTCCCTTTATGTATATACCACATTTTGTTTATCCATTAATCTGTTGATAGACTTTGGGTTGCTTCCACCTCTTAGCTATTGTGAATGGTGCTCCTGTGAACATAGGTCTGCTACTATAATGTCTCTTTGAGACTCTGCTTTCAGGTTTTTTTTTTTTTTTTTTTTTTTTTTTTAAGATATATACCCAGAATAAGAAGGATTGCTGGATCATATGGTATTTTAAAAATTTTTTTTGAGGAACCTCCATACTGTTTTCCATAGCAGTTGCACCATTTTACAATCTCACCAACAGTGCTCAAGGGTTCCAGTTACTCCACTTCCTTACCAACACTCTTCTTTTCTTTCTTTTTTCTTTTAGTAGCCATCTTAATCCGGCCCATATAGATTTATAAATGAGTTCTACCAAACATTTATAGACAATCATAATTTCATATAAATTCTTCCTAAATCAAGAAAAAGAAGAAACATTCTCATTCTCATTTAAGTATTTAATGGGTTATTCTAAGATAAATACTGTATAAAAAGCTAAAGATAATTTGCTGATATATATGAAATAAGGTTGTTGGATCCAAGACCACTATACAGTTGGATTCCTTTATACAAGTAGCAGATAACAAATGTAATTTTTAAAAAGCTTTATTGAGATATAATTCACATACCATACAAATCACCAATTTTAAGTATACAATTCAGGCCGGGCGCTGTGGCTCACGCCTGTAATCCCAGCACTTTGGGAGGCCGAGGCGGGCGGATCACGAGGTCAGGAGATCGAGACCATCCTGGCTAACACGGTGAAACCCCGTCTCTACTAAAAATACAAAAAATTAGCCGGGCGAGGTGGTGGGCGCCTGTAGTCCCAGCTACTCGGGAGGCTGAGGCAGAAGAATGGCGTGAACCCCAGGGGGCGGAGCCTGCAGTGAGCCGAGATTGCGCCACTGCACTCCAGCCTGGGCGACAGCGAGACTCCGTCTCAAAAAAAAAAAAAAAAAAAAAAAAGTATACAATTCAATGTTTTGATACATTACATTGTTAATTTTTTAAAGTTATAAAATACGAATGACAAAATTTTTCATTTTAACTGTTTGAAGTGTACAATTCAGTGGCATTAATTACTTTTACAGTGTTGTGCAGCTGTATTCATCTTCCATATAGAAACTCTATAACCATTAAGCAATAACTCCCTCATTCTCCCTTCACTTTCAGCTCCTGGTAAATTCTGTTCAACTTCCTGTATGAATTTGCCTATTCTAGATATTTCATGTAAATTGAATCATACAATATTTGTCCTTTTGTGTCTTCTTATTTCATTTAGCATAATGTTGGTGTTCATCCATATTGCGGCATGTATCAGAACGTTACTCATTTTTATGGCTGAATAATACCGCATTGTACATATAGACCACATTTTGTTTATTCAGTCATCTGTTGGTGGACATTTGGGTTTTTTTTGTGTTGTTGTTTGTTTGCTTCTTTGAAACAGAGTCTTGCTGTGTTGCAAGGCTGGAGTGCAGTGGCGTGGTCTGGGCTCACTGCAACCTCCGCCTCCAGGTTCAAGCGATTCTCCTGCCTCAGCCTCCCTCAGCCTCCCGAGTAGCTGTGACTACAGGCGCATGCCACCACACCCAGTTACTTTTTTTGTATTTTTAGTAGAGATGGGGTTTCACCATGTTGGTGAGGATGGTCTCCATCTCTTGACCTTGTGATCCGCCCACCTCAGCCTCCCAAAGTGCTGGGATTACAGGCGTGAGCCACCACGCCCAGCGCACTTGGGATGTTTTTACAAATTTTTTTTTTTTTTTTTTTTTGAGACGGAGTCTTGCTTTGTTTCCCAGGCTGGAGTGCAGTGGTGTGATCTCAGCTTGCTGCAACCTCTGCCTTCTGGGTTCAGACGATTCTCATGCCTCAGCCACCCGAGTAGCTGGGATTACAGATGTGCCACCACACCCAGCTAATTTTTGTATTTTTAGTAGAGACAGTGTTTTGCCATGTTGACTAGGCTAGTCTTGAACTCCTAGCCTACCTCAGCCTCCCAAAGTGCTAGGATTACATGCATGAGCCACAGTTCCTGGCCTACAAAATATATTTTTAAAAAGATACTCATTATAGCAGCAACAGCTACAATGACAACAATTGAAAGGTACCAGTGAACAAAATCAGCAAAAGATGCACATGACTTTTTATGTTGAAAAGTATACAATTTCCATTAAAAGACATGAGAAGAGATGTAATTGGGATACCATATTAACTGATAGGAAGACCCAGTGACATAAACATGTCAGTTCTTTCCAAATTAATTTATAAGTTCAATACACTTCTGTTTAATATAATGACAGGGTATTTCATATAACTTGACAAGCTCTAAAATGTATGTAGGAGAGTAAACTGTCAAGAAAAATTAGGAAGGAGCACTTAGTCTTTCACATAGCATTATTTATAAAGCCATATTATTAATATTTAAGGCAATGTGGTATTGGCACAGGATAGACCAACCTCTGGGAAGAATAAAGAGCCCAGAAATAGAACCCCCGAATATAAAGAAACTTAATACATGACAGTGAGCATTGAAGATGAGTAAGGAGATGATGGACTGACTAAACAGTAAATGATAATGGAACAATTGGTTATTTATATGGAAAATAAAATGAGATTTCTACTTACCATATTAAAAAATGTATGTGATGATTAAAGATGTTAATGTGAAAAGTTAAACTTTTAGAAAAAAGTGGGAGAATGTTTTTATGATACTAGGGCAGGGAAGGTAGAAAGGATTTCTTCAACAAGACTTGAAATTTGAACTGTAAAAGAAAAAGATTGATAAATATGTCTAGATTAAAATAAAAAATGTACAGTTATTGAAATTCAGCATGAGATAGATAACCCATCTGGGAGAAAATATTTGCAGGAAAAATAACTAAAAAGGATTAATAATCAGGATATATGAAGAATATTTTACCAACCAGTAATAATAATAAGACAGTAGATTGGAAATTCATAGAAGATGAAATACAAATGTCCTGCAGACATGAAAAGGTGTTCAACTTCTTTAGTAGCCATGGAAATGCAAATTAAAACTTCAATGGAATAATATTTTACACTCACCATTTTGGTGAGGATGTAGAATAAGGAAAACTCTCTTATACTTAAGTGGACAGTGGAGTATCAACTAGAACCTCATTGTAGAGAGCAACTTAGCAATATCTAGTAAAGTGTATACCCTAGGGAAACTCTAGAAGATGGACAAGAGTTTGTACCTGGGACAAGTACCGTTAAGTTCATAGCAACATTGTTTGTAAAAGCAGAAAACTACAAGCAGCTGAAATGTCCATCATTAAGAAAATGAAGAAATTATAGAATATTCATGTAATGGTAGAGAACGGTGAGAAAATAAAAATACCTACTTGTATCAACATAAATTAATCTAAAGATGTAATGCAGAATGAAATGCTGTGGAAAGATTCCTCCTGTATAAAGTTCATAAAGATACAAAATATGTTAGGAGATGGAACCCCTGGGGAAAAATAAGGGAATTTGGGAGGGGTAAAAAGCAGTGGTGGAGGAAGAAAAGCCTGAGGGAAAACCAACCTTGCATTCCAAGGAATCTAAAAAGGAGCAGCCAGAGATTAGAACCAGGTAGTTTTTCTGTCATATAAAAAATTGTACTAGGTTGAAGTAAGTCCTGAATTGAAACATCTAATTCTCTCTGATTGATCTTTGTGTATGTATTTTTGTGTTTTATTACAACTTAAAAAGATCTGATAAAATTCTGTTTTAAATTAGGTAGAATTTTGAAAGTACCTTTGACTACTTTTTCTGTTATGATATAATTCACATGCCATATATCCACCTTTTAAAAGTGTTTTTAACCACATCAGTGGTTTTTAATATAGTCAAATAGTTGTGCAACTATTACAACTATCTTATTCCAGAACATTCTTATCACCCCAAAAGAAGTCCTGTAACCATCAAGAGTCACTCTAGGCTGGGTGGGGTGGCTCATGCCCATAATCCCAGCTCTGGGAGACTGAGGTGGGAGGATCAATTGAAGCCAGGAGTTCAAGACCAGCTTGGGCAATTTAGCGAGACCCTGTCTCTACAAAAATAAAAAAAAATTAGCTAAGCATGGTGTCGTGTGCCTGTAGTCCCAGTTACTTGGAAGGCCAATGTGGGAGGATCGCTTGAACTCAGTAGTTTGAGGTTGTCAGCTATGATAGTGCCACTGCACTCCAGCCTGGGTGGATAAGTAAGATCCTGTCTCAAAAAAAAGAAAAAGTCATTCCCCATTCTTCTTAGCCTCAGTCTGTGGCAACTATTAATCTACTTTCTGTCTCTATAAGTTTGCCTATTATGGACATTTCATGTAAATGGAATGACATGGTATATGGCCTTTTGTGTTTGACTTCTTTCACTTAGCATAATGTTTTCAAGGTTTATCCAATTGTGGTATGTATCATTACTTCATTCCTTTTTATGGCTAAACAATATTCCACTCTGTGGATATTTGTTTTCCCATTCACCAGTTAATGGATATTTGGGTTGTTTCCACATTTAGCTATTTTGAATAATGCTGCCATGAACATTCATTGCAAGTTTTCATGTGAACTTAGTTTTCAGTTCTGTTGCGTATACATGTAAGAGTAGAATTACTGGGTCATATTTTACTTTCATGACAGCAGTGTGTTATGGTTTCACTTTTTCCACATTGTCACCAAGACTTGTTCGTTATGTATCTTTTTGATTATAGCTATCCTAGTGGATGTGAGGTAGTATGTCACTGTGGTTTCGATTTGCATTTTCCTAATGACTAATGATGCTGAGTATCTTTTTCATGTGCTTGTTGGAATGGGATTTTTTTTACATTTCATTTTTGGATTGTTCATTGCTAGTGTGTAGAAATACTCTTGATTTTTGCATATTCCTTGTATTCTGCAACCTTGTTGAACTCTTTTATTAGCTTTAGTAGTTTTTTGAGTATTTCTTATGATTGAGTATGCAAATAGAGATCGTCATTTTCCTTTTCTCTCTGGATGCTTTTTATTTATTTTACTTCCCTAATAGCCCTGGCTAGAATCTTTTTTTTTTTTTTTTTTGAGATGGAGTTTCCCTCTTGTTGCCCTGGCTGGAGTGCAATGGTGTGATCTCAGCTCACTGCAACCTCCCCCTCCTGGGTTCAAGTGATTCTCCTGCCTCAGCCTCCTGAGTAGCTGGGATTACAGGCGTCCACCACCACACCTGGCTGATTTCTTGTATTTTTAGTAAAGACGGGGTTTCACCATGTTGGCCAGGCTGGTCTTGAACTCCTGACCTCAGGTGATCCACCCGCCTCGGCCTCCCAAAGTGCTGGGATTACAGGTATGAGCCACCACGCCCAGCCCCTGGCTAGAATCTTAATTATAGTGTTGAATAGACGTGGTGAGAGCAGACATCCTTGTGCTGTTTTTGATTGTAGGGGAAAGCATTCAGTTTGTCATCATGAATTATGATGCTAGATGTGGGTTTTCTGTAGATACTCTTTATCAGGTGAGGAAATTCCCTTTAATCTAGTTTTTGAGTATTTTTATCATGAGTAGGTGTTTAATTTTTGAATTATTATTTTTTTGTGGAGGCAGGGTTTCACAATGTTGACCAGGCTGGTCTTGAACTCTTGGCCTCAAGGTGTCCTCTCGCCATGGCCTCCCAAAGTGCTAGGATTATAGATGTGAGCTACTGCACCTGGTAGGGTGTTTAATTTTGTCACATGATTTTTCTGCATCTGTTGAGATGATTATGCTGGTCTTTGTCCTTTATTCTGTTAATACAGTGTGTTACCTTGATTGATTTTTGTTTGTTGAGCCAATCTTGCATTCCTGGAAGCAAATCTCGCTTGGTCATGATATATAATCCTATTTATATGTTGCTGGAGTTGGTTTGCTAGTATTTTGTTGAGGATTTTTTTGTCCGTGTTCATAAAGGATATTGGCCTGTAGTTTTTTCCTCCTGTTTTTTTTTTTTTTGTTTGTTTTCTTTTTCTGGTTTTGGTATCGGGAAGACTGGCCTCACAGAATGAGTTGAGAAGTTCCCTGAATACTTATCTGATCTTAGTTTTCTTCAGTTTTGTTATTGACTTCCTCTTCTTTTTTCTTTCTTTTTTTTTTTTTTTAAGACAGAGTCTCGCTCTGTTGCCCAGGATGGAGTGCAGTGACACTATCTGTGCTCACTGCAACCTCCACCTCACAGGTTCAAGCGATCCTCCCACCTCAGCCTTCCAAGTAGCTGGGATTTCACCATGTTGGCCAGGCTGCTCTCTAACTGTTGACCTCGGGTGATCGGCCTGCCCGTCTCCCTAAGTGTTGGGATTACAGACGTAAGCCACTGCACCTGGCCAGTTTTATTACTGCCTTCTAAAAATATATTAATGCTGTTCTTTTGTTCCAGTTATTCTTTTTAAGAACACACAGAAATACTTTGTTAGATTCTAATTTAATTTAGCTTACCTGTGAGGAATGACTTGTGGCACCCAGCAGAATATTACGAAATTTCTGGTATTCCAGTGAAATCTGCCTAGTATACTGTCTTTCAGATGGCTGAATATAAAAGTCCATAAAAATTAGAGATGAGAGAGACTATGGTGATATAATCAACCATTTTACAGATAAATGGACCAGATTGTCCAAAGTTACACTGCTAGGTTACCTGGCTGAGCCAGGAGATTTTACTTTGGTAGTTTTTACTCACCAATGATTAGTAGTGTGTGAAAAGGATAGGTTTTTTAAAAAAAAGTTTAATTTCATCTGTGTGTTTGTGAACAATGCTAAGAAACAAATACAGTATTTATTTGAATGACGTAAGTGTATATGCGTGCCCACTCATTCTATACTCCAGCTGGAGAAGCCCTAGAACATATAATTAATCCATTGTGTCGGGCACGGTGGCTCACGCCTGTAATCCCAGCGCTTTAGGAGGCCAAGGCAGGAGGATCATTTGAGTCTGGGAGTTCAATACCATCCTGGGTAACACAGCGAGACCCTGTCTCCATAAAAAATGAAAAATATACATATAATTCATTGCTATCAGGAGGAAATTTATTATTAATATCAACAGCATTTTGGGAAGTCTTCAAAGCAATTAACTTTTAACTGAAGAAACTATTTACCCAAATTATATCATATGAGTGGGTGGTATCAAAATGAATTGAAATCTTGAAGAAACTGTCTCCAACTTGGAAAGAGATATAGAGGGAGAATCACATTAATGTATCAATCTAATATATCAACCTAAATGTGTCAACCTTTAACTTTTAATTAATTGTTCCCTTCTAATTGTTTTTTTCCTTCTACTTTTAAGTTCAGGGGTACATGTGCAGGATGTGCACGTTTGTTACATAGGTAAACATGTGCCATGGTGATTTGCTACACAGATCATCCCATCACCTAGGTATTAAGCCCAGCATCCATTAGCTATTCCTCCTGATGCTCTCTCTCCCCCTACCACCCCGCGACAGGCCCCAGAGTGTGTTGTTCCCTGCCATGTTGTCCATGTGTTCTCATCATTTAGTTCCCACTTATAAGTGAGGATAAGCAGTGTTTGGTTTTCTGTTCCTGCGATCCTCCTGCCTTGGCCTCTCAAAGTTAGTTTGCTGAGGATAATGGCTTCCAACTCCATCCATGTCCCTGCAAAGGACATTATCTTGTTCCTTTTTATGGCTGCATAGTATTCCATGCTGTATATATACCACATTTTCTTTATCCAGTCTATCATTGATGGGCATTTAGATTGATTTTGTGCCTTTGCTATTGTGTATAGTGCTGCAATGAACATACACATGCATGTATCTTAATAATAGGATGATTTATATTCTTTTTGGTATATACCCAGTAGTGAGATTACTGGGTCAAATAGTATTTCTGCCTTTAGGTCTTTGAGGAATCGCCACACTCTAGTTGTTGAAGTAATTGTTTATTTTGATTGTGAAACAGTTTTTAAAAAATGTATTTTCAGAGAGAAATAGTAGTATAATTTTATGAAAATATCATATGTGTCTCCAAAGATAAAATCATCGTTTAATTTTGCTGAGCCAAGAAACTCAACTAAAACTACCTGCTGGAAATGGCACAGTTTTCTCTCTCAACGTCAGTAACATACGATCCAAATTCTACGTTGTGATTGGCTGTTGTACCATTTTCATTCAGAGATTAGTTTTGCCAACAGTGTCTGATTTGGGATTGGGATTTAGCTCACAAAGCAGTTGGTTGTTGGGGTATAGGAAGGGGTTAGTGTTACTAATGAGCACACTACAGAGAAATCATTCCACTGGGGAAAAATAGCATTTGTCCATGCATGAGCAAAGTTGTTGTGTAATTCAATGCTGGATGCCAAATAGTCAGTGAAGTTTGGATTTGGATGTGGCAGCTCACTGATGCTGGGGGGAAATTTTGTTTAATCATTGTCTTTTAAAATGAACTTGGTAAAAGCTGTCAGTTTTTTCCCTTTTAGAAAGATGAAATGTTTTTTGTCTTTTTTCTCTTTTCCTGTTTCCATAATTTTATTTTTAGGCTTTCAAAAAGCTGAAGATTTAATTAAAATAAATGTTTTCCCCTTGGTTAGCTTGATTAGTCTTTTTTTCCTAAGCATTATTCTGCATCTAAGATTATATCCTAACATCCAAGATAGTTCTAATTCACTTCATTTTTTGTTCCTCTAAAATAAAATAGATTTGTGAATTTTAGGAAGTATATATTATCACATTATTTTGTTTTATTTTGTATTTTGAACCTTTTATAATATCTAGTTATCACAAATAGATATCTTTGGGATTTTTTTCTTGTTTCTTGGTTCTTTAACAGATAGTCAGAATTTAATATCTGATGGAATATTTTAGGTTTGTTTTGTGTCTTTGATAACATCGTTCATCTTCGACACTTTTTTTTTTTTTGAGACAGGGTCTCACTCTGTTGCCCAGTCTGGAGTGCAGTGGTGCAATCTTGGCTCACTGTAGCCTCGACATCCTGGGCTCAGGTGATCCTCCCACCTCAGCCTCCTAAACAGCTGGGACTACAGGCACACACCACCATACCCGGCTGATTGCTGTATTTTTTGTAGAGACAGTTTCTCCATATGTTGCCTAGGATGTTTTTTTTTTTTTTTTTGAGATGGAGTCTCACTCTGTCACCCAGACTGGAGTGCAGTGGCATTATCTTGGCTCACTGCAAACTCTGCCTCCTGGGTTCAAGCGATTCTCCTGCCTCAGCCTCCCAAATAGCTGGGATTACAGGCACCTGCCACCACGCATGGCTAATTTGCCTAGGCTGGTCTTAAACTCCTGGACTCAAGTGATCTGCCCGCGTAGGCCTCCCAAAGTGCTAGGATTACATGCATGAGCCACCACACTTGGCTGACAACATTTAACATAATAATTTATGTTCTTAGTATTTAAATGCCCTCAATACTATATAGCAAAGATTTATGTGACTGAAACATTTTTCTTAAACTGAGCATTTTCATATCAAAGATATTTGTAGAAGATTGCATTTACTATTTGGAAGGTAAATATTAAGAATTTTTTAGAAAGCAAATGTGAGAAGTTGACAGAGAAGGAGAAATTAGGGGGCATTGCAAATCCCTTACAGTATTTCTTTTCAGTAGATTGACCAAAATGAGTAACTAAATATAGCTTAAATGAGTTAACTGCAAACCAGAAACATGAATTAGTAATAGTGTCTTTATTTCTTCCTAATGAAACTTAAAGGCAAATTCTGATCTACTAGTTTATGATCTCTAGGATACTAAACTACCAGTACCAGCTAATTAAGCTGGAAGTACTGGGGACTTTTTCCTAACACAAGAATAATACTTTTATGTTTGCCGTTTTTGGTTCTACATATGTTACTTAGGGCTGGTTCAGGGAGGTAGAATATGATTTTGAAGTAGCTTATAGTGAAGAATGGGAGAGAGGTAAATTTAGGGTAAGATTTTTGGATTGTTTTGAGGGTCCACTTATGGTTGGAGACCATTACTGGTGAAACCAATTGAAGATGATGTAACTTTTTCCCTCTTTATTAGCCGAGAGAGAGAGCAGTAAAAGCATGAAAATGGATTGAGCTATAGTCGGGGTCTTGCCAGACAGGTACAGTGGGAGGATAAGAGAGCAAAAGAGATGATAGTATTAGTTGAGAGAGAGAGAAATGAAGACCAGTATGGGATAGAAAGAAAGTACTAAGTTTGAGGAATTAGAGGTCTTACTGAGGTGAAAGAACAGTGGTAGTATTGCTGTAAATTGGAGGTCTCATTGAGGTGAAAGAACTGGGATTATTGGAGTAAGTGGTAAAGATGTAGAGAGAGGGCCAAGCGCGGTGGCTCACTCCTGTAATCCCAGCACTTTGAGAGGCCGAGGCAGGCGGATCACGAGTTCAGGAGATGGAGACCAGCCTGGCTAACATGATGAAACCCCTTCTCTACTAAAAATACAAAAAATTAGCCGGGCGTGGTGGCACGTGCCTGTAGTACCAGCTACTCGGGAGGCTGAGGCAGGAGAATTGCTTGAATCTGGGAGGTGGAGGTTGCAGTGAGTCGAGATAGCACCACTGCACTCCAGCCTGGGCGACAGAGCGAGACTCCGTCTCAAAAACAAAACAAAACAAAACAAAACAGAAGTCAAGGAGTACGTTTGTGAGGTTAGGAATGTGATTCTTATTCTAGTTTTATACCAGAATTACCAATTGCCTTTTTTAAAAAAACATAGTTGCCCAGGTCTCATTCTGGATCAATGGAATCAGAATCTGTAGGGAGTTGGGCTAAGGCGCCTTCATTTAAGATGTTATACAGCTGATTAAAAAATACTTCAAAATTTGCATACAGTAAAGTTTATACTCTTTGGTGTACAGTTCTTTGAGTTTTGACAAATGCATAGTGGTGCCCTTTATCAGGATAGGGTGGATAGGACAGGTGAGGAAATATGGTGGGCCCGCTGTATTCACAGATTCTGCATTCTCGGATTGAAATAACAAACAACTGTGGATTAGAAATATTCAGGGTGTGTGTGAAAAAAACCAATAAAAATAACAATACAACAACAAAAATAATACAAATAAAAATATAGTATAACAATTATTTACATAGCCTTTACATTGTATTAGATACAAGTAATCTAGAGATGACTTAAAGTATATGGGAGGATGTGCATAAGCTATATGCAAATATTACGTCATTTTATAAAATGGACTTTGAACATCCTTGGATTTTGGTATCTGCAGGGGTCCTGGAAGCAATCCTATGAGGATACTGAGGGATGATTATATATGTTTGGTTTTGAATACCCTCAAATTTGCTCGTTGCACTAAAGCTACAGCCATAGAATTCAGAAGAGTGGAGATTATTACAATGAATTAATATTTTCTCTACCATTTCCTTAAGTCTAGATCTGGAATTGACATTTTTTCTGTAAAGAGCCATATAGTAACTACTTTAGGCTTTGCAGGCCACAAATGGTCTCTTTCACATTCTCTGTGTGTGTGTGTGTGTATGTGTGTGTGTGTGTTTATAACCATTTAAAAATGTAAAAATGGGCCAGGCATGGTGGCTCATACCTGTAATCCCAGCACTTTGGGAGGCCGAGGCAGGTGGATCACCTCAGGTCAGGAGTTCAAGACCAGCCTGGCCAACATGGGGAAACCCCGTCTTTACTACAAATACAAAAATTAGCTGGGCGTGATAGCACGTGCCTATAGTCCCAGCTCCTTGGGAGGCTGAGACAGGAGAATTGCTTGAATCCGGGAGGTGGAGGTTGCAGTGAGCCGAGATTGCACCATTGCACTCCAGTCTGGGTAACAGAGTGAGACTCTGTCTCAAAAAAAAAAAAAAAAAAAAGTTAAAATGCTGGTCACAGTGGTGCATGCCTTTAGTTCCACAGCTACTCAGGAGGGTGAGGCGAGAAGATGACTTGAACCCAGGAGTTTGAGACCAGCCTGGGCAACATAGTGAGACCCTCCTCTCAAAATAATAAAAAAAGTAAAAACTATTTTTTGCACCTTGGAAAACAGGCAGAGGGCCATAGTTTGCTAACCCCAGGCAGATCATCAATACCACAATAAATCAAGCTCTGATTTGTAGTATTTGCTGATTTCCAAAGTATAAATACTCCCACTGTGGCTGATTTCAGTCTACTAGTGTGACTGACATACCAAATGCAGAATTTGAAAGAAATCCTCAGTAGCACACAGTATTTCCATTATATAAATACAATAGATGTTTCTTAAAAGCATAGTTAAATACAGTATTAATGAAGCAATGAGTTTTGAGTATTTTTAACTTTATTTTTAATATAATTTAATTGTGAACTTACATGGTTTAATATTTAATAATGACTGTGTGGAGGCTGGGCATGGTGGCTCACGCCTGTAATCCCAATACTTTGGGAGGCCAAGGCAGGTGGATCATGAGGTCAGGAGTTTGAGACCAGCCTGGCCAGTATGGTGAAACCCCCATCTCTACTAAAAATACAAAAAAACTAGCCGGGCATGGTGGCACACACCTGTAGTTCCAGCTACCCGGGAGGCTGAGGGAGGAGAATCGCCTGAACCTAGGAGGTGGAGGTTGCAGTGAGCCGAGATTGCGCCACCGCACTCCATCCTGAGCAATAGAGGGAGACTGTCTCAAAAAAATAAATAAATAAATAAATAAATAAATAAATAAAAAAGACTGCGTAGAACAGCAGTTTGCAAAATTCCTGAAAATACAACAATCAGCTCTCACTAGCCTGTACAAGTTGAATTCAACATAGCATGAAACTTAAGGTTCAGAGAGGTGAGATAATTTACCAAATCTAGTTTAAGTGGTGGAATCAGAATAAACTCTAGGTTTCTTTTTATTTTTATCTTAAAACAATATGGGTTTATAGTTTAAAAAGTCAAAAAGTACTACAAGGTTTATAGTACAAAATCATCAGTTGCCTGTCCTACCCTCTCTTCTGCCACTTTCTAGCCCCTAGGGGCAACACTTAACTCTTCCGGCCTTTTCTTCTGGTGTTTTACCTCCCTATTTTTTGTAATACGGTAATACTGCTATTTATAATTTTTCACTTTTTGATGTTATTTATTCCTTCTAAGGAAGATAGTGATTTACTTCTCTTATGCCATACACTCTTTCCTTCTATGCATTTTTCCAGTGTATTTATATCACAATTATAACTTTCTTAAATTATCTTCCAATATTTACACTATTATTACTGTACAGTGTTCACAGCTAAGCCATTAGTATACTATAATTGCATCCTTTCTTTTTTTTTTTTTTTTGAGATGGAGTCTCACTCTGTTGCCTAGGCTGGAGTGCAGTGGCGTGATCTCGGCTCACTGCAACCTCTGCCTCCCAGGTTCAAGCAATTCTCCGGTCTCAGCCTCCCGAGTCGCTGGAACTACAGGCACACACCACCACACTTGGCTAATTTTTTACATTTTTAGTAGAGATGGGGTTTCACTGTGTTAGCCAGGATGGTCTTGATCTCCTGACCTCGTGATCCGCCCACCTTGGCCTCCCAAAGTGCTGGGATTACAGGCGTGAGCCACCACACCTGGCCTCATTTCCTTTCTTTATATAAATTTAAAGACAGAATTTTATGGTTCTGACAGAGCCATATAACAGAACCATAAAATTCATCACAGTATGGTTAAACATCAAATAATTTACCATTTCCATTCTTTTCTTAAACATACCCTCTAAACTGCCCTTCATCCTCCTGTTTGAATTCTAACTTGTTTTCAGCTGTCATCCTAGTACTGCATTCAGCATTATGCTGGGCATTGCCATTGCTTCTCTCTTGTGTTGGCATCCATTTTCCTGCATTTTACACCGCCTGGTTTCCTAGTTTATTTCTTCATTTTGGTGGAGCACATCATTCAGGAGCTTCCTAAGAAAGGATGCTGAGAGATAAGTTGGTTGAGATCTTGTATATCTGAAAATATCTATTCTACCATCATATGTAATTGATAATTTGGCAGGATATATCATTCTAGCTTGAAAAATCATTTTCCCTCAGATTTGGAAGGTTTATCTTCAGTGTTGCTAGTCTCCAGTGTTGTTGAGCAACCCAAAGACATTCTTTAGTCCTTTGTGACCTTTTTTTTTTTTTTTCCCCTTGTGATAGATTTTAGGACCTTCTCTTTTCCCCCAGTGTTGTGAAATTCCACAGGGGTGTAGCTTGATATGGATCTTTTTCATTCATTGTGTGGCATACTCTGTGGGCATTTTCATTCAGGAAATGTGTGTCCTTCAGTTCTGAAAATTTTTTCTTATTTATTTTAATGTTTCTCTTCCTGCTTTCTGGAACTTCTATTAGTTTGATGCTGGATCTTCTGAGTTGATCCTCTGATTCTCTTATCTTTCTCCTATTTTTTCATTACTTTCTCTCTTTGTTCCACTTCCTGGGAGATTTCAGCTTTACCTGCCAGATTGTGAACAACTTAAAAATTTTTCTAGCATAATTTTAATATATAAGGGCTCTTGTTCTTTGAATGTTACTTTGATATAGATCTTGTTTGTCTTTCATAGATGCAGTCTTTCCTTTTATATATCTGAGATATTATGCTGTCTTTGTGTGTCTGTGAAGTTTTTTTTCCCTTTAATTCTCTGGTTACTCCCAAGTTTCTTCTTGTTTTGGTCACCTTTAATGTAATGGCTTTCCTCAAATGTCTGTTGTTTTTTTATTTTAAGTTGTGGTAAATATATGTAACATGTAATTTATCATTTTAACCATTTTATCTGTTTCTTTTAAAATATTTATTTATTTATTTTAGAGATGGGATCTTGCTCTGTTGCCCAGGCTGGTCTCAAACTCTTGGGCTCAAGCAATACTCCTGTCTTGGCCTCCCAGAATGTTGAGATCAGAGGCATGAGCCATCACACTCAGCTGTTTTTAACCATTTAAAAATGTTTAAATTCTGTGGCATTAAGTACATTCATACTGTTGTGCAACCATCACCACCATCCACCTCCAGAACTTTTTCATTTTCCCCAGTTGAAACTCTATACCCATTAAATACTAACTTCTATTCCATCCTTCCCTCAGCCCTTGGCCAACAGCATTCTACTTTCTGTCTCTACGGATTTGACACTTTAGTAGCCTCATGTAGGAAGAATCATAATACTTGTCTTTTTGTGACTGGCTTATTTCACTTAGCATAATATTTTCAATGTTCATCCATTTTGAAGCTCCATGTGAGTGGGCAGGAACTTGTTAACTGGAGGCCTTCACTGAGAAGTGATAAGGTGATGAATACCTGCCAGGTGCAGTGGCTCACACCTGTACTCCAGCACTTTGGGAGGCCAAGGCAGGAAGATCATTTGAGCCCAGGAATTCGAGACCACCCTTGGCAATATAGTGAGACCCTGTGTCTACCAAAAAAAAAAAAAAAAAAAAAAGATGAATATGTTTTTCATTGGGTAACCCTAGAATATCTGTATTTTTAGATGCTTTTTAGGGTCCTGTCAGTTTCTGTGGAAAAAATCTCCCAACTCCTGACTGGGGGTATATGCTTGACAGCTCATTGTTTAGGTAACCAGAAAGGGATAGGGGAATCTACCTGTTTGGTAAACTTTTCTTTAGTTATGCCGTTTTCAATATAGGGCTCACCCCTATTCTCAGCGAGCTTGGTGTTCCCTGAGTCCAGAGCCTTTCTTTTTTCTTTCTTTTTTTTTTTACATTCTAAAACACAGCACTGAGCATGCTGTATCTTTCTTTTTTTTATTATTATACTTTAAGTTCTAGAGTACATGTGCACAACGTGCAGTTTTGTTACATATGTATACATGTGCCATGTTGGTGTGCTGCACCCATCAACTTGTCATTTACATTAGGTATATCTCCTAATGCTATCCCTCCACCATTCCCCCACACACGACGGGCCCTGGTGTGTGATGTTCCCCACCCTGTGTCCAAGTATTCTCATTGTTCAGTTCCCACCTATGAGTGAGAACATGCAGTGTTTGGTTTTTCTGTCCTTGCGATAGTTCGCTCAGAATGATGGTTTATGTCCTTTGTAGGGACATGGATGAAGAGTCCAGAGCCTTTCTGATTGTTTCTCTGGACTGGTGAGTTGACAGGCAGCCTTTATCTAGGGTGGAGGATGGGTAGTTGCCTGGTTGCTTGGGCAGGTAGGGAGGAGAACTAAGGACTTAACTGCTCTTTCTATAGATTGTCAGCCAACTCTTCTGTTTCTGGCCACATGACTCAATCCTCCCTTCAGAGATGCATTGTGCTTCCAGTTCCTGGCCTTTCCAGAGTACAGTGGTGTGAATCAGATTGCTTTTTTTTTCTTAGACAGTCTCACTTTGTTGCCTAGGCTGGAGTGCAATGGCACGATCTCGGCTCACTGTAACCTCTGCCTCCCGGGGTCAAGCGAGTCTCCTGCCTCAGCCTTCCGAGTAGCTGGGATTACAGGTGCTTGCCACCACTCTCAGCTAATTTTTGTATTTTTAGTAGAGACAGGGTTTCACCGTGTTGGCCAGGCTGGTCTCAAACTCCTTACCTCAGGTGATCCACCTGCCTCGACCTCCCAAAGTTCAGGGATTACAAGTTGGAGTGCAGTGGCTATTCACATGTGCAATCATAGCACACTGTGGGTTCGAACTTCTGGCTTCAAGCAATCCTCCCATCTCAGCCTCCCGAGTAGCTGGGGGTATAGGTGCACACCACTGCACCTGGCACCATTTTTGTTGTTAAAACATATAAAGAAAACATATACAATATACATACATACCTACAGTGTTCTCTGCTGTTCCCCATCCCTATTGTATTCACTATTAACAGTTTGTGTACTCTTCATATGTTTCTATGCACACATATCTATATGCACACATACACACACTTAAAACATCTATATGTCTCTATGTTTCTTCATATAGCTACATATTAATTAAAACGGAATTGAAAATATCTTTCTGTATTGCTAATATTTTAAAACTTGTTAATATAGGCCAGGCGTGAGTGGCCCATGCATATAATCCCAGCACTTTGGGAGGCCAAGGCGGAAGGATTACTTGAGGCCAGGAGATCGAGACCAGCTTGGGCAACGTAATGAGACCCTGTCTCACAATTTTGAAAAAAACCCAAACTTGTAATATAGTTTCTAAAAATGGAAAGAGAAATATTTTTCATTGTCTACTAAATGGAAATAAAAGTGCTATATATTTTATGGATACTCATTTCAGAAGGTATTTGCTTAGGTGCACCTAACTTATCACTCAGCATTGCAGTGCTCACCTAATGCAAGAACTACTTTGTCAAGGAGTTGAAAAGATAACTAATGTATCCTAATCAGTTTTTCCCTCAAGATAGTCCTTTTGAACTACTTAAAAGCTTAATGATTTGGAATTATTTTACCTTTATTTATAATATCACAACCTGGAAGATAGATATAAATCTGCTTATCTTCATGCAATTAGGAGGTTATTAGGAGATAAATTTTTATTCACATTTGCCCAGTATATTCTACAATCTACATGGGAGGGTGGGGAGCAACTCTCAGAGAAGGTAAAACATTTAGATGGAAGATTCAGTTTAGTTTGATAGAGCTACATTTGAGTGTACTCACAATTTTAGGAACAATGAATTATCTTGAAATTTATCCTTTTGGATTATAAAGTCCATATGTATGGAGACTGTGTCTATCTAATCTAGTTCATTGTTATGTTCACAGCTTCTGGAACATGGGAGGTGTTCAATACATATTTGCCTATGTATGTGTGGAGTGATTATAGATAGTAGGAATGTAGAAATAGGCCAGTATTGCATTCAGTTCAGATCTTATGATTGTGTTCTTTTAGCAACTTTATGTAGCAACTGCCTTTATAATAATTTCATTCTTCTTACATTTCTGTAGTTGAGAACAGCAAGATACAAGGAGGCAGCCCTCTGTAATAGATGTGAAATGGTCATTACATGTTTGTTGGTGGTAGAGCTGTCTGTGAACTATCATTATCCATAAATAGCAGCTTCCTCATGCAGTCTGGTCAGCTCAACTCATCTCAATATAGAGCTCCTCCAGTGAAGGGATGTAGAAAAGTCTCCATAACACCGTTTGAAGGTGATTAGAGTGTAACCCACCTGCTGATACAATGAAGCACATTGGTTCTTGAGCCCTGTTGGTCATGTACTCAAATCACTAAGGACTAGATTTGAGAAGCTTAGTGTTTGACCTTAAAGTTTCCCTTTTGCTGGGTTTCTGTTACAATTTGCTTTTTACCCCATTCTGATGAGTATTATAGTTAGGTATTTCTATGTGTCATTCTCTCTGGATTTGTTCTTTTGAGTGCAGGGAACACCTTGTCTTTGTAACTTTTCATAGCTATAGTGCAGTGCTTTGTATAGCACAAGTTTACACTGTTAATTCTTGTGTTAAGTGGGTAAGTAGAAGAATTATAAATTTTGCTAAGTTATAGTTCAAACTGTAGCTACTTTTATAAGTCACATAAAATCCTTTTCAAACAAGATGGTTATTTAGCTACTTTGAAAAAAAGTATGGATTATAGCAAATCCACCCCCATCTGGTAATGTCAGAAGCCTGATATTTATTTATTTTAAAACAGCTTTATTGAGATATAATTCACATGCCATGCAGTTCACCCACATTGTATAACTCAGTGATTTTTAGTATCTTCACAGAGTTGTACAACCATCATGATAGCCAATTTTGGAATATTTTCATTACCCTGAAAGAAATCCTTTATACATTAGCAGTCACTCCCTATTTCCCACTTTACTCCCCAGCCCTAGCCAACCATTGATTTACTTTCCGTCTCTATAGATTTGCCTATTCTGGACAATGGGATTATATAATATTTGGCCTTTCATGACAGGCTTCTTTCACTCAGCAAAATGTTTTCAGATTCGTCCATGTTGTAACATATCAGTACCTCATTCCTTTCTATTGCTGAATAATCTATTGTATGGATATATACCTCATTTTATTTATCTATTCGTCTGTTGATAGATATTTGGGTTGTTTTCCATTTTTGGGCCATTATAAATAAAGCTACTATGAACATTCATGTGCAAGTTTTTGTGTAGATACATGCTTCTTTTTTCTTGGGTATATGTAAGAGTGAAATTGCTGGGCAACTCTGCATTTAACCTTTTGAGGAGGTTAGACTGTTTTCCAAGCAGCAGCATCATTTTACATTCCCACCAGCAGTCTATGAGTATTCCAATTTCTCTACATCCTCACCAACACTTGTTATTATCTGTCTTTTTTATTATAGTCATCCTAGTGGGTGTGAAGTGGTATTTCACTGTGGTTTTGATGTGCATTTCTCTGTTGGCTGATTATGTTCAGTATCTTTTCATGTGCTTATTGGCCACTTGTTTGTCTTTTGGAGAAATATATATTCAGATCCTTTCCCCATATTTAATTGGGTCATTTGTCTTTTATTGAATTGAAAGGATTCTTTTATGTATTTAGATACAAGTACAAAAATATATTTATAGATACATTTACAAATATTTACAAAAATATATTTTATCATTTCTACTTACAAAAACGTTCTCCCATGCTATAGGTTGTCTCTTCACTTTCTTGGTGATGTCCTTTGAAGTACAGAAGTTTTTAATTTTGATGCAGTTAATCTATTTTTTTCTTGTTTGTTATTTTCAGTGTCATATTTAAGAAACCATTACCTAATCTAAAGTCACAAAGATTTAAGCCTATTTTTTCTTGTAAGAATTTTATAGTTTTAGGTCTTGATATTTAGGTCTTTGATCAATTTTTAGTTAATTTTGGTGTGAGGCAGGGATCCAACTTCATTCTTTTTGCATGTGGATATCTGCTTGTTCCAGAACAATTTGTTAAAAAGAATATTCTTTCCCTCATTGAATTATTTTGACATCCATGTTGAAAATCAGTTGACTAAGGGACTTTATTTCTTTATTTGTTTATTTTTGAGACAAAATCTCACTCTGTCTCCAGGCTGGAGTGCAGTGGTGCAATCTCGGCTCACTGCAACCTCTGCCTCCCGGGTTCTAGCAATTCTCCTGCTTCAGCCTCCCGAGTAGCTGGGATTACAGGTGTGCACCACCACGCCCAGCTAATATTTGTATTTTTAGTAGAGATGGGGTTTAATCATGTTGGCCAGGCTGGTCTCAAACTCCTGACCTCGAACTCCTGACCTCAGCTGATCTGTCCGCCTCCACCTCTCAAAGTGCTGGGATTACAGGTGTGAGCCACCGTACCCGGCCAACTAAGGGACTTCTCTTTGGGGGGAAATATTCACATTGTTCTCCTTCCCCCCAAGATTGCTTACAATTTTTTGGTTAAATTAAGAAAAAAGAAACAATCTCAAAAAAGTTACAAGTACAGTTCAAAGAACATAATTTTTTTGAATCATTTGAAAGTAGATTGTCAACGTGATGCCATATGATGACCATGTTGTGTGTATTTCCCACAAACAAGAACATTTTCCTACAGAAGCACAATATAACCATCAAAATCAGAAAACTAACACTGCTGTACTACTACTATGTCATACTCAGATCCCATTCAAGTTTTGCCCATTGTCGCAGTGTTGTCCTTAATAGCAAAAAATATCCAGTCCAGAATTACACATTGCATTTAATTGTCAGGATTCTTTAGTCTTCTTCAATCTGAAACATTTCCTCAGTCTTTCCTTGACCCTCATGACCTGTACATTGTTGAAGATTACAGGTAAGTTATTTTGTAGAATACCCCTCAATCATGGTTTGTCTGATGTTTCTTTATGATTAGATTCAGTTTATACATATTTGGCAGGAATGTCACAGAAGTGATGTTACATCCTTTTTAGTGTATTGTATTGGGGCCCACAGTTTTGCCATTATTTCTAATATTAACCTTGATTCTTGATTAAGGTGGTATTTGCCAGGCTTTTTCACTATTATTGTTTTTCCTTTTGCAGTTAGGATTTTGTGGGACAGTATATTGAGATAACAGTAATCTTGGTCCTCATCGATCTTTGTTTCTTTTATTTATTTATTTATTTATTTATATCTGCATGAACACATATATTCCTATTTTGTTTAATGAGTTATATTTCTTTACTATTATTATTTGTATTGATATGCCAGCTGTTCCAGATTTGGTCAGTGAGAGCCCCTTCCAGTTCGCTGTTTTGTTCTTTTAACATAGCCTCTCCCATTCTTTGAGCACTTCCTTCCTTTTTGGCACATGATGATGTTCAGGCTCATTTGGTACTTGCTCTATTCTGTCCCTGGAATCAGCAATTTCTTCAAAGAGCCCTGGTTCCTTTTAGTAGAGAATGGTATTAGAAAGCAAGGTCTAGGTGCTCAGTGTACATATTGGGGTGTTGTTGCCCCCAGGACCTCTCAGGGCAGCAGTCCCCAACCTTTCTGGCACCAGGGACCAGTTTCATTGCTGGGGTGGGGTTAGGCTGGGGGTATTGGTTTCAGGATGAAACTATACCACCTCAGATCATCAGGCATTAGTTAGATTTTCATAAGGATCACACAACCTCGATCCCTCACATGTGCAGTTCACAGTAGGGTTTGTGCTTCTATGAGAATCTAATGCCGAAGCTCAGGCAGTAATGTTCACTTGCCCACTGCTCACTTCCTGCTGTGTGGCGCTTTTCCTAACAGGCCGTGGACCAGTGCCAGTCCGCAGCCCGGGGGTTAGGGAATCTCTGTCTCGGGACAGAGCTAGGGAATATATGTATTCTGTGTATAGACATTTACATATTTATGTTTATATACATTGAAATTCATGAGTTGATATCTGTAGCTCTAATTCTAGTCCAAGACAAGGGGGTTCATTCTATTACAGTTGAGCAAATTATTAATAACATAACCATCATTTCATAGTTACCCTTTTTTTTGGTAGTAAGAATACCTAAAATTTACTCACTTGGCAGATTACCAGTATATAATACAATGTTATTAACTATAATCCTCATGTTGTACATTGGTCACTTAGTGGCTTTTGGACTGAGTTGTTTGGAAAAGGGGTTGCATGTTGTCTTTTGAGAGATGTGAATGAAGTTTTACAGACTTAGAAGTCAATGTTTCATAAGAAGGAAAAAAACAAATATCTTGACGTTTTCACTTTTTAGGCAATCAAAAGGATTCCTTCTGTTGCTAACATTTAACATAAAATAATACTCAATTTGATTGATAATTATTAGAATCTTAACATACCTTGGTTAGTGAGCTGCTCCTGAGGAAATTAGAAAACAGTAAATAATTTACATCTACAGAGTAATATTCATTTCTCTTCTAGCTCTTCCACCAAAGCCACCTAAGCCAATGACTTCAGCAGTTCCAAATGGAATGAAGGACAGTTCTGTTTCTCTTCAGGATGCAGAATGGTACTGGGGGGATATTTCAAGGTAACTAGAATGCTACTGTAATTGAATGCAGTTTTTTAAAAAGTCATTTTTGAGAATTAGTAGTTAAAGTAAACCATTTTAAGCTGGGCATGGTGGCTCATGCCTATAATCCCAGCAACTCAGGAGGCTGAGGCTGAAGAATCACATGATACCAGGAGTTCGAGGCTGTAGAGAGCACTCTGTTGCACTCCAGCCTGGGCAACAGAGTAAGACCCCCAACTCTCAAAAAAAAAGAGCATTGTAATGCTCTACTAATTGTTATTTAAAGATTACCATTTAAGGCCGGGTGCAGTGGCTCACACCTGTAAGCCATGCACTTTGGGAGGCTGAGGTGGGTGGATTGCCCGAGCTCAGGAGTTTGAGACCAGCCTGGGCAACACAGTGAAACCCTGTCTCTACTAAAATACAAAAAATTAGCTGGGCATGTTGGCATGCGCCTGTAATCCCAGCTACTTGGGAGGCTGAGGCAGGAGAATTGCTACAACCTGGGAGGCGGAGGTTGCAGTGAGCCGAGATAGTGCCACTGCACTCCAGCCTGGGCGACAGAGTGAGACTCTGTCTCTTAAAAAAAAAAAAAGAAAAGAAAAAGCTCACTTAAAAAATTTTGCATGGGAACGCTTCATTAGTGTCTTAATACTTTTCTTCCCATGAAAAAGTGACAAGAAAATCTTCATTATTTATTTGTTTTGAGATGGAGTCTCACTCTGTTGCCCAGGCTGGAGTGCAGTGGCATGATCTCAGCTTACTGCAACCTCCGCCTCTTGGGTTCAAGCGATTCTCCTGCCTCAGCCTCCCAAGTAGCTGGGATTACAGTCATGCATCACCATACCCTGCTAGTTTTTGTATTTTTAGTAGAGACAGGGTTTCACCATGTTGGCTAGGCTGGTCTCGAACTCCTGACCTCAGGTGATCCACCTACCTTGGCCTCCCAAAGTGCTGGGATTACAGGTGTAAGCCACTGCACCTGGCTGAAAATCTTTAAATTATGGGTGTGATTATTACTTCTAATACTATATTGAGGATGGATTTCTAAATAAGTGACATGTAGACATTTAGGATAGTTACATGTGTTTTAGAATTAAAAATATTTGTGGGTACTTAACATTTCTGTACCTTTCTTTCTCTTAAGCCAGTGGTTCCAAAGTCTTTGCATGCACAAAAATCAATTGAGGTGGAGCCCAGGAATCTGCATTTAATAGATTCCCTGGGTGAATTTGATGCAGTCTCTTTACACACCCCAGTTTGATAAACAGGACTCTAGGACAGATTTGTTTTCTGGGTAAAGTGTAGTTTTAGGTAATTTTGAACCTAAAGAGGGAATTATATACATTTAATTTGAATATTGTATTTTCTTACTAAATTTTTTTCTTGTTAAACTTGCTTTAGTGGGTCTCAGATGTATTTTCTTTTTAAAGCCCTATCCATTTCTGTCAAATCAGTTTCCAGGTTGATGCTGTATTCCTCAGAACACTTACCTATCCCTTTCTCTTCTCTGTTCTCTTCCTCTACCAAAATGGTATTTATTTAATTTTTTTTTACCCTTACGATTTCAACTATTTTAAGAGTACATTTGCATTGTTGTGCAGCTATCATCACCATCCATCTCCAGAACTTTTTCATTTTCCCTAACAGAAATTCTGTACCCATTAAACAATAACCCCCCATTCTCCCCTCCCTCAGCTCATGGCAACCACCATTCTGCTTTCTGTCTTATGAATTCAATTGTAGGTACTTTGCATAAGTGTAATCATATAATAATTGTACTTTTGTGACTGGCTTATTTCACTTTCTTCATACGTCTTCAAGGTTCATTCATGTTGTAGCATGTGTCAGAATTTCATTCCTTCTTAAGGCTAATATATGTATATGTTATATATTTTTTTAATCCATTCATCTGGACATTTAGATTGTTTCTAATTTATGGCTGTTGTAAATAATGCTGCAATTAATATTGGTGCACACATATCTGAGTCCCTGCTTTCAGTTATTTTGGGTATATACCCAGTAGTGGAATGGAATTGCCAGGTCATATGGTAGGTAATTCTGTGTTTAACTTTTTGAAGAGGACTTAATATGTTTTATTAAAAAAATTTTTTTTTTGAGATAGAGTCTCGTTCAGTCCCCCAGGCTGGCGTGCAGTGGTGCAGTCTCAGCCCACTGCAACCTCCGCCTCCCAGGTTCAAGTGATTCCCCTGTCTCAGCCTCCCAAGTAGCTGGGATTACAGGCGCTTGCCCTGCCACCACGTCCGGCTAATTTTGTATTTTTAGTAGAGACAGGGTTTCATCATGTTGGCCAGGTTGGTCTCGAACCCGTGACCTCAAGTGACCTCTCTGCTTCAGCCTCCTAAAGTGCTGGGATTATAGGCGTGAGCCACTGCACCCAGCCATTTTATTTTAAAATTGGTTAGAATATTTCTATTTTAATATTGTACAATAAAAGTCTTTTTTTAAATTTTAAGATCATGTGGTTCTGATATGATTCAAGGGTCTTTTATGCCCTGCCATTTCCTTTAAGTGTTCTAGTGTTGTGCCTTAAAGTCCTAAATCAACTCTACAGAAGGAATTTGTTATCGGGACAAATTCAAACTAGGAGACTATCCTATTGAAAGGTTATGAACTTAGTGAATTTTCCCCCTTCTGTTCAGAAACAGCTGCCACTGTTGCTTAAATATAACCTTCTTTCTAAACAGCCACTGTTTTTTTCCTGAAACTTTACAAGTTCAGACCTGCCTAAGGAAACCCTTAAAGGCTTGATGGAAACAGTATCTCTTACACACATTTGAAATCTGGAAGAGTTTAAAAATCAAATAGCTCTTCTGTAGATTGCGTAACACCAAAAATCAAAACAGAAAGAGCATATTTAATGCAGGGAAGAACTAAATGACCTCTAAATGGCTCCGTTATTCTATAACCTCAGGCACACCTACTGCCGAAGCTGCCTTAGTAGTAACATGTAAAGAAGGCACACCTACTGCCGAAGCCACCAGTGTTGACATTTTTTCATTTTTCTTATAATTCTGTTCTTCAGGGAGGAGGTAAATGACAAATTGCGGGATATGCCAGATGGGACCTTCTTGGTCCGAGATGCCTCAACAAAAATGCAGGGAGATTATACTTTGACTTTGCGGTAAGTACTTTTCAGTCTTTTGGCTAGTTCTCTACTGATGTTATTTTAGTTCTGGGTATACAGATATTTCTGTATTTAAATCTTTATCTATACAATTTTTCATATTTTCATTTAATTTATGTACATAATTTCCAGTCTGGCTAATTCTTTTTTCTATACATTAAGTATTTAAACATTTTGTATAAAAATGGCAACTTAAAAAAATGTAGAAAGAAAATGAAAAGGTTAAAATCCCAAAATGTAAGGGAGTAGGAAGCATACTGTTGACCTTATAAAGGAAGTAGAAGTCATGGGCATATTCTAAGGGTAAAAATGAATCTATCCTTTGAATAACCCTATTATCTTCCTTAATGCAGACTTTAGAAAGCAGAACTCAACATAATTTTGGTTGATGAGGATATGCTGAAGATAAAGCAGTTCCTAGCGTATATCATGCTTTTCATATGGGCATATTTAGAGTCTTTTAAGTGATGGATATATGATTTTTTAATATTTGCACATATTTTTAAAAGGTTAAGAAAACTGCATGAGAAATTTCCACATTTAATTTTAATAATTAAAGTAGCCCAGTTACAATAAAGCCTTATGATTTTTTTTAAAAAGGAAATATTTAACAAAAAGAAAATAACAGTAACAATAACAATGACTAACTTTCTTGTACTAAGGCCTTTACATGCAATAGATCATTTATTCTTCACAACAACCTTATGAGGTAGGTATTATTACTATTCCCATTTTATAGATGAGGTAACTAAGGGTTAACATGGTTAAGGAACTTGCCTAAAGTCACATAGTTAGAAAGTGGTAGAGGAAGAGTTTAAATCCAGATTCATCTGGCTGTTTGCTGCCTTTCCAGCCTAATATCTTTAGGAAAAATAATGCCTCATTTTATGCTAGTATGGCATAAATTTGGAGGCACTATTTTAGTTTCTGGTAAAGAGCTAAAGAAATTAATACCTTTGCACTTGAATTGTGCTGACTAATCAGTGTTCTACAGTAATTCATTGAACACAATTTTTCCTCTACTCCACTCAGGCTTCTGTCTCCACCACTCCACGGAGACTGCTAAACACTTTTCTCTTCTTACCTTACTTGACCTCTTAGCAGCATTGGTCATAGACACTTCTTCTTAGAAGCAGTTTATTGTTTTGGCTGTTAAGACGTCACACTTTCCTGATTTTCTTCCTAACTTTAAGCTATTTTGCTCAATATCTAAATTTTAAGTGTTCCAGGGCTTGGGACCTGGGCCTCTTTTTCTTCTCTGTATTCATTCTCTTAAGGTGAGCTTGTCCTGTCCCATGGCCTTAATATATGTGATGATTAATTTAAGTGTCAATTTGGCTGGATTACCTAGAGAACTGGTAAAGCATTATTTTGGATGTGTCTGTGAGGGTGTTTCCAGAGCAGATTAGCATTTGAGTCAGTGGACTGAGTAAGGAAGATCGCCCCTCAGTGTGAGCACCATCCAATTGGCTGAGGATAGAACAAAAAGAAAGAAAAAAATTTTATCTCTCTGTCTTGGAGCTGGAGCACACTCTTATTCTGTCCTTGGAAATCAGAACTCCAGCCTTTGGACTCCAGGACTTATACCAATCCTCCTCACCCCCTATGGGTTCTCAAGGCCTTCAGTCTTGGACTGAGAGTTATACCATTGGCTTCCTGGGTTCTGAGGCTTTAGGAATTGGACTGAGCCACACTACTGGCATGCCAGCTTGCAGATGGCCTGTAATGGGACTTCTCAGCCTCCATAAACATGTGAGCCAATTCCCCTGATAAATCCCCTCATATTTATCTTTGTCTCTCTCCTATTGGTTCTGTCTCTCTGGAGAACTCTGATTAACACAGATTTGGTACCAGGAATGATTCTAGAGGAAGGTAATTTTTTTTTTTTTTAACACAGGTTATTGCTCTGTCTCCTAGGCTGGAGTGCAGTGGCATGGTCATGGCTCACTGCAACCTTAACCTCCCAGGCCTAAGTGATCCTCCTACCTCAGCCTCCTGGGTAGCTGGGACCAAAGGCGCATGCCACCACACCCAGCTAGTTTTTGTGTTTTTTATTTTTTGTAGAGATGGAGTCTCCCTGTGTTGCCCAGGCTGGTCTCAAAACTCCTGGGCTCAAGCAGTCCTCCTGCCTCGACCTTCCAGTGCTGGGATTACAGGCGTGAGCCACTGTGCCCAGCCTGAGGAAGAGAATTTTAAGGATGAGTTTCCTTAATTAATTTTGGGGTTCCCGGAATTGGCTCTCTTAATTTGATGAGACTTAAAAATGCTAAGGACCCTACTTCTAATAGTACAGAGAGCACTGACAGTCCATGCTGTGAACTGTTTATATAGCGATATGCTAAATATCTGCATTTGATACTTCTAATTTACCACCTATAAGAGGCAAGGAACTTGGCAACCCTGTATTTGATACTGTCAAACGTTTGTAGAAAACCAAGGTTTTCTAATATTGCTGGACGAAGTGATGAAAGAAAAGGGTGAGCTCAGGGTTTTGATTTCCTGGCCCCAGCTCTGCCATAAATAGCCCAAGAGCTTCTAAATATGCCCTAAGTCAGAATCTTCTCTTCTGTTGCCAAAGGTCTGAAATTGCACAAAATCAAACACATACTCTCATCATGTGATTAGCTGAATTACAATCAAAGGTGAAATATCAGCCTTGTAAGGTATCTGCTGTTAAAATGAGGGCATTGGTTGGGAAAGATGGAATTCTATACGTTTGGATGGGGATGTGTGGGAAGACCCTGATGAGGCTGGGGACGTTGAGCTCCTAAATTCTGATGAGTCTTGTTTGCCAGCAGAAATGGCCTCCCACCCCCAGTAACAGCATCCCCCCTACACTGGCCTTTCCACCTTTGTCTGAGGGGATTGACTCTGCATTGCCTGAGGAAACCATAATGGCCTTCCTCTAGGCAGCTGCTAAGCCAGAGGATGCTGAGTCTTCTCAGGACCCACCCCCACCACACCTCTTTGCTTCTAGACCTATAGCTAGACTTGAGTCCCAGCAGCCCCTAAAGATGAGGTACAAAGTTTTACTCATGAGGAGATGTGCTACATGGTAAAAAAGCTACTTGAGGTTTCTAATTTATACAAGGAGAAATCTGGAAAATATGTATGGGAATAGATATTTAGGGTGTATTTAGGGTGTGAGATAATGGTGGAAGGAACATAAAGTTGAGTCAGGCTGAATTTATTGGTTTTTTTTTTTTTTTTTTTTTTTTTTTTTTTGACGGAGTCTAGCTCTGTCGCCCAGGCTGGAGTGCAGTGGCTGATCTTGGCTCACTGCAAGCTCCGCCTCCCAGGTTCCCACCATTCTCCTGCCTCAGCCTGCTGAGTAGCTGGGACTACAGGCGCCCGCCACCACGCCCAGCTAATTTTTTATATTTTTAGTAGAGGCGGGGTTTCACCTGTGTTAGCCAGGATGATCTCGATCTCCTGACCTCGTGATCCGCCCGCCTCGGCCTCCCAAAGTGCTGGGATTACAGGCATGAGCCACCGCGCCCAGCTGAATTTGTTTTTGGCCCACCAAACACATTCTGCATTTAATATTGTGGCTCAGGGAGTTAGAAAAGGCAACAGTTGGCCGGTCATGGTGGCTCACTCCTGTAATCCCAGCACTTTGGGAGGCCAAGGCAGGCGGATCATGAGATCAGGAGTTAGAGACTAGCCTGGCCAACATGGTGAAACCCCGTCTCTACTAAAAATACTAAAAAAAAAAAAAAAAAAAATTAACTGAATGTGGTGGCATGCGCCTATGGTCCCAGCTACTTGGGAGGCTGAGGCAGAGGAATCGCTTGAACCTGGGAGGTGGAGGTTGCAGTGAGCCAAGATCGCGCCACTGCACTCCGGCCTGGGTGACAGAGCAAGACTCCATCTCAAAGAAAAAAGAAAGGCAACGGTTTATTTGGTTAGTTGGCTGAAACATGGATGAAAAGATGGCCTACTGTGAGCCAGCTGGAAGTGTCTGATCTACCTTGGTTAACACAGAGGAAGAGATTCAAAGGCTTAGGCAGGAGACTGGGTTGCTACAGTGGATTTGTCACTTAAAATCTACTTATTTACACTGGGTGAGTCCAGATCACATACTTTTCAGCAGTACTTTGAGAAACAGATTTGTGAGGAGAACCCCATCATCCCTAAATGCCATGATTGCCCTTCTCTGTAGGCCGGACCTTAAAATGGAAACTGCAGTCACTCAATTGAAAAATTTAAATGCAATGGGAATAACTGGATTCCAGGGTAGCAGAGGCCAAGTGAAGGGACTCATTTGACAAAGGCAAGGTGGACATGGTTATCATAACAGACAGCAGAAGCAAAGCAACAGTCAGAATAGTCTGACTCATGTAGACCTGTGGCATTGACTAATTCACTGTATGGGCAGCTCACTGTCTATTTTCTTCTCCCTTCCCACCTAGTCTGTCTTGGCCTACTACAATTTAAATTATCTGAGGTTGGGGATTTTGTTTAATGATTGCTGTATCTCCAGTGTCTAGATTAGTGCCTGATACTGGGTAAGCATTAGAGAATGGATGCCTAATATATATATATATATATATTTATTTATATTTGTATTTTTGAGACAGGGTCTCTCTCTGTCACTCAGGCTAGAGTACAGTGATGTGATCATAGCTCACTGAAGCCTTGAGGCTCCTGCCTCAGCCTCCCGAGTGGCTGAGACTACAGGGGTGTGCCACCATGCCTGGTGGCTAATTTTGTAAAAATTTCTTTGTAGAGATGAGGTCTCACTATGTTGCCCAGGCTGGTCTCACGCTAAGGGTCTCAAGTGATCCTCCCACCTTGGCCTCCCCAGTCCTGGGATTACAGGCATGAGCCACCATGCCCAGCTTATAAATACTTATTTAATAGATGAATATGCTTCTTATTTATCTGGAAAATGGTTTTAATCCCACACTAAGTTGTGGAATTTCATTCCTTTTAAGGCTGAATAATAGTCTGCTATATGTATATACTACATTTTGTTTATCCATTTATCACTTGATAGCATTAGCAAGAATGTTTGAAAGTTTTCATGTATCTATCACAAGGTCTGACATACAGTAGGTGTTTGATAGGTGTTGAGTAAATGTTTGAATGAAAGAATTAATGAGAGAAAGACAGAGAGAAAGTTTCTCGCAGGAAATGACAGTTGAGCTAGGCCTTGATAGATTTTTGCAAGGCAGAAGAGTGATGATCTTAATTCAATTTAATAAATAGTTGCAACTTAGTGCTAATTACTCTGCAGGGTATCTAACAATGAGTTAAAACTTTTGTCTCTGGGAATGTATAATCTAGTGAGGACAAAGGGAATGAGAAAATGGCTTTGAGTGAAAGTTTAATAGCAGGAGAGTTTCACAAAATATGCTTTGGTGACTGAAAGGAGGAAAAGAGATATCTTTGTTAAGAGAATGTAGAAAACTGACCTTCACAGAAGAGATTACATTTGCAGAATATCTTGAAGGGGATAGGTTTGGACATGTAGAAAGTGGGAGGGGAGTAGCAGGAATAGATAACAATAGGAGCAAATATACGGAGGTGAGATTTTATAGCTGCTTTCTGTGAGATGTAGTCCTGTTTGGCTAAAAGATAAAGTTTGTGAAGAAGAAGTGGTAGGGGATAGGAGGTAGGAAAGGGGTCATGTTTAAGAGGGCCTTGAATTCCAAAACTTGGGAGTTTGTATTTAATGTATTTAATGTTGTAGGTAGGTGGGGAGAACCACTGCATTTTTTCGGCAGGGAAATTGTGATCAGGCGCGCGCTCTCTCTCTCTCTCTCTCTCTCTCTCTCTATATATATATATATATATTTTTTTTTTTTTTTTTGGAGACAGAGTCTTGCTCTGTTGCTCAGGCTAGAGTGTAATGGCGCGCAATCTTGGCTCATTGCAACCTCCGCCTCCCAGGTTCAAGTGATTCTCCTGCCTCAGCCTCCTGAGTCTGGGATTACAGTCGTGTGCCACCACGCCCAGCTAATTTTTGTATTTTTGGTAGAGGCAGGGTTTCACCATGTTGGCCAGGTTGGTCTTGAACTCCTGACCTCAGGTGATCTGCCCGCCTCGGCCTCCCAAAATGCTGGGATTATAGGCGTGAGCTACCGCGGGGATAGATGTTGACTTCTAGCTGCTCCAGAACCGCAAGGTAAAAATGTATCTAGGATATAGCTAGAAATTTAGGTTTAATGCTTAGGAGAGAGTACAGGACCAGAGAAAGAGTCAAGCTACCATATGCATAAATGGGATTTTTATGGAAAAAAATATATAAAATTTAAAAGGTGGAGGCTGAAGGCAAAATTTTTTTTTAGGGAATAACTAGGGTTGGAGGAGACAGGAAGAGTGGTTTGAGAGGTTGAAAGAAAATAATAATTTCATCAAAGTTATGGAAGGATGAAATATTAAGAAGGGAGAGAGTGAGGGAGAAGGAGGGCCTGGGATAAAGGAAGGGGACAGAGTCTGAATTTGTTCAAAGTCATTGGTGACTCTTAAATGAGAGGAATGAGAGTAAAACCAGACTGCAGAGAGTAGTAGGTAGTGAAGAAATAGAGATTTTTCAGTTCAATAGCTCTTATTTTTTAAATTGGTAAATAGTATTTGTTGTAGAAAATCTGGATACTTAACAAATCTTTAAGAATCTGCTATCTGCCAGGCATTGGACTAGGTGCTGAGATACAAGGAGGACTAGCATGACCTTCAGTTCCTTTCCTTCTCTCATCTCTGCTTAGAGTCCATGTACATTATTATTAAAATTACCCATGTGAATATATCCTTAACAAACTTGCTCCTCTCTTCCTCCAGTGTAGTCACCAGACTAAATTCCAACACGGTATTAAATTCAGTTCTCCACTTAGTCCTTCCCTATACTTGAGCTGCTGAATGTGGAGAAGGGGACGTGACCACATGGACTGGTTTCACATTAATTATGACCACTAACCTTAAGTGACCTTTAAAACTGCCCAGCTTAACTTCTGCATTTCCACAATGCATTCATCCTGCTTCCTCGTCAGTTTCGTAAATGACAATTTCACATGTTCTTTTTTTCTCTTTTAAAGGACAGCCTTTCTTCCCACTTTTAACTATAGAACTTGCTTTTAATTTCACTGATATATGGACACAGTCAGACGAGAACTCCTTCATGCTCCTATTACCACAGCTATCAACATATTTACACATTAATGTGAATAGTCTGCCGCTTTTCTGTTCCAGTGGATGACTGTTCATGTCCTTGTCCAGGGTCTGCTTCTCTGTTTGTAGACTGGATCCCATCCCATCCCTCTAATCTACTCAAGGACATCACTCTAGGAATAATCTTGTCCTCTTTGTTGGATCAACAATTTTTGTCTATTGAGTCATTCCCATCAGCATATAAATATACTCTATTATCTCCCATTTAAGAATAGTAAATAATTGACCCTATATCTCTTTCTAGATACTTCCCTATTTCTCTGCCCTTATTTATAGCAGTGTTCCTCGAGACACTTGTCTATGGGCATTTCTATCTTCTTTCATTTTCTTGAATCCATTCCAGTCAGGGTTCTATCCTTACCATTTCACTGAAACCATTTAGTCAGTTCATTTAGTGCTATCTACTTTGCCAAACCTAATTATCATTGGACTTGGTTGATAATTTCCTCTTTGTTGAAGTGCTTTTGTACGTATTGGTTTTTAGGATATCACACTCTTAGTTCTCCTCTCACTTCATTAATTGCTCCCTTTTGGTTTCCTTTGCTGATTCTTCCTTCCATGTCTCTGACCACCAAACATTGGCATACCCCAGTGCTTAGGCCTTGGACCTCTTTTTCTGTCCAGCTATGCTCACCATCAAATAACATACATCGGCTGGTAACTCCTGAATTTCTATCTTTAGCCCAGACCTTTCTCCTGAACTTTAGATTCTTTAAGTAGCCTGCTGGATCATCTGCTTTTGAATGTTTAGGAGGCATCTCAAACTTAAAGTGTCTAAAACCAAACTTTTTCCCCCTTTAAACATATTCTTTTTTTTTTTTTTGAGATGGCATCTTACTCTGTACCCCTGGCTGGAGTGCAGTGGCGTGATCTCGGCTCACTGCAACCTCTGCCTCCTGGATTCAAGCAATTCTTCTGCCTCAGGCTCCTGAATAGCTGGGATTACAGGTGCCCTCCACCACGCCAGGCTAATTTTTGTATTTTAGTAGAGACGGGGTTTCACTACATTGGTCAGGCTGGTCTCGAACTCCTGATTTCAAGTGATCTGCCTGCCTTGGCCTCCCAAAGTGCTGGGATTACAGGCGTGAGCCACCGTGCCTGGTCTAAACACATTCTTTTTAAATAGCCTTCTTCATGTCAATAAATGACAATTCCATTCTTCTGATTGCTTATGACAAAAACCTTGAAATCATCTTTATCTTGTCTCTCTGTCATATTTGTATCCAAGCCATCAGCAAATCCTGTCAGCTCTATCTTCAAAATATGTTAAGAATCTCACTATTTCTCATGACCTCTACTACTGCTACCCTCATCCAAGACACCATCATGCCTTGCCTAGATTATTATAAAAGTTTCACAAGTGATCTTTCCACTTCTACTGCTGCCTCCTTTGAACAGTCTTTTCTCAACTCAGCAGCTAGAGTGAATCTTTTAAGCCACAAGATAGATTATATGATTCTACTGAAAACCTTTTTGTGCCTCCCCTTCTCACTCAGTAAAAGCTAAAGCCCTTACAGTAACCTACAGACTGTTATTACATAATCTAAGCTCCTTTTACATGTCTTACCTAGTCTCCTATTACTCTCCCTTTTGGTCATTCAGGCCCAGCATCACTGGCCTTCTTGCTGTTCCTCGAACATGCCAAGCATGCCCTTACCGCACCTCTCTCTAGGAAACTTCCCGTACATATCTGCTGTACTAGCTCCCTCACTTCACTTAGAACTCTGTTCAAATGTCACCTGAACAGAGAGGTTTTCCTTGAGCAGTACAAACAATTCCTCCATCACAAGAACTCCTTTCCCTTTACTCTGCTTTATTTTTTTTCCCAACAGACTTATTACTATTTGGTATATTTAGTTGTTTATTTTTGTGTTCTATCTTGAGAAGTTTGTTATCTTCCTTAATAAACTGAAAGACAGAGATATGTTCCTTATGCTGTTAAACTGGAAGCTCCATGAGAGCATGGACTGTGTCTGGCTTGTTTATCATATATCTGTAGTGCATTGTGTAATTCCTGGCACATAGATATTCAGCACATAATTTTAAATGAATGAATGTCTTTTAACTTTAACAGAGAGGCCAGCTTGCAATTATTGTATGTGTGAGTGTACACATTTATAGTAACTGTATATGATTAGATGGTCCTTCTCATGTATATTTAATAGAAATAATTTATCATCCATCTAAAAACTGACCTAAACATTGTTTAAATCAGCTTATAGGGTCAATCTTACTGTGTTTGACCTTTTACAAAAAGGTCATTTATATAAAATGGTCATTTATGTAAATGCTATTTATATAAAATGGCATGGCATAAAGAGAGTTAGGGGCATAAGCCTGCGTGCTGCTGTAAGAATGGTTGAATGGGAATGGTACAGCATTTTGCTATGAATCAACCTGCTGTGGTTTTAGATTATGCCTTATGGGACTTGCAAAACATTGCTATTTTAAACTTTAGTTATAAATTATCTTTTAAGGGTCCATTTAGATATGACTCAGTAAACAAAGGTGGCCTGAACTGTCCAAGCATGAAATTACATTCATCTAATATACATAGCTCTTCAAAAGCTATACTTTGTAAAACAGTTGAATGACTTGAATCATTTACATGTTGTGATTGCCTGAACAGTCATTTCTGAGAATTATAAGCAAGTGTAAAAGACAAAATAGTATAAGGTTCTAGATTAATTATGCAGCTATAAATCATAGATTAAGGAGCTCAGTTATGTTTGTGCATTAACAACAAAACCTTGAGTATGTTGGTGATTGTGTGACAAATGTTTATCATTCCCTTCATATAGAGATGGCTTCTGCTCCCCCCACAGAGACATACAACCACATATCTTTAGGTCCTTAAGAGATTTTTTCTGTTCTTCCTGATAAAAATATTGATAGAATTTAAATTTGAAAATTCATTCAGAATATAAACAAAAATAGAATTTACTTCTGTTTTATTTTTCTTAAGTGATTTTTTTTGCTACATTTGTTCATACTGAATGCTGTGTAGATATGTTGACCTTTAATAACCAAAGTATTTTATGGACAAAACAATGCAAAATGAATTATATATATATATATATATATATATGTTCACACACAGAATAACATGCCTTTTCACTCCTTCCAGCCTCATTAACATAGTAAAACTTGTTTATCATGTGACACCAAGCTTTCACGTCTCCATATGAAAGCAGTAGTTCAGTTGAATTTGGGGGAAAAAAATCCACAGTTGTTGTCTTGTTGTTCACAGGAAGGGAGGCAATAATAAGTTAATAAAGATCTATCACCGGGATGGTAAATATGGCTTTTCTGATCCTCTGACATTTAATTCCGTGGTGGAGCTCATTAACCACTATCACCATGAATCTCTTGCTCAGTACAATCCCAAACTTGATGTGAAGCTGATGTACCCAGTGTCCAGATACCAACAGGTATGATTATGGAAATCCTTGCTAGCTATTGAGCAAGTGATTATTTAACAGCCTTATTTGATTTTATTTACCAGGCTTATCAGTTTTAAAAAACTAGCCATTTTGTTATTTATTTATTTACTTTGAGACAGGGTCTCTGTTGCCCAGGCTGGATTGCAGTGGCATGAATATGGCTCACTGCAGTCTTGACCTTCTGGGCTCAAGTGGTCCTCCTGCCTCAGCCTCCCCGGTAGCTGGGATCACAGGTGCATGCCACAACTTCAGGGTCTTGCCATGTTGCCCAGGCTAGTCTTGAACTCCTGGGCTCAAGCAGTCATCTCACTTTGACCACCCAAAGTGTTGGGATTATAGGCATGAGTCATTGCGCCTAGTGCATACTTAAGATTTTAGATATTTTTGGAACTTATTTTGTGGCTACCCTTCTGTAATATCTTATTGCATGTACTTGTTACCTTTATATAAAAATACTTATGTTTATGTCTCCCACTTCATTTCTTAATTTTTAAAGTATTAATCATTTTGATGTGACTTAAAGGCTGATCTTAATATTATCAAAGGATTTGGTACATTTGTGTGCTTGATATTAATACAGTGGCTTAAAGTTGTACAGTTGAAATATAGTTTAATAGATGGTTGAGGTGATATTTTCCTTTAAAAAATAGATGTGGAAAATCTATTTCCACATATGTCAGAATTGTTAACATTCTTTATTTTTTTCTTTACCTGTATAGGATCAGTTGGTAAAAGAAGATAATATTGATGCAGTAGGTAAAAAACTGCAAGAATACCACTCTCAGTATCAGGAGAAGAGTAAAGAGTATGATAGGCTGTATGAAGAATATACTAGAACATCCCAGGTTGGTATATTATGTTGTTTTTGACTAATATGTGTGCAATGTTTTAGTTACATCAAATTTTCGATCATTCACTTGATGATCTTTAGCTGTTTTAATGTCTTAAAGGCTTAAACAGCCTTTTTGAAACTTTAATGATATAAATTCCCCTCCCTTCTTAATTGGTTAAGGATATAATTTGTATCAGTTAATATTAACTGGTCACAAGTGACAAAATAAAACCAAAGGCTTCAGATAGAAATTTAGTTTTCTTTCATGTGTATATAGGCACTACAGGGGTGTTAGGGTAACTCCACCATCCTCAGAACTTATAGACATTTTCTGTCTTGATGCTTTGCTATCTGTGGAAGAGGGCTTACTCTAATATCAGCCATCACAACCATATTCTAGTAAACAGGAAGTAAGAATAGGAAGGAGAAAGGAAGGTTCTCTATCTTTAAGACAACTTCCTAGAAGGAGCACACTCTGCTTTCACTTTTATCCCACTGGCTAGAACTAAGTCACATGGGCATACCTAGCTACAGGTCACAGCTAGCTGTAGGGGAGGCTGAGAAATCTAGTTTTTATTTGGTCAGGTGTGTTCAGCTAATGTGGGGATTTACTGAGGAAGAAGGAGCTGATGGATGGAAATTGTGGGCTTACTAGTAGACTTAGTTAGCTACACAGTTTTTAGATCATTAACTTTAATAGCCAGTAATACTTTTCATATTTATGATATAGAGCAAAATTCTGTTGAATAATCTAGTTTCTTTCCTAGGACTTCTTAGGCCTGACTACTTTTTAGATTGTTTTTTAGCTAGACTTGGATTGGTTTAATTTGCCCTAAGTTGTTACATAGTTTGTCAAAAGTGTTTGGAATTTTGATGAAGGTGAATATCTTCAGAGAAGTTTACCTTTTATAATATTTGGGTAGAAGTGGCTTAGGAAAATGTATTTAACTGTATTTCTCATGTACATTGTCTTGGAACACAGGTTATTATTTTGAATATCAAATGATTTATAGAAGCATTAGTCTATGTTGATTCGACTTAATTCCTAGTGAATTCTTAGTGCAACAATAACTTACCTTGGGCTCTTTCTAGTAGATAACAATAATGGATTTTTTTAGTGTTTACTTTCTGTTTCATGAATTTCTGCTCTTTCTAATTTTTTTCTGCTTGCTTTCAGTTTAATTTTCTCTTTTCCTAGCTTCTTAAGGTGGAAATTTTGTTCATTGGTTTAAAAACTTTCTCTTTTCTAAAATAAGCATTTAAAGCAATACATTTTCCTTTAAGCACTGTGTATATGCATCTCACAAATTTTATCATACTGTTTTCCTTATTATTCAGTTTTTAATATTTTCTATTTTTTGTGATTTCTTCTTTTGCCCCTTGTGTTTTTAATTTCTAAATATTTGGGACTTTCAAATATTTATTTCTAATTTAAATTAGTTTTGTTGTTAGTAAATATATTCATTAAAGTTATATTCTTTTGACATTTATTGACCTAAATTTTATTTTATTATTGATATTTTTATGAGACAGAATCTTGCTCTGTCGCCCAGGCTGGAGTGAAGTGGCACCATCTCAGCTCACTGCAACCTCCGCCTCCCGGGTTCAAGCAATTCTCCTGCCTCAGCCTCCCGAATAGCTGGGATTACAGGCGTGCACCACCATGCCCGGCAAATTGTTGTATTTTTAGTAGAGACAGGGGTTCATCATGTTGGCCAGGCTGGTATCAAACTCCTGACCTCAGGTGATCCGCCCATCTCGGCCTCCCAAAGTGCTGGGATTACAGGCGTGAGCCACCGTGCCTGGCCAGCTCTTTTTTTATTTTTATTTTTTATTTTACTTACTTATTTTTTTGAGACAGAGTCTCACTCTATTGCCCAGGCTGGAGTGTAGTGGCACGATCTCGGCTCACTGTGACCTCCATCTCCCAGATTCAAGTGATTCTCTTGCCTCAGCCTCCTGAGTAGCTGGGATTACAGGCATCCACCACCATATCTGGCTAATTTTTGTATTTTTAGTAGAGATGGGATTTCGCCATGTTGGTCAGGCTGGTCTTGAACCCCTGACTTGAAGTGATCGACCCGACTCAGCCTCCCAAAGTGTTGGGATTACAGGCGTAAGCCACCGGTGCCCAGCCATAAACAACTCTTTAAGAAGCTTATCTGTGATTTGAAGAGAGTTTTGGAATAAGAATGCTTTTTTTTCAAAGTGTTGTTACCAGAGCTTGTTTATATGCTGCTAAGAAGGAACCATTAGACTGGGAGAGTTAATGATGTAAAAGGGGTTAGCTGATACGATAGAGTGAAGTACCCAGAAAGGAAGGGGAGCTGAGACCCAGAGCACATGTAAATAAAGGGAGGGGAAGGAAGAGAGGAGGTGAACAGGTAGGTTTATAGTTTTGGTGGCAGGTGTAGTGGTATAGTGGCATTGTTGATGGGGGAGGTGCTGACTTAGTAGTGATATCAAATACTTTTCCCTTTGCTGTTCTACTTACCAATATATCTACCAGTGTTAATAAAGTCTAAATTATTAGTGTTTTCTTTGAAGATCCAGGGCCAGAACTTTATAGGTAATTTCTAACTTGGCAAGGGAGCTAAAGCTCTCCACTATAATTTAAGAGTTGTAGAATTAGTACCAAGATATTTGGCATATGGGAATTCTAGTTACTTTTTAGTATTAAGATACATATGATGTAATCTTAACTGTATGGACTATCACAAGGTTCCAGCCTCCCTCATCTGCTAATCCTCTAATGTTCTAGCCCTACTGGGCAATTACTAATCCTTGAACATGCCTTGTTATTTTATGTATACATTATACCATGCCTCCTTTGTGCAGTGCTGTATTTTCTTCCTCTATCTCAGTTCTTTAAGACCTAGCTTAAGTGTCACCTCCTCTGTGAAGTCTCTGTAAAGCAATAAATAACTAGTTAATAAATAACTGGTTGCCTCTTCCATGACATGAAACCAAACCTTATTAGAGTTCAGAAATCTGTTCCACCTGTATATTCTGAGTCCTGGAGGGCAGACTTCACGTTTCACAAATCTCTATCACCAGATGGTAATTTCTGTATAGTGGATTCTCAGTAATCAATTGCCGAAAGTGACAAATGCTTAAGCTAGGTGTGTGGTGCCCCCCTAAAGTCTCAACTAGTTGGGAAGCTGAGGTGGAATGATCCCTTAAGCCCAGGATTTCAAGTCCAGCTTAGGCAACAGTTTTAAAAAAACCAATCCACCCACCCACCCACCAACCAAAACTGAAACCGAAACCGAAACCAAAGCCAAAACCAAAACCAAACACCCCAGCCTAGTAAGTGCTAGATAATGTAGGAATTATCCCATAAACATCAAAACTTCTAGAATTGTAAACATTCAGGACAGCAGTTTTTCTAGACCCTTATGCATATTTATTGCCTTTCTAAAAAGCAAACTGAACAAAATTTAACCTGAAGATTTTTGGGGAATTGTGATTCAGATGCCTTTTTGTTTTTTTGAGACAAAGTCTTGCCCTGTCGCCCAGGCTGGAGTGCAGTGGCACAATTTCAGCTCACTGCAACCTCTGCCTTCCGGGTTCAAGCAATTCTCCTGCCTCGGCCTCCTGAGTAGCTGGGATTACAGGCGCCCGCCACCACGCCTGGCTAATTTTTGTATTTTTAGTAGAGACGGGGTTTTGCCATGTTGGCCAGGCTGTCTTGAACTCCTGACCTCAAGTGATCTGCCTGCCTCGGCCTCCCAAAGTGCTGAGATCACAGGTGTAAGCCACCACGCCTGGCCTATTTTATAGTTTAAATGATGTATTTTACATACAAGTAATAGAGTAGGGGTTGAATAAAAGCTCTTGTTTTAGTCCTCCTAAACAAGGAGAAGACTTTTGAAAGACTAGGTGTTATATGGGATTACATTAATAACTGGAATTACAAAATTTGTTTAAGACCAAGGTTAGAAGAAAATAATAAAGATAATGAAGCCTGTGTTTTTTCTTTTTCTCTCCTGTAGGAAATACAGATGAAGAGGACTGCAATAGAAGCTTTTAATGAAACAATTAAAATATTTGAAGAGCAGTGTCACACACAAGAACAACATAGCAAAGAATATATTGAGCGATTTCGCAGAGAGGGGAATGAAAAGGAGATTGAACGGTAAGTCTACTTAGTACCTCCAAGGGCATCAGTGAGACAGGATTTCTTTTCTTCCCCAATAATTTCTGTCTTGTTTTCTTTTACCCCCTCAAACTGCACAGCCCTACTATTGGAACCACTTGCTGTTTCCACTAATGGCACCAAATTGAACTTCCTCTCTCCTCTGCTCTTTGTTCATTCTCCCAAACGGATAAACTCCTGCTTATCCGTTAGGACTTCAGGTTAGATATCATCTTTTCTAGAAACTGTTCCCTGATTCCGGAGACCAATTTAGGGGCTGTATTTTGGGTCCCTACAGTGCCTGGTCCTGATCCCTAGTGTAACATTTACTGAATGCCACGCCCACTCAACTGTAAACTCATTGAGAGTAGGCATGGTGGCTTATTTTCCCTGGTAGCCCTAGTACCTACTTATGTATGGGAGTACATAATGGGTGCTCATCGAATATTTTTTTGAATTGAATATCAACTTTGGCAGCAGTCTGAGAATAAATTGTAGTAGAACAAGACTGTAGGCAGGAACACCAGCCTGACTTGCACATGACTGCAACAGTTGTGGTCATCAGGTTAAACGATAATGAGGGCCTGGACTAGAGAAATAGCAGAAAAGAAGCGGGAGGTCATGGGAATGCTAAGGACTTCATGCCTGACCAGATATGGTAGGTGTGGGAGAAGTCAAAGATTATTCCTAGATTTCTGGTGTGAGAGACTGGAAGATGGTGTTTTTCACCAAAATAAGAAGTACATGAGGAGAGTTTAGGGTTGGAACCAGTGAGTTTGAGGTTCCTGTGAGAACACAAATGGAGCTCACTAGGGGGCAGGCAGCTGATTATTTGGATTTGGAACTTGGTATAGAAAGGATTTGGGAGGCATAGGTGTGTAGTTGATGGTAGATGCTAAGAATGAAATTACACAGAAAGGATGTGGCAGGAGAAGTAATGGATTTGATAACTAAAAGGATATTGAAATCCTATCAAAGCAAATTTAGTGGAGTATTGGAAGACTAAGCTAGATTATAGTGGGTTGAGTGCTAAAGTGGATAATAAATACAAGTAATTAATATGCAATGGAAAAGCAAAATTATTTCTCATATTAGGACCACAGTATTAGTGTATTTCTGTGTGCATGAGTTTAGAGCTAAGCACTGTGAGGCAGTGTAGCTTAATGGTTAAAGTGCTGTGAGACAGTGTAGCTTAATGGCATGAGTTTAGAGCTAAGTGCTGTGAGGCAGTGTAGCTTAAATGGTTAAAACTATGGGCTTGAATTCTGAATTAGCCATTTATTAGCTGTATAAACTTGGGTGAATTACTTAACTTTTCTCAGTCTGTTTTCTCTTCCATAAACTGAATAATATCTTGTTGGAATGCTAGAGAATTAAGTAATATATATCCTGGCACATGATGTGCTTTCAGTAAATGATAATTATTTATTTATTTATTTATTTGAGACGGAGTCTCTGTTGCCCAGGCTGGAGTGCAGTGGTGCCATCTTGGCTCACTGCAACCTCTGTCTCCTGGGTTCAAGCGATTCTTGTATCTCAGCCTCCTGAGTCGCTGGGATTACAGGCACCCCCCACCATGCCCGGCTAATTTTTGGTACTTTTTAGTAGAGATGGGGTTTTGCCAAATTGGCCAGGCTGGCCTTGAACTGCTGACCTCAGGTGATCCACCTGCCTTGGCCTCCCAAAGTGCTGGGATTACAGGCTTGAGCTACTGCGCCTGGCCTAATTATAATTATTATTAACGATGAAGAAACAGAAAAGGATTTGTAGTTTTGTTGCAGAGGGAAGTAAAGTAGCATGATAACGTTTTGTTTTATTTATTTATTTTTGAGACGGAGTCTCGCTCTGTCGCCCACGCTGGAGTGCAGTGGTGCGATTTCGGCTCACTGCACCCTCCGCCTCCTGGGTTCAAGTGATTATCCTGCCTCAGCCTCCCAAGTAGCTGGGATTATAGGTGCATGCCACCACACCCGGCTGATTTTTGTATTTTTAGTAGAGATAGGGTTTCATCAAGTTGGCCAGGCTGGTCCTGAGCTCCTGACCCCAGGTGATCTGCCCGCCTTGGCCTCCCAAAGTGCTGGGATTACAGGCATGAGCCACCGCGCCCAGCCTATTTTTAATTTTTTTTATTTTTTGAGGTAGGGTTTTGCTCTGTTGCCCAGGCTGGAATGAAGTGGCATGATCATGGCTCACTGCAGCCTCAACCTCCTGGGCTCACGGGATCCACTTGCCTCAGCCTCCCGAGTTGCTAGGACTACAGGCAAGTGCCACTGCATTGGCTAATTTTTAAAAATCTTTTTGTAGAGATGGGGTCCTGAACTCCTGGACTCAAGCAATCCTCCCCGCTCAGCTTCCCAAAGTGCTGGGATTACAGGTGTGTGTCCAGCATATGAAGTTTTAATAGTAATATAAAGCCACATATTGAGTGACAAGGGAATAATGTAGACAGTCATTACCATAAGGGTTCAGAGTATAGCAAAACGTTGTGTGTTGGAAAAGCTTATAGCTGTCATCTGTTGCGTGCTTACCAAGATAATGTCAGGGAATGTTTTTGTCCTTTACATGTATTGTCACATTTAATTAACAGAAAAACCCAGTGAAGTAAGTACTGTTGTAGGTACCCATTTGTATTAGTCCATTTTCATGCTGCTGATAAAGACATACCTGAGACTGGGGTAGTTTACAGAAAGAAGAGATTTAATTGGACTTACAGTTCCACGTGACTAGGGAAGCCTCACAATCATGGTGGAAGGGAAGGAAGAGCAAATCACGTCTTACATGGATGGCAGCAGGCAAAGAGAGAATGAGGAAGATGCAAAAGCAGAAATCCCTGATAAAACCATCAGATCTCGTGAAACTTACTCACTACAATGAGAACAGTAGTGGGGAAACCGCCTCCATGATTCAGTTGTTTCACCTTGGTCCCTCCCACAGCATGTGGGAATTATGGGAGTACAATTCAAGAGGAGATTCGGGTGGGGACACAGCCAAACCATATTATTCTGCCCCTGGCCCCTCCCAAATCCTTTATCTTTACATTTCAGAACCAATCATGCATTCCCAACAGTCCCCCAAAGTCTTAACTCATTTCAGCATTAACTCAAAAGTCCACAGTCCAAAGTCTCATCTGAGACAAGGCAAGTCTCTTCTGCCTATAAGCCTGTAAAATCAAAAGCAAGCTAGTTATTTCCTAGATACAGTGGGGGTACAGACATTGGGTAAATACACCTGTTCCAAATGGAAGAAATTGGCCAGAACAAAGGGGCTACAGGGTCCATGCAAGTCTGAAATCCAGCAGGACAGTCAAATCTTAAAGCTCCAAAATGGTCTCCTTTGACTCCATGTCTCACATCCAGGACATGCTGACGCAAGAGATGGGTTCCCATGGTCTGGGGCAGCTCCGCCCCTGTGGCTTTGCAGGGTACAGCCTCCCTCCTGGCTGCTTTCACAGGGTGGCCTTGAGTGTCTGCGGCTTTTCCAGGCACACGGTGTAAGCTGTCAATGAATCTACAATTCTGGGGTCTGGAGGACAGTGGCCTTCTTCTCACAGTGCCACTAGGCGGTGCCCCAGTAGGAACTCTGTGTGGCGGCTTCGACCCCGCATTTCCCTTCCACACTGCCCCAGCAGAGGTTCTCCATGAGAGCCCCGCCCCTGCAGCAAACTTCTGCCTGGGCATCCAGGTGTTTCCATACGTCTGAAATCTAGGTGGAGGTTCCCAATTCTTGACTTCTGTGCACCTGCAGGCTCAATGCCACATGGAAGCTGCCAAGACTTGGGGCTTGTACCATCTGAATCCATGGCCTGAGCCCTATGTTGGCCCCTTTCAGCCATGGCTGGAGTGGCTAGGACGCAGGGCACCAAGTCTCTAGGCTGCACACAGCTCAGGGACCCTGGGCCCAGCTCACGAAACTCCTTTTTCCTCTAGGCCTCCAGGGCTTGATGGGAGGGGCTGCCTTGAAGACCTCTGACATGCCCTGAAGACATTTCCCCCATTGTCTTGGGGATTAACTTTTGGCTTTTTGTTACTTATGCAAATTTCTGCAGCCGGCTTGAATTTCTCCTCAGAAAATGGAATTTTATTTTCTATTGCATTGTCAGGCTGCAAATTTTTCAAACTTTTATGCTGTTTCTCTTTTAAAACTGAATGCTTTTAAGAGCACCCACGTCACCTCTTGAATGCTTTGCTGCTTAGAAATTTCTTCCGCCAGATATCCTAAATCATCTCCCTCAAGTTCAAAGTTCCACAAATCTCTAGGGCAGGGGCAAAATGCTATCAATCTCTTTGCTAAAACGTAACAAGAGTCACCTTTGCTCCAGTTCACAACAAGTTCCTCATCTCCATCTGAGACCACCTCAGCCTGGACCTTATTGTCCATATGACTATCAGCATTTTGGGCAAAGCCATTCAACACTAGGAAGTTCCAAACTTTCCCACATTTTCCTGTCTTCTTCTGAGCCCTCCAAACTGTTCCAACCTCTGCCTGTTACCCAGTTTTAAGGTCACTTCCCCATTTTCGGGTATCTTTTCAGCAGTGCCCCATTCTACTAGTACTAATTTACTAAATTAGTCCGTTTTCATGCTGCTGATAAGGAAATACCCAAGACAGGGCAATTTACAAAAGGAAGAGGCTTAATTAGGCTTACAGTTCCACGTGGCTTGGGAAGCCTCACAATCATGGTGGAAGGCAAGGAGAGGAGCAAGTCCCGTCTTACATGGATGGCAGCAGGCAAAGAGAGAATGAGGAAGATGCAAAAGCAGAAACCCCTGATAAAACCATCAGATCTTGTGAGACCTATTCACTACCACGAGAACAGTATGGGGGAACCGCCCCCATGATTCAGTTATCTATTCCCGGGTCCTTCCTACAACATGTGGGAATTATGGGAGTACAATTCAAGATGAGATTTGGGTGAGGGCACAGCCAAACCATATCACCATTTTAAACAGATGAGGAAATGAAGGCACTGAGAAGTTAAATAACTTGCCCATGGCCCCACAGCAAGTGACAGCAGAGATTCAGATGTAGGTAGGCTAATTGCAAAACCATTGTTCTTAACTGTTGTGTTATGCTACCTCTGGAATATCAAATGTATAGCTTTACTTGTTCAGTCATTGCTGGATTCAGGGCCCAAACAAGGTTATTGGGATTCTCTCTCATGTTGTATTTTGGCTCAGTTTTTCTCTGGGTTGATTTTATCCTCAGGCAGGCATTGCCGGTGAAGTGACAGTATAGCTGCTGGGATGAGAACTGCATATTCATAATTTAGCAATTTGTGTGGAAAGAGAGAATTTATTTTAACAATACAGTTCTAGCAAATGTTCTAGAATTGACTCTCATTGGGTCAGTTTGAGTTTTATTCCTATTCCTGAACCGTCACTGTGGCCTGAGGGTAGGGATGGGATAGAGTGGAATATTCTTATTGGCCAGTCTGGGCCATGTGTGTTTCCATCCCTGGATCTGAGACGGGGGAATGAATCCTTACCTCCAGGGAACATCAGGGTGCTAATACCAGAAATGGGAATGGATATGGGCCAGGCAAAAACAAATGTTCACCACGCTTAAGATATTAGGACCTCACTGGGTGCAATGGCTCACGCCTGTAATCCCAGTACTTTGGGAGACTGAGGCAGGCAGATCACCTGAGGTTAGAAGTTTGAGACCAGCCTGGTCAACATGGCAAAACCCCATCTCTACTAAAAATACAAAAATTAGCCGGGTGTGGTGGCATGCGCCTGTAATCCCAGCTACTGGGGAGGCTGAGGCAGGAGAATTGCTTGAACCCGGGAGGCGGAGGTTGCAGTGAGCCGAGATCATGCCACTACACTCCAGCCTGGGTGACAGAGCGAGACTCAATCTCAAGGGAAAAAAAAAAAGGATATTAGGACCGTGCTCACCCAGTAGGATCTGTCTGCTTGATTTCTATTTTAGCCTTAACATGTCAAATATTTTTACAGAATTATGATGAATTATGATAAATTGAAATCACGTCTGGGTGAGATTCATGATAGCAAAATGCGTCTAGAGCAGGATTTGAAGAATCAAGCTTTGGACAACCGAGAAATAGATAAAAAAATGAATAGCATCAAACCTGACCTGATCCAGCTGCGAAAGATCCGAGATCAACACCTTGTGTAAGTAGTCTGGGAGTGTATGGGGAGGGAGACGTTAGTGCCAGGTTACTACCAGCACTAGAGACACTAGAGGTGGAAGAAGAGATTAGAGATTTGTAATTGAGAATTGGCCAGTAAGATGGTAAGAATTTAGGAAAGTGTCCTTGGTAGTTGTAGGGGGTACCAGAGTTAATCTGAAGTTAATATGTGGAGCAAACCAGAATGTAGGACTCTTGATCCATACAAATGCCTTGGAAATCTCAGAGGCTGGCTGTGGCATGAGTAAAATGCTATATCTTAACAAGAACAGATTAATGTTTGCCTAAAACATAAAAATCAGAATCTTTGTTTACATACTAGAACTGAGTGGGGAATTTCTATTTCCTCTGAGGGGAAGTAGGTTCTAGGCTGGGCACTGTGGCTTACGCCTGTAACCCCAGCACTTTGGGAGGCCGAGGTAGGCAGATCATCTGAGGTCCGGAGTTCGAGACACCAGCCTGGCCAACATAGTGAAACTCCGTTTCTACTAAAAATACAAAATTAGCTGGGCGTGGTGGCACATTCTTGTAATCCCAGCTACTCAGGAGGCTGAGGCAGGAGAATCACTTGAACCCTGGAGGCGGAGGTTGCAGTGAGCCGAGATCACGCCACTGCACTCCATGCCTGGGTGACAGAGTGAGACTCCATCTGGGAAAAAAAAAAAAAAAAAGATGGTGAAACCCTGTCTGTACTAAAAATACAAAAAATTAGCTGGGCATAGTGGTGGGCGCCTGTAATCCCAGCTACTTGGGAGGCTGAGGTAGGAGAATCGCTTGAACCTGGGAGGCAGAGGTTGCAGTGAGCCGAGATCGTGCCACTGCACTCCAGCCTGGGCAACAGAGTGAGTCTCAAAAACAACAACAAAAACAAAATGACATTCTTTATTTAAATAACAGAAATGTATCTATAGAAGGCACTTGAGGTAATTTGAGTAGTGAAACCTAATTCTTTAGTATGAGGGAAAACTATATAATTTAGCCAAATATAGGCATAATAGAGATAATATACAAATATAAATGGAAAGATAGTATCAGAATAAAATGTGTGAATTATATTTTTAGAAACATAAATAACTGCTTCATAGGACAGAATGCATGAGAAAGGAAGATCCTGGATATTGGGCTTAGTTCTGGGTAACGAATAGACTGTTTTGAAATGCATCTATGGGTGACCTTGATGCATGTAACACCACTCAATTCAAACTACTGGCAGGAGAAGACAGAGCAGAGACCTCTGAATCTGGGTTTTCCATAGACTTCAGGGTTCTTTGTGTGAGAAAGAGGGAGAGGATGAAATATACACCTAGAGATTGGAACTGTGGCAGAAGAGTTTCAGTAGAGGAAGATTTAAGGTGATTTTTTTTTTTTTTTTTTTTTTTTGTGAGGCGGAGTCTCACTGTGTCACCCAGGCTGGAGTGCAATGGCACAATCTCAGCTCCCACTGCAACCTCCACCTCCTGGGTTCAAGTGATTATCCTACATCAGCCTTCCGAGTAGCTGGGAATACAGGCATGCACCACCATGCCCAGCTAATTTTTGTATTTTTAGTAGAGATGGGGTTTCACCATGTTGACCAAGCTGGTCTTAAGCTCCAGACCTTAGGTGATGTACCCACCTTGGCCTCCTAAAGTACTGGGATTATAGGCATGAGCTACTGTACCCAGCCTAAGGTGATATTTCTTGGGGTAAACAATTACAACTACACCATGCTGAGTAGTTTTTAATACCAGCTCTCTCAAGAGATCATTTTAGTTTGCTATTGTGGCCAAAAGTCAAGCCAAGTGTATATAGCATACTGAAGAGCTTTGTAAACAAGGCAAGGAGGGTGCTCTTATCTGTAAATGGGGTGTGTCTGCTCTTGGAATGCTCACGTGGTTCTGGTCACATCATGAAGCTGAAGAAAGGCTCAAAAAGGCTATGCTATACACCAAAACAATGAATGGAAGTCCTTCTTTGCCCTGAAAAGCAATAAGAAATACAAGGAATATACCATCCCAAGGGGCGTGAATAAGTGTGGTGTCTTAGTCTGTTTAGGCTGCTATAAAAAAAATCATAAATTGGGTAGTTTGTAAATACCAGAAATTTCTCACAGTTCTAGAGGCTAGGAAGTCCGAACTCAAGGCACTGGCAGATTTGGTGTCTGGTGAGGGGTGAGGATCTGCTTTCTGGTTCATAGATGGCACCTTCTACCTATGTCCTGGTAGAAGGAGCTAGGGGGTCTCTATCAGGCCTCTTTTATAAGGGCACTAATTCCATTCATGAGGGCTCTGCCTTTATGACCTAATCACCTCCCAAAGTCCTCACCTCCTAATACCGTCACCTTGAGTGTTAGATTTTCAACCTATGAATTTTGGGAAGATACTAACATTCAGACTATATAGCATGTGGCAAACCAGACCTTGGAAGTTTCTTTAATGGGTTGTATAAACTAAATACAGAAGACAGAAAGAAAACAACAGCAAAAAAAGACAACAAAAACCATACACACCAAAAAAAACCACAGAAAACAAAACAGTGACACCACAACAACAACAACAAATATAAGAGTTTAGATAACATCATGGATGACAAATTCATAACCTACAAGTAAGGACAACTCAGAAGTGTAGGGAGACACAGACAGCCATTACCTCTTTTGGAAGGGCTGCTTCCAGGAGAATAGTTCAGTGTCCCATGGTCCATGCTTTGATGTTTCTAACAGAGAATTGTCTCTGGGCTTGGTGGATTTGATCTATTCTAATGCTGGAATTTGTATAGTCGGTCCTGAAGAAGACTGGTAGTAAAATACGTGTCTCATATTAGCATTGCTGCATGATACTGAGTATGATCTCTCTCTGGTCTTGTTTTAAAGGAATAGGGTGGAATTCTGTGATACCTACCTAAAGACTGTCATTAGTTCTTTAAGCCCTCTTTGGATGTGGTCATTTCCTTGACTGGCCACTCCATAGCCCACAAGGATTCTATGTGATTGTCTGCTGAGAGCTTGGTGTACTACTAGTAGGATATTCTTGAGTGTTTAAATACAGAATTTCATTGCTTAAATATAGAAAAAAAATTCTAGGATATTATTCCATTTACTGGAAGCTCAAGAATAGGTAAAACCTATCTATGATGATAGAATTAAAAATAGTGATTATTTATGGTGGGGGTTTTGATGGGAAAATGGGATGAGGAGCCTTTAAGGGTTCTAGAAATGTTCGAATCTTGATATGAGTGGGGTTCCATGGGTTTATACATAGGTAGAAATTTATCAGTACACTTAAGATTAATGTGCTTTATGTGTATTATAACTCAATAAATACATTAAAAATTTCTTAGGTATCAATTTTTTAAAAAATTCCTTTTCAAAAAAAGGAATTTTGTTGTTAATATGCAATTCTTTTTCCTCATGAGTTAAGGCTAGCTTTCATGATTACCATTTACCTTTTTTGGTATTGTAGTCCCCCTTGGTCCATGGTTTTGCTTACTGCGGTTTTGCTTTCCGTGTTTTCTGGTATCCCCAGTCAGCCACAGTCTAGATAGGTGAATACAGCACAATAAGACATTTTGAGAGACCACATTCACATAACTTTTATTCCAGCATATTGTTATAATTGTTCTATTTTATTCTTAGTTATTTATTTTATTTAATTTTTTTTTTGAGATGGAGTCTCACTCTGTCACTCAGGCTGGAGTGCAGTGGCGCGATCTCAGCTCACTGCAAGCTCCGCCTCCCGGGTTCACGCCATTCTCCTGCCTCAGCCTCCCGAGTAGCTGGGACTACAGGCGCCTGCCACCATGCCCAGCTAATTTTTTTATTTTTTTAGTAGAGATGGGGTTTCACTGTGTTAGCCAGGATGGTCTCAATCTCCTGACCTTGTGATCCGCCTGCCTCGGCCTCCCAAAGTGTATTATTTGTTTTTGTTAATCCCTTACTATGCTTAATTTATAAATTAAATGATCACAGGTATGTATGTGTAGGAAAAAACAGTATATATAGGGTTTAGTACTGTCTGCTTTCAGGCATCTATTTGGTTGTCTTGGAACTATTCCCCATGGATAAGCAGGGGCTACAGTATTCATAAACCAAAATTCATAAATTTAAAATAATAACGGCCATAACAATATAGGTACATAATGATGATGGGTTTTTTGATGCATATTCTGCTTAGGGAATTGATGAGTTTTGAGTAATATATATATAGGGGAGTTTGCAGATAAAGGAGTTAGTTCTATGTGGCCGGGTGCAGTGGCTCACACCTGTAATCCCAGCACTTTGGGAGGCTGAGGCAGGTGGATCACCTGAGGTCAGGAGTTCGAGACCAGCCTGGCCAACATGGTGAAACCCTGTCTCTATTAAAAATACAAAAATTAGTCAGGCATGGTGGCGCATGCCTGTAATCCCAGCTAGTGGGAAGCCTGAGGCAGGAGAATTGCTTGAACCCGGGAGGTGGAGGTTGCAGTGAGCTGAGATCGCCCCACTGCACTCTAGCCTGGGCAACAGAATGAGACTCTGTATTAAAAAAAAAAGAAAAAAAAGTTCTGTGGAGGGTGCTGTGTTCTGGTTTTATTTTTTGCTTTTACAACTTTATTGAGATACAGTTTACATCGCATACAGTTCACCCATTTAAAGTGTATTATTCAATGTTTTTAGTATGTTCACAGGTATTTTGTCATCACCACATATTTTAGAACATTTTCATCACCTTAAAAAAAACCCTGCACTGTTTACTTAACATCCCTATCACCTCTTTCATTTAGCCCTAAACAACCGCTAATCCACTTTCTGTGTCTATGGATTTGTCTATTCTGGACATTTCATATGAATGAAAATAATGTAAAATGTACTCTTTTGTGACTGGCTTCTTTCACTTAGCATGGTGTTTTCAAAGTTTGTCTGCGTATGTCAGTATTTCATTCCTTTTTATGGCCAAATAATAGTCTGTTGTATAGTTATACCACATTTTGTTTAATCATCATCAGTTGGTGGACATTTGGGTTGTTTCTGTCTTTTTGGCTATTTCAGTAATGCTGCTGTGAACATTTATGTACAGGTTTTTGGATGGATGTGTATTTTCATTTTTCATGGGTATATGCTGAGGAGTGAAATTCCTGGATCATATGGTAATTATCATTGTGTAGTGGTTGCACTATTTTACATTCACACCAGTAGTGATAATTGGGGTTTCTTAAAGTAATGAATCATTCTTTAATACATTTCTTTTCTTTTTTTGAGACAGATTTTCGCTCTTGTTGCCCAAGCTGGAGTGCAATGGTGCAATCTTGGCTCACTGCAACCTCTGCCTCCTGGGTTCAAGCAATTCTCTTGCCTCAGCCTCCTGAGTAGCTGGGATTATAGGCGCATACCACCACCTCCAGCTAATTTTTGTATTTTTAGTAGAGATGGGGTTTCACCATGTTGGCCAGGCTGGTCTCGAACTCCTGACCTCAGGTGATCCACCTCCCTCAGCCTCCCAAAGTGCTGGGATTACAGGCATGAGCCACCGCACCTGGCTTCATTCTTTAATATATTTCTGATAACTAAATTTTTATAAGTGATTTTTCTTTTTAAAGTATTGTATATGTTATCCCACTTTGTTTTTATGTAGAGAATATGTCTGTCCATAAAATTTGGTGGAAGACAAGTTTCATTCCTCATTTTTTTTTTTTTTTTTTTGAGACAGAGTTTCACTCTTGTTGCCCAAGCTGGAGTGCAATGGCACGATCTCGGCTCACTGCAACCTCTGCCTCCCAGGTTCAAGCACTTCTCCTGCATCAGCCTCCCAAGTAGCTGGGATTACAGGCGTGCGCCACCATGCCTGGCTAATTTTTTGTATTTTTAGTAGGAACGGGGTTTCACCATGTTAGCCAGCCTGGTCTCGAACTCCTGATCTCAGGTGATCCTCCTGCCTTGGCCTCCCAAAGTGCTGGGATTACAGGCATGAACCACTGCGTCCAGCTCCATTCCTCATTTTTTTTTTTAATTAAATTTATTCCAAGCTCCCACTGGCCTGGTTACATTAAAAATATTTGATCTCTGTTATCATTCATACCTCCTACACAGACTGACACTTGGATCATGTAAGAATGTCATCCTGAAGTAGTGCCAGAAAATTAGAGGAGCACAAAGTCCTTTGTGCCTCCCTCTTGACTGCTGTCATTGGGTGCTCCTCTGCCTAATCATTGGGTCTTGCCATCTGGCTATTTTAGAAAATTCCAAGGTGTCCTTCACAGTAATCTCATCACTGGCTACCAACAGATGCTGCATCTTAAAACCTCATTCTCCATCCAGGATGCCCTGTGCCTGAGGCACCGTTTTCTGTCACCCCGTTTTCTACTTCAGCCAGGCTCTAAGCTTCTGCTTTCTTCCAGGACGAAGGCGTCAGCTTCAAAGTCGTTTCTCCTGTCCTTCTCTCTCAGGGGCTTCCCAGCTTAATCCTTTTGTCTTAGACTGAAACACAAACTCTCTTCTTAAAGTGTGGTAGTTGGGCTGTAAAACCAATTAGATCTTTAGAAAGGACACTATATAATACATATTTTTTCCCTTACTTGCTGGGGTAGGGCTAGGAAAAGATATGCTAACACCAGCTATTTTTAATCTATGGAAGTAGTATTTTCCTTTTTTTTTTTTTTTAAGAAGAGATTGCTGGGCCAAAGAGAGATGGGTCCAAGACCATGCCAAAAAATATGTATATATAGTATCTTTTCTAAAAATCTAATTGGTTTTACAACCCAATTACCACACCAACAGAATCAGAGCTGGATGTTAGGTCTTTGAATGTTTTGCCTCAGATTTTTCCTGTAGAATTTATTGCATCTATTTGTGATCAGTGCATGATTCGATAACATTAAATGTGAATTAACGTATTTACTAAAGCTATTTGAGGTTTTTGAAAATGGTTTTTAAAATCTAATCAACTCCTGGCATTGTTAATAGGTTTGTAAGGACTCAGAACTAGATAAGTCTTTGAAATGGACTTTTAGGAGATTGGAAAAGTTGCCTAAGTCAGAAGGTAGGCACCATCATAAATGGAGGGTGGAGCAAAAGCAATTTTTCTTTTTCTTTTTTTTTTCAATTAGGAAAGTGTTAGGAAATGAGTTCCTAACATTGTGTGTGGCAGAAAGGGAGGCTCAGTTTAAAGAGGTTGGTGGTTAAAAGAAAATGGGGATTCAAGAGAAAATGTCGTGCATTCATTCAACTCACACTTTTTTACCCAGTGTGCATATTTCTTTGATAAAGAGAAGGTCAGTTTCTTTAAGGATAGAAAACTTTGGGTGATAAGAATGCTTAGAGGAGGGCATCTGGATATTTTGATGACAGACGCGATGGTGTGGGGGAGGGGGTTTGTTACTAAATCAGTTGTATCAAGATCACATATTATCTATTTTCCAGTTTTGCTAAGAATAAAAAATGAAATCCAAGTTAACTAAAGGGCAATTCTTACTGAGAAAGACTGTGAAATCTGTCTAACAGAACTTTAAAATTAGGTGTGATGCCAAGTTATCTTGTATACTTGGGGAGATACAGGATGATCCTGGAGTTGTGAAGATTTTGTTAAAAGCAGCCCACCAGCAAATATTTACTGACAATTGAATGTCTATGTGCATGTGCTGTTTTAATAATTGGCAACATAGCCATGAACAGGACAGACCACTTTCATTACAGCAGCTTACATTTTATTGGGGAGACAGACATAAACAAATACAAATATAAAATAGGCCTGGCACGGTGGCTCATGCCTGTAATCCCAGCACTTTGGGAGGCCAAGATGGGCGGATCACCTGAGGCCAGGAGTTCAAGACCAGCCTGACCAACATGGTGAAACCCTGTCTGTACTAAAAATACGAAAATTAGCTGGGCATGGTGGCGCGTGACTGTAGTCCCAGCTACCCTGGAGGCAGAGGTGAGAGAATTGCTTGAACCCTGGAGATGGAGGTTGCAGTGAGCCGAGATTGTGCCATTGCATTCCAGCCTAGGTGACAGAGTGAGAGTCCGTCTCAAAAAAACCCCAACCAACCAACCAAACAAACAAAAATATAAAATAATGGATTTTAGCTAAGTGCTATGAAGATGATAAAACAAGGTAAAGTGTAGAGAGTGACTGGGGACTGCCTTAGTTGGGACAGTTAGGATAGTCCTCCCTGAGGGGATGGTGTTGATGATGAAACCTGAATGATAGGAGCCTTGCTTGGTGGGTAATGATGAACGAAGATGCTTTCCACTCCACTCTAGTTTTAGACTATTGGCCATCTGAAAGGAACAAAGTGTGCTGGTTTACCTCATTTTACATTTAAAATACTAGCACATTTTAAGATACTATGATTTTTTCTTTTCTTTCTTTCTTTCTTTTTTTTTTTTTTGAGATGGAGTCTCGTTCTGTCGCCCACACTGGAGGGCAGTGGTACAATCTCAGCTCACTACAGCCTCCACCCCCTGGTTTCAAGCAATTCTCCTGCCTCAGCCTCCCTAGTAGCTGGGATTACAGGCATGCACTACCACACTTGGCTAATTTTTGTATTTTTAGTAGAAACGGGGTTTCACTATGTTGGCCAGGCTGGTCTCAAACTGCTGACCGCAGGTGATCCACCTGCCTTGGCCTCCCAAAGTGCTGGGATTACAGGCATGAGCCACCGCGCCCGGCTTGGATACTATGATTTTCTTGGTAATGAAGTTCACTCATATTAATTACTCAGATTGCCACCCTGAATTTCTTGTGGCCTGCTTAAATGCAAAAATAGATCTTGAAGTTTTTAGTTAAAATATTAAACTCAATTCAGTAGGTCACACAGGAAGTGTGTCCTCAGGCTTAGTGGAGATTGCAAATGTGACACCATGCTAACCTAATGTTTTCAGAAACAAATGTCCCACTGTGAGTGCGAGTATGTGTGTGCTTGTGGTGGCACATCCTCCAGAAAAGAAAAATGAAAAGTGAAGGGCCTAATTTCAAGTAGCCCTCTATGTTTCTGCCTTTTTCTGGAAAAGATCAGTTCATCTTGATAGTAGTTGAAAGAAAAGTAATCGAGAGACTAATTTTGGGAAATCTTTGCCCATTCTGTGGGATTAGGAAAAACAAGAGGTGTCTAGACTCTAGAAGTTTAGTTGGCTCAGACATACCTACTTTGTCCAGTCAGAGTTTGCATGGATACTGACACTGGTGTCTTTCCTCTGGCAGATGGCTCAATCACAAAGGAGTGAGACAGAAACGCCTGAATGTCTGGCTGGGAATTAAGAATGAGGATGCTGATGAGTAAGTTCTCTCTATACCTTTCTGTCAGAGGGCTTTGTTATCAATATAAGACATGCGCCTTGTTTATACGTGGTAAATATTGGTTGTCATTGTCACTTGAGGACATTGAATCTAGAACTTTGACTATCTTTTGAATTGAATTGCCTGAAGGTACCCTATAGGCACTGGAGTTCAGAGACCTGCTTCTGAACTCAAAATCTGGATGTGTAAGCTACTTTGAGTATAGCTACCCAAAATCTGGATGTAAAAGCACTTTTATTCAGATGTTCATATTTCAGCTTATTGGATGAAACATGAATTCTTTGCTTTATGCACCATAGCAAGTAATGAAGTTAACACCCAAATAATTGCAATTTTGCTTTGTTATTTGTGGTTTAAAGATTTAGAAGAGTGTTTTATTTATGAATTTGCTTTTAGATAGAAGTAACTTGTTAGAATAATATACTAATATTTAATTTTTAGGAACTATTTTATCAATGAGGAAGATGAAAACCTGCCCCATTATGATGAGAAAACCTGGTTTGTTGAGGATATCAATCGAGTACAAGCAGAGGACTTGCTTTATGGGAAACCTGATGGTGCATTCTTAATTCGTGAGAGTAGCAAGAAAGGATGCTATGCTTGCTCTGTGGTGTAAGTCTTCTCTGGGGATATAACCTTTTGAAATCTTTTGCATCAATTATTATAAAATCAACCCCTCATAAAATTCAGATGAAATTAGTTAATGTACAGTAACGAGGACCCATGGCTCGGACCATAACTATTAGTACAAAAAAACCCAGCTTTATGAGAAATGATATCTGAAATTATCTTGGAGTTTTAATTTACGTGGTAAGTAGATTAGGCCCCGCAGTATTGCTGTTGGATTTCAGGTGTCTGTGAAAGGTAATGTGAGATCTTAAATTGAAAAAAAAAAAAAAAAAAAAAAAAAAAGCACTTAATTGTTTAGTAGTATCCTATATGTCTAGTATGGTCTCCAGTGTCAGATTAGGAAAAGCTTGATTAAATAGAACTGTTTTTACTTCAGAAGGAAAACTCTATCTAAAATTTTAAATTACATATTATTCTGTTGATGTAGTGACAGGAAATGTGGGCGTGTTTTCCATAAGATAATCGTGACTTTTTTGAGAAAAGCCTATTTTCCTTTTAATGGAAAGTGAAATTTTGGGGATAACTAACTGTGCTTCAGTCAGATTTTTGCCTGAGTGTGGAATATATTCTTTAAGAAGGCAAACATCTTCACTGACAAAAGCCACACTTAGAAAAGAGTTATGATGGTGCCAGATATACTGGGTTCAGCTCCTGGCTCTACTGCTTACTAGCTGGGTAACTTTGGGTAAATTACTTAATCTTTCTTTGCCCAGTTTCCTTATCTGTAAAATAAGGATAATACCTACTTTAGGGTTTTTGTGAGGATTAAATGAGTTAATCTGTGTAATACAATATGCTTTTAACAGTGCAGGGACATAAGAAGTAAATGTCACCTACTAATATGATGATGATGCTACTGATGGATGTGGCAGAAGTCAAACAAAGTGACAAAATGATTGTGCCCTTAGAGGGCAAGGTGGAGAAGGTAGGCGAAAGGCATTCATATTAACAGACTGCTCAGTGCTTTATGTGATCATCTTGTTCATAGTGCTCTACTTGTATCATGGAGTCAGAGTTTGAATCCAAGTTTACCTGGTTTCAAAACCCACATTTTTCTATTGCACCAGGCTTTTTTCATTTCACCAAATATCCACAATGAATAGAACCACTGTGAAATAAGTATTATTAGTAGGCTGTGCACATGTGGAAGCATTAATTTTAGTGGAGAAAGAGCGGATTGGGAGGTTTTGTGGAAAAGGTATCTGAGATGGACCTCAAAAAGATGAATGGGATGTCTTATGGGCAGAAAATGGGGGAGGAGTTGAAAAGTGCATTGGATTACTGTTATCCAAGGATAGAACTACTTGCAACATTTCATTTCTCCTTGACTTGGGCTGTTGAAGTTATCTGAGTGGAAATGTAGGCGAGAATGGTTCTTGTAAGACTTAGGATCTTCTAAGAATAATAAAAAGAAGGAAGGCAGTAAGCCCAGTCGCTCACTGTCACTCAGGTTATTGGGTGGCAGCCTGTAGGTTCAGGACTTGGCTGCAGTCCTTACATAAACTGATTAATCAAAAACTACCCTTGGCTGGGCGTGGTGGCTCACACCTGTAATCCCAGCATTTTAATAGGCTAAGGCAGGAGGATTCCTTGAGCCCAGGAGTTCACGACCAGCCTGGGCAACATAGCAAGACCCCATTTCTACTAAAAATAAAAAAGTAGCTGGGCATGTGGCTCACACCTGTAGTCCCGGCTACTTGGGAAGCTGTGGTGGGAGGATCACTTGAGCCCAGGAGTTCAAGGCTGCAGTGAGCTGTAATCAAGCCACTGTACCCTAGCTTTCGTGATAGAGCGAGACCCTGTCTAAAAAAAAAAAAAAGAAATAAATAAACCCTTACATTTGTGGTTGTTTTAACACCCGTATCTGTGGCCAAGTCTGTAGGGAATGGGAACGCAATTTCACAAGCTTTGCCTGGTTAACAAAAAACACTTGTTTGCATAACAATTGCTCTCAGACTTCTGGCCATTTAGTGTCCTTTTATCTATTGTTACCTACCTTAACATTTCTTCTGTGGTTTGTCATTGCAGGGCCGATGGGGAAGTGAAGCACTGTGTGATCTACAGCACTGCTCGGGGCTATGGCTTTGCAGAGCCCTACAACCTGTACAGCTCTCTGAAGGAGCTAGTGCTCCATTACCAGCAGACATCCTTGGTTCAGCACAACGACTCCCTCAACGTCAGGCTTGCCTACCCTGTTCATGCACAGATGCCCTCGCTTTGCAGATAAAGAGGAAGTGGGAAGAGAGGTGGTTCTCTGGCATTTTTTTCTACAGTTTTTATTAGACTACGATGAGGGCATTCTTTCTACATAGACTGCTTGTTTTGCACAAGAAGTGATTTTGTGAATGTGAAGTGGAGAGGCCGAGCAGCAGCCGGCCGGGATGGGGGCATTAGAGGCCTGAGGTTCTCTAGGACTCAGCCATGCCGCTGCACTGACATACTAAGCTGGAAGCAGATGTTTTTTTTGAAAGTCTGTTTCATTGGGGTTTTTGTTTTGTTTAGCCAGACACCCTCAACAGAATATTAGGCTTGATGGTTATAGCGGGTGGGGTTGTATTTGGAAGCCTCTGAAGAGACCATGTCTTTTTAAAATCTAACTCTTGAGAGTGCAGCAGGGGCATGGCTCTGCTGGGAGTTGTGTTTTGCTTTGGCAGTCTCTCTTCCCCCCACGAAGAAGGCTGTTTAGGTTTTGTGATAGAATGGGATTTGATGAAAAAGACAACCAAAGGAAAATGGGGAGGCTTGGGATTTCATTTAAATAATCTAAGCCAAGATGATAAAAAAAACCTTCAACTGAAGGTATTTTGTTTCTTACCAACATAATTTAGGCTTCAGCATCTCACCAGCCCCTCCCTCTGAAGAAGTATTATGTTCAGAAGCCAACAAAACAGTTTGTTGCCAGACCAATGTTTGATGGGAAAACGTGGCACTCATAGTTGAATGTATACTTCTGTACCAAAACTTGAACATAAAAAGACTAGAATTTGTGAGTTTTAGCAAACGCTAAAATTGATCACTGTAACTAACCCCTTCTGTCCTTCCTGCCTGTTTCTCTGAGATGAGGAATAGCATTCTTTTTGTGGGGATGGTGAGCTTTGAATCATAAAATGAAGTTGGTGCTTGTATGGTGTTTCCTTAGCCTAAAGAATGATCTGTTGTTTGAAACCTTTGTAACTTGTTTGTATGAGTAAAGAAAAGGTGCAATGCAGTGCTTTTAGATGGCTTGATATACCAAATAACAATATAGAACAACATTATTATATGTGCTTCCCCAAGTTTAAAGGCCCTGCAGAAATAGTAAACATGGTTTAATTTCCCTTCATTTCCCCCTCCTTTGCTGGATGGGGTTTTGGGAGCTATAGGTTGCTAAGGAGGGGAGTCAGATTGTGGTCAGGTGCCTCAGTAAATCACAGACCCAGGGGCCCTGTGGTCCAGGGTGAGAGTCACACCACATTACACATGTGCTTCCATACAGTGGTTTCTGAAGCTTTTGCAGGGAGAGAAGATGGCTTAGTGTTTAGACTGTTAGTAGAAGCCATCTGGAAGCTTTTCTCTTTGCCTTTTTTTGTGATCCTGCCATTAAGGCTATGTGCAGTCTGCCCTCCTGCTCCAGTGGCCTTGATTTTAGGCCAGGAATCTTCTGCTCCATGTGGCTTAAGCCTTCCAGCTGAGTGAAGCTAGGCAAATGGAGTGGGGGCAGGCATCTATTCCTGCCCCCATCATGCCCCACACCCATCAGTCAACACTCATTTGACAAATAGAGTCCAGCTGCCTCTGAGCCAATCCTGGGACCATAATAGGCTCAGAGTGAGTCAGCTGTTTGAACCCAAAGCTGTGCAGTCAGGCACCCTGGCTGAGCTAGAGAAGCCAGTACCTGCATCTTGGTTTATAAGGCTTACAGCTAGGAAAGCTCTAGTTCTGGGGGTGAAAGAAAAATATTAGTTTACCTGAGCACTTATTTCCATGACAGGGTCTAAAATATGGACCATGATGTAGACACAGATTTTTAATTTTGGAAAAACCTCCAGTTACTAGTGACGAGGATAGAAAGGGAAGTGCTTCTCTTTGGCTTTTTCTTGGTTACACTGCAGTTTCAGGATTGGGTGAGACAGAGACAAATGAACCCCCCTCTAAAGTCATTTAACTAATAGCCAGCACATCCCTTCCCCAAACTGTCAATTGAAATCTTAACTGAAAGTTTTACTGAATAATACCAAGCTAATTGCTGTTGGGCACACCTGGATGGCTTTGCACCTGGTGTTGAACCTGCTGAAGCAGGTGGATGCTCAAGATTACGTGCAAGGAATCCCTCCCATCTGGTACTAAAATTTCAGTGTGTTCTGAGTGTCTTTTAAACCAAAATGGAAATACAGATACAGGGCTGTAGTATTCAGTAATGTGTCTGCTCCTTGTTGGGCAGACACCAGCGGTGTGCAGGGAGAGACCAAGTACCATCTTTATCTACACTTGGGCTGGCTTGTGGAGAAGGGCTGCTTTTTTTCAGTCCTACATTCCTTCATTTTTTTTTTCATTCTTGAATTCATTGTTTTGTGGGATCTAAGACCCAGGGGTCATTTGAGAGGTTTGACAGTATCTTTTCTGACCAGTTGCCACATGACTTGCTTGACCCTGAGCCTGTGGAAATGGCATAGGGACCAGTCTACTACCCACTGGGCCTGGTGTGTAGAGGGGGAGAGGGTAGCAAGGTGCTTCTCTACGCCCATGACTTGGGAGCAGGTCTTGGCCTCCTTCATGAGAGTCTAGTGCCATGTCCTGTCCCATGATCTGGACCCTGGGACTGTCTTGGCATCTTAACTGCAGTTTCAATGAGGCAGAGGGCAAAGAGAGACCAAGATCAGAGGGGTTCATTATACCCCTGGCTAGAGAACCCAGCTACTGACATGCAAGCAGCTTGGGGCTGGCTGGACACAGGTACTAGGCCCATTGTTTCCAGGTGAAGCTTTCATCACAGAACAGTGTTGTCTCCACCTGGCCTTAGATGGCACGCCATGATTCGGGCCTGGATAGACTGCCTGCGTCCTTACCACTGATCTGGCCAAGAATGAGGCCCTCCCAACACTTTCACTCCCTCTCCAAGCCTTGATGGGACCTCCACTTATTTAGGCCTCATGTGCTTTGAAGAAGCTTTGAGAGCCAATGTGTCTTCCACGGGTCTCTTTTTTGCTACAAGTAATCAGCCCCATGTGTTCTCTTAAACTGAGAATTGCACCTGGGCAATTCCTGTTTTCTAAGGTGGTCTCTGCTGCTATTTAACAACCCAGAGTAGGCCTCTGTGAGGCTTCAGTGGCCTCAGAAACCAGAGGGTCCAGATAGGGGGCCTGCTTGGGCCCTCTGCTGCCAACTGCTCAAACCTGCTTTAGCTCCAGCCACTTGTGGCAAACAACCTCGTTTCCTTACAAATTCCAGCATGTGACTTTGGTGCCGTTACTTGTGAAAAATCTATTCTGTTGTCTTTGATGTGTCCAAGAAAATTCGTGTAGTTTACGTAAAAATATCTGACTCACAAGAAAGCCAACTGTATGTCTTGTGATGGGACAGTTCATAATGTAGTTGCTAGACCACTTTACAAATTGTTCTTGTCACCAGATGTGTTCAGACATTGCTGTGCAATTGTTGGGGAGGGTAGGGGGAAAGGCGAGAGGAGATACTTATTGGTCTTTTTGTTTAATACCTTCCCCAAGAGGGGACAGTCTGGCCAACTTGCTCCAGTAATGCAATAAAGACATTGCAATAAAGTAATTTTTTGTCTTCATGCTATGAAGGGGTGGGCTGGGGGCAGAGTGGGGGTCAAGAGAGAAGAGTACTCAGGTGTTGAACAGCCCTTGAAACTTCCAAACCTTCTCTCCAGTAAGCACCAAAAGACTAGTACTGGGGCAGCCAGAGGCTCTTTTCTTCCTAGGGGAGGACATTGACTCCAACTAGGCATGATGCCAGAGTCCTGTCCACCGAACACAGACACAGAAGTCTTAGATACTGACTCTGAGAAAATTAAAACTGAATGCCATTTCCTCCACACCTCACTGCCCACTCCTAATAAGCTGTTTATTGGTTCTCATATTTCTGCCCAGAATGAAGTGTTTCCACATTCTACTCTGGGGGAGGGGGAAATGGGCCCAGCTTTATAATCTATCCTCTTATTGCCCCAGGCCCTTGTCATCTCCTGCCAAGGCACACTGTTGAGCTTCCTGTATTCTGGGAACGTAATGAGCCAACATGCGATAACCTCTTGTTGCATAGGATATTGCAGCGCTCATCCATGTCTCAGGCCCCACCCATGTGTACTCAATTATAAATAAGTCAGATTGGGCAGGGAACAGCCTGTTGTTCTAAGTGACCTTGCCTATGTCTTTTCTCCCCACTACACTTTAGCTACACAGCATCCCAAGACCACTGCCAGGAACTATGGATTTCTCCTAATCCCAGAGTTGTTCGCACTTCTGTGTTTAGGATGCTCAAATTCCTAGCTCCTTCCCAGTTCTTTCTTCTGAACTCTACCCGCTGGCTGGATGTTTCCACTGGGCTCCTGGGTATCTCACCGACACTTCAAACTTGTTTACTTGGGGCTGGGCGTGGTGGCTCATGCCTGTAATCCCAGCACTTTGGGAGGCCGAGGCGGGTGGATCACCTGAGGTCAGGAGTTCGAGAACAGCCTGGCCAACGTGGTGAAACCCCGTCTCTACTAAAAGTACAAAAATTAGCTGGGCGTGGTAGCATGCACCTGTAATCCCAGCTACTCGGGAGGCTGAGGCATGAGAATTGCTTGAACCTGGGATGCAGGGGTTGCAGTGAGCTGAGGCCGTGCCACTGCACTCCAGCCTGGGCAACAGAGCGAAACTCTGTCTCAAAAAAGCAAACTTGTTTACTTGTCAGAAAAAGTATGATTGGCTATGAATTTCCTCACCTTCCTACCACCAAACCTACAACCTTATCTATATCTACATAACTATTCTCCCTCCCATCTGTTAAATTACAATAGTCCCCTCCAACTAAAGTCAATCCTTCCACATGTATTTTGGAATCTATTTTCTTCCACCTCAGGAATCTCCCAAGATTAAGATCAATTCTTTCTCTACTTCAACTGGATCATTTCCACTGACACTTAAACATGGTTGGTTGGTTCTCATTCTACTCCCCTAATCCCTACTCAATCATCCCATATACCTTTATCTCTTTTCTCCTCTTCAAAGCCAAGCCTTTGGAAAGAACTGTCTTAAATTTCCTTATTTCCCCATCTCAAATATTTCAGTACTGGTTCCACCACTGTTTGAAACTGCTTTTCTTGATGCCTTCAATAACCATCGCTGTTAACTATCCTGTCCATGGAAAGCTCCTTCATGGACTCTATCACAACTCACTAATCTAATATTCTTCTGACATCTGACTGTTCTTTTACATCTCCTGGATTCCTTCAGTTCTCAATGCCATTTTACCTGGCAGTTTTATCCACAGCCATGAATCCACCTACCATCTCTAGGCTGATTACATCTGTTTATTTCATTTGCCCAGACCTCTATTGGAAGCTACTTCATATTTAGCGTATGGAATGCAGCACTGAACTACTTAGCCCTGGTTCTCTTCCTTGTTTCTTATTTCGGTGAATGGAAATACAATTCATCTGGTTATATAAGTCAAAAATGTAGTCAGTCATCATCCTTGATAGCCCTCTGCTTCATACCTAAAGTCCTTCACCAAGTGTCAATCAAAACATCACTTCTAACTTCACTGCTTCACTACCATCTGCACCCTTCATCCTGGAAGGCCCCCCTTCTTCCATTCTTGTCCCCCTCAGATCCATTCTCATTATAGCAACCAGTCATCTTTTCAAAATACAAATCTGAACCGATGTAAAACATTAAATAAGTCTCCATTGATCTTAGGGTGAATTACAAAATTAGATGGTCTGGCTTCTCCCTGATTCAGGATCTCAATCCCCACCTTCAACTTTTCACTGGCTCTATCCCCCTCAGCTAGTGCCAGTATTTCGGGACTTCTTCCTCATTCTGCGTATGTTCCCTGGACAGTCCTCATCTCCTGTGGCTTTCATTGCCCTCTACTTCCTGATGGCTCCCAAATCTAGATGTCCAGCTTCCCACCCTTTCCTTCCTTACCTCCTCACTGTTGCTGTTCTAGTTCAGACCACCAAAATGGGTCACTACATCCTCTGTGGTACGCTCACTCCACTCCAGCCTCTCTATACTGCAGCGAGTGATCTTCCTAAAGCAAATGATAATACCACTTCCCTGAAGTTACCTTTTAGAAACTCTTCACTACCCTCAGGATAATCCCACCAGTTTCTCAAGGGGAACACCACTGACACTTGGGGCAGTTGCCCAGTGTGGTATAGGATGTTTAGCATCTCTGCTTCCTCCTCCCATCCCCATTTCCAACCCTCTAGGAGGGCAGTTCCCAACATCCTTTTCACCTGTGGTATGGTGCTTCTGACCAGATCCCTACATGCACGGGGCACTTGCTACCTCAGCCATGCCCCTGCCATTCTCCAGCTCACAACCTGTGATCTGTCTGCCCAGGTCCCGGTACATTAGCCCAGGGTCCGCTGTGAATGAATGAAGAAGTGGAGAGGACTAGAAGGCTGAGGGGCCAAATATCTGCATAAATGGGCTCTGCCACTGTGGATACAGTGCGCCCTCTGGTGGCCACAGCCTTCCCAGGCAATGGCCCAGAGGCATTTTCGTCTTCAGGCCTCCTAACACGTCTTCTTCAGACCTAGGCACTGGATTGTGGGACGATCAGTGCAACCAGTGCAAGACAGTTTCTCAAGTCCTCTATCACTATGGAGACAAAGCCTTGGTGCTCTACCAAGCCCCACTGCCTGCCCTGTGATGCCACCTCCTGACTCCCCTGGCACTGGTCCCACTTATGTCCTCCCCCTTCCTCCCACACTACCATCAAATGAAGTTCTACTCAATGCGGGCTACACACACGATGTCCATCCACCTCCAGTGCTGAGGCCTCTACCTACAACAGCCCAGGAAGAGCTCACTGGCTACAATTATGAAGGGCTTGTTACTAAATACGACTGGCAGCTGTTTTAATCTCGCCCTCACCTCGGCATTTATCGTTAACTTCTCTGTCCATTTTAAAACTCCTCCCATAGACTTTATGACTCTGCTGGTTGCTGCTTCTGTCTTCTCTTTTATCTCAAACGCACCCAAAGTTAAACTCTTTGCCTTCTCTCACTTCTTCCCCTCCTCATTTCCTGGCTGAGGCAATCCTAGTTAGGAGAGATGTGAGTTCCGGAGTCCAAGGGAGACCTACGTTCTAACCCCCGTTCTACCCAAGCTACTGTATTACCATGGGCATCAAAGTCTTAGTGCCCTTATCTATGAAGGAATTTTAGTTGCTACATGGTATTTTCTGGTTCCCCATCACCTTCACGAAGTCAAATCTCCTGGAAGACCATTAGACATGGCCCTTGCCTCACTTGCCAGACCCGTTTCTACTTTGAATTATCTTTGGTTCCTTGACTATGCCAGGTATACTGCATGTGCTAAACGTTGCCTGGACAGCCTTTCTTATGCCAACCTCCACTCTTCCACACCCAGCAAACTACTACCTATCATCTATTCTTCATGTTTGAGCTCAAATGTCAAAGCCTTTGGGAAGTCAAGCTGGGTTAGGTGGCCCTCCCCTGGTGGTGGAAACTGTTTTATTCACCACTATATTCCCAGCAGCAACACAGGACCTAGTTACATGTGGGTTGACCGAAGGAAAACAAGCAAGCAAAAGACATAAAGATGGTTTCCAGGAGCATATATTACACAGGTCTGAGTGCAAGAAATGGCAAACAACTGCTATGTTTGCTTTAAAAGCTCATCTGGAACCAATGCCAAATCCCGATGCTTTTGATGGCCCCCTGGTTCTTGGCCCCTCCTGAGGCTGGGCTCAGACTTCTGGGTGAGGGGGCAGCCTCGGCATGGAACGTCCTGCCTTCTGTCACCTGAGGCATCAGGCACTTGGGTGATGCTCAGGGCTGGATCCTCTTTCACTGCTTGTGCACACTCAGACTCCCATAGCCAGCCCTGGCTGGGATCCTCATAAGATGGATGGGCCAGTCTGGGGGCACTAGGTGGCTGTGTCTTCCCCTGCTCCCTGGGAGACAGGTTCTTAGGCTGGGCTGGAGTTGTGTTTTCCAAATCCTGGAGGTTGGCTAGCCCACCTGCCATGGTTGCCTTTCTGCTTGGGGATGCCCTGTCTGGGCCCTCAATAAGGGATTTCCAGGACCACATGCTCAGCTTCCCAGAGGTGGAGCTGGGAGGAGAGCAACTGCTGGTGGGGGTGAGTCCCGAAGTGCTGGGAGAAAGTGCTGTTAGTGCCTGGGTGTGGAGGTGCTGGGCCTTCCAGCAACCTTCAGGAGGGATGGGGTCTGTGGCTCCAGACTGACCTAGGTTGGGGCCTGCTGAGGAGGAGCTGGCAGCCTCCTCAATGGCTTGTGGGCTCCCGAGCCTCCTGTGGGGACCACTGGGACTTTCCATTCTGGGAGGCCCCAGTGTGATCCCTGTCAATAGGCTTGGGACCATTGGGCCCAGGCTCCTAGGGTCTCTGGACGGGAAAGGATCCTCTTCCCCACTCTCTCCTGCTCCTTTAGGGGCCACACTCTGGCTCACTTCTGGGTGAGGTGCCAAGCTCAGCTCCTGTGCACCCTGGCTGTTCTCAGGCCCTTCCTCGGTGTCGTCCTCTGAGGAGTCCACCTCACGAATGGCTTCTTGCTTCTGCAGCGACTCCCGTCGTTCGGCTCGGTCCTGCCGGAGGGTGCCTAGGGCCCGTGAGGGAGCAGGCTGCAGCACCCCCTTCCCTGGCAGGGCCCCCTTGCCAGACAGCACACTCCTGGCTCCAACTACCTCCAGAGGGCTCACTTCCCTGGGCGGCAGTTCCTTCTTTAGTTCAGAGTGGGGCAGGTCAAGGCTGTGCTTGCGAGAAGTGGCTAGCTTCTTCTCAGAGGCGGCAAGTGCTGCTGCCAGTTTCTCAGCCGACTGCACCCTCTTGAGTAGTGGTGAACGGGGTGGCTCCGCACTCTTGGGCCGTGAGAGTTGCCTGCCCAGGGGAGGTGACAAGTGAAGCTTTGTGGGAAAGGCCTGGGCTACATGGCCAGACAGGGGCGATGGGGACCGCTGAGGTGAAGCTGTTGGGGGTGGGGGAGAAGGGGTGTGGGCCAGTGGTGACAGTGGGATGCTGCCTGCTGACTTGCGCCGTGGAGAGCGGTACTGGCGTTGGAGCTTGGGTGCCAGACCGTGGAGGGAGCTGGGCCGTGTGTGCCCAGAGCCGGCTGGGGAACTGGGCACGCTGGAGCTGGGGGAGCTGCTCTGTGATGAATTCCCTCCCACTTTGTACAGAGACAGACAGACAGACAGACAAAAGCAGAGCAGTGTTAGCTGTTAGAAGTGACTCAAGGGCAAGACAGGGCTTAGCCCTGTTATGTCCCAGAAACCAAGCTACCCCCTTCCCCATCAATTAATTCCTCCCCAAGACTACAGGATCTTTCAGGGGGTGGGCTAAATGAGAGACTCAGAGTGGGATCTGTCAGAAGCACACAGGGCCTAGGAACTTTCCTATTTCCCAGGGGTTGTCACTGATCTGCAGGGAGCCCTTCGTACCTGAATGCACAGCATCGGGGGTCACCCGGTAGCCTTGAGTGGGAGATCGGGGGGAAAGGCTGTGGCTGTGTGTGGGAGAGCCTGGCCCACTCTCCCCTGATGACAAGGAGCGGTTAAGGGAAGAAAGGCTGCGGCTGGTGTGGAGCAGGGATGCTTGCTTGGTGATCTTGCGGAACAGGGAGCTCCTTTTTCTGCTGCGGGGATAAGGGTCAAAGGCTGAGTCGGTGCAGTGAGCACAGCACACACTGGACCCCCAGGGCCAAGGCACCCACCACGTACCAGCACTCATGTGGCTCAGAGAAAACCCTCTTCACTGCGCCTGGCTCACCTTTCTTGCCCATCCTTGCCGCGGCTCCTCTTGCTCCTTCGGGCCATCTTGGCCTTGTAGCTGCCCTTCCGAGCTGGCCCCACTTTAATGGATGTGTTCTCCAGGGGAGTTGTTGAAATGGCCACCTTGTTTCCACTCTGGGGAGCAGAGCATGAGGCCTAGGCTAAGCTGGAGCCATATTCTTGCCCCTCCCCTCCCCCAATCCTTCCCTTCTGGCATGGCTATACCACAGCTCCAGCTTTTTGTCCCTGCACCAACACATCTGAACCACAGGCCTATATTATTGTTTTTACAGATGAGGAAATGGCTCCCATTGGAGCCCCAGAGTGGTTTGGGGTAAGAAGGTAGAAAACAGGCTAATCCGTCCCATTCTGCAGCCCTACCCACAGCTCAGAAGGATCCCTGGGCCTTAGTCAGGGAGGGTACTGCCTTGTGGAGAAAACTCTCTGTTGTGCCACATTCAAGTTCTGTGTGTACCTACATCTTTTTTTTTTTTTTTTAAGACAGAGTCTCACTCTGTCACCCAGGCTGGAGTGCAGTGGTGCGATCTCAGCTCACTGCAACCTCTGCCTCCTGGGTTCAAGCACTTCTCCTGCCTCAGCCTCCCAAGTAGCTGGGATTACAGGCATGTGCTACCACACTCGGCTAATTTTTTTTTTTTTTTTTGGAAACAGAGTCTTGCTGTGTCTCCCAAGCTGGAGTGCAGTGGTATGACCTCAGCTCACTGCAAACTGCCTTCCAGGTTCAAGCAATTCTCCTTCCTCAGCCTCCCGAGTAGCCGGGATTACAAGTGCCTACCACCACGCTTGGCTAATTTTTGTTATTTTTAGTAGAGTTTTGCCATGCTGGGCAGGCTGGTCTCAAACTCCTGACCACAGGTGATCCACCCGCCTCGGCCTCCCAAAGTGCTGGGATTACAGGCGTGAGCCACCACACCCAGGCATTTTTTTTTTTTTTTTTTTGTATTTTTAGTAGAGGCAGGGTTTCACCATGTTGGCTAGGCTGGTCTCAAACTTCTGGTCTCAAGTGATCCACCTGCCTCAGCCTCCTAAAGTGTTGGGATTTACAGGCATGAGCCACCGCGCCCGGCCTGTGTGTACCTACATCCATACTCGGTGTAGATGTGTGTGCACCCAACTCACCCACTCCCCTAACTGCCATCACAGACTCACAGGCTGAGGTCATTCAGGGACCATGCAGGCAGCACGCCCAGCACTAACCTTCAGGATCAGCTCTACCACCTCCGTGTGCACCAGGCCATGCACAGGTTCCCCATTGACATGGGTGATGAGGTCACCTTGACGAAGCCCTGCCTCACTGGCCGGACCTCCATCCTCCACGTGCTGTGCCAGGAAGAGAACAGTACTCAGACTGGAGCCTGAACACGAAGTATGGGGCCTGGTTCTGGACATTAAGCTGTGAGCCCCTTCACCACCACCCTTTGACCCCCGAGCAGGGACAGATGGGCTCCACAAAGGGGAAGCTGGAAGGATGATGAAGCAGGGAGACAGCAGGTCTGGATGGTCAGACATACCCACACCATATGGTGCACGGTGTAGACATCGGAGTCACCCATGTAGACGCGAATGGCCCGCAGGGTGAAGCCATACTTCTTGCCAGCTCGGTGGATGATGATGGGAGGCCTCATGCTGCCAAGGGCTGGCAAGAAGTCCCTGCTTGGAGAAGAGTCCCGGGATGATGGGTTGGACGACTGAGAATGTGGGGACATGGGGCTGGCCAACGGGGAGCAGGTGTGGTGTTCTGGAGAAGGAGAAGCCAGGACTTAGTGGGTCAGAGGGCTTTGGCCTGGCCCCTGGTCCAGTCTGTTGATGTCAGCACAACTCTAGTCACAGACAGAGCCTGAGCCTAGGTCCATTTTCCCCACAGCCCCTGACCTGTGAAGCCCTCTCCCGTGTCCAGACCCCAAGAGACGGTGGTGGTGATGAGAAATGGCAGCTAGCATTTATGTGTGTATCAGGGACTATATAAGCTTGTCATATATATTTAAATGTCACAACCTATCAGCTGGCCTCTATTATATCCACATTTTTGGATAAGAAACTTGAGGCTTAGAGAAGTTAAGCAACTTGCTCAAGGTCAAGAGCCTGTTAGTGATGGAGCCAGGATTTGAGTGTGAGCTCTCTACCCCAAAGCCTGCACTTGTGACATGGTGCTGTCCTGCTTTCTGGCACATGTATACACAACCCCAGACACCAATACACACCTTCAGAGACCACAGTCAGATCTGTGCTTAACACACACACACACACCTGCCACGTGCAGAACCCTCCCAAGGCCTAGAGATTACAAGGCCCTTCCTGTGAGTTTTATCCCAGCTCCCCAGGGGCCTCACCCGAAGGAATGAGGAGTGAGAGGGCTGTGGCTGAGGCGGACTTGATCACTTTGTTGACAGGGCGAGCAGTGCGCTTCTCTGTTGAGTCCCCAGAGAGCAGCCGGTGGCGGGCCCTACGCACAGCCAGGTCACTGATGGCCTTGGCTGTGGCTCCCTCAGCCAGCTGTGAGGTCCCACGGCCTCGGGTCTCCATAGCTGTAGGCCCAAGTAAGCAGTGAGACCCGCGATGCCGCTGAGCCTCCCTGCCCTGCAGTATCCTCCAGCTTAGGTCGTTTGGCCGCCCACTGGGCCATACCTGGACTGGAACCACTGCTCCGGCCAACAGCTTCCTCATCCAGCTTTGGCCGCTGCTCCCCTGAGTGTTCAGTGACAGGCCCAGATACCCCCTCTCCAGATGGGGGTGTCAGGACCCATATACCCTCCTGTGGTTGCCTCCTGAGGGTGCTGCTGGCCTCCTCAGGGCCCTCCGGGAACCGAGGCGCATCCAGGAGGCCTGAGCAGCGGCGTCGCACTGTCATTGGAGGGCTTGAGTCACTCTCTGTGTGGGATGACTCAGACACCGACAGCCGCTTCCGTAATCTATGAGACACAAGGCCTGGGGTGAGTGACCCAGGTGGTCCCCCTCCTCCTGCCAGGTCTCCTTAGGGGCACACAAGGGTTATAGTAACAGAACTTTCCTCCGCAGACATTCCTCCAGGAGCCACCCTTGTGAATGCCCCCTCCCTGCCACCTGCACTCCTCCCTGGCATCGGAATCTCTCCCATGATCTGTGACAATGCAGGGATAGCTGTGTCGCCCACCCTGGGTGAACTCTGGGTGCTCACATCTCAGGGGAGCCAATCACCCAGCTCCGGTCTCGGCCTTTGAGCCCTGCCAGGCCATCTGAATGGTCCTCCTTCTCCTCACTCAGGCTGCGCTTGGTCGGGGGTGGTGTCCGGCGCTCCTCGAGCAGTGAGAGCCGCTCCATGCTGCTGTACACCTGTGGGCACAGGGGATGCGCTGGGGATGGGCTCTGGCAGCCGTACCTCCCAAGTGGCATAAAGCATCCTTGGCATCGGAAACCTAGGAATTTGAACCAGTCGGTTCCATCCCTCCTTCACACACCCCTGCTGAATATTTGGGGAAGGAGTTATTCCACTGATCTGACCTGGCATCTCATGTCAGGGACAGCAGTGGTTCTAGAAGCACCTATATATAGCTATATGTAGCCCCAACCCTTAGCTCCTCTTTTTCTAGAGGTGGCCCCAACCCCAACTCCCTGAGCCTGCCCCAGGTGTGCCCTTTGACAGGCCCTCTTCTTCTGATCCTCCAGCCTGTTCTGCCCATTCTGGGCCTCCTCAGTCACACCTTGTTGAACCTTGGAGAGCAGGAAGAGAACTGGCGGATCTCAAGGCAGCCATCCTCACTCACTTCTTCCTCATCCTCCGAGTCCATGTGGTGGTATCGCTCTGAGCGGGCTGGGCCAGACATAAAGGACACTTTCCTTCAGAGCCCTGCTGGTGGCCTCCTTGTGACCCCATTAGATTTCAGCAGAGCCCTGAGAAGTTGCTCCCAATGCAATTTCAGTGTGCACAGGTGTTTCTAGGCAAACAGGTAGGACCCATCCTCCACCCCACCCATCGGTGGCCTTACTGTCAAAATAGCTAGTATCATCCTCTGACTCCAACTGAGGAATAAATTCAGCCTTCTGGCGGAGAAGTCCTGTCCAGTCCAGACCAGTAAAGAATGGGTGCTGCTTCACCTCATAGGCACTGCCTGTGGACAGGGAGGACATGGGCAAGGGGGTAGGATGAGCAGCATGGAGTCTAGGTCAGCAAATCTAGCAAGAAGCCAGACCTTCAGAAGCTATACCTAGGGGATCAGCTCAAGCATCTTCCCTTTTCTGCCTACAGAGCAGGGCAGAGTTTCAGGATCCAGAGGGGCTGCCCGTAACCGAAGCCTGAACCTCCAGGGTACATGACTCAGCCTCCCTTACCCCTTTTCCAAGTAGTGAGAAAAGTTAGCAGGGCCTGCCCTACCTGTGCCAAGTCTCTCCAGAGGGTTCTGGTGGAGCAGTTTGGAGGTGAGGTCCTGGGCGTCTGGGGGCAGTGCCTCATCACCCTCAGGCCACACAATCTCATCTGAAGTCATCAGGGGTGAGAGGGAAAGGAGAAATTGTGGGTAGAGTGGAGAGATGCAGAAGAGGGTCCCAGAACAGTGAAAGGAAAGGAGGCAAAAAGGACCCAGCCTGGAGCCCCTGAAAGCCTTGCCTGGGACCCCAGTCCTTAAATTCTATAGGTTCCTAGACCATAGCTTGATCTTTGATCCACAGCAGGCACTGCAAAGCTCTAGCTCACCCTGCTTTTATACTCCACAAAACATACACAGACGTACCCCTCACACTTATGGGATGTGCACATACACAGACAGGAACACCCAGGTGTATATGAGAGACCAGGTGTCTATGAGAGACATGTGAAGCCCCAAGGGACACAGTGTGCACATGTATGTACATGCAGAAACACAGAGACACCCATCCCCAAAGCAGCAGACATCACAAACACACATGATGAGTTCAGAACAAGAGCTCACAGGCCTCACGAGCTGCCTGCATACATCATATTTGTGGATTCAGACTCTGTTTCCCCACTGGGCCAGGGGCATAGTACCTACCACTGATCACCTGCCCAAAGAGCTCCTCCGGAGTATCTCCAAAAAAAGGGACGCAGCCCACCAGGAACTCATACAGGATAATGCCCATGGCCCACCAGTCCACTGGCTTCCCATAGCCCTGGCGCAGGATCACCTCAGGCGCAATGTATTCTGGGGTCCCGCATACCTGGGCACAGAAAAGCCAGGCTGGCTCAGCCTCCTGAGGCTGCTGACTGGCATGACAGCCGGAGATGGGGGATGCTCCCATCTCGAGCAGAAGAATCTCTGAATGAAGACTCAGCCCACCTTAGTTAATGAACAAGATCAACAGAAGCCCCAGGGAACAAGAGTCGGAACTGTCAGTAGGTATTTCCTAATTAACAAAAATGTCTCATTCTAGCCCGGAACTACCATCCCTTAAGCCCTCAACACCCACCTCTGGCATGTGATCCCACAATGGGCCTCTGCACTCCAGCCTCTAACAAAACAGACCCTATCAGTCATGTAACAACTACAGGGACCGGTGAACAGTCACAACCTGAAATGTCAAACCAGGGAACATCCAGAGGCTGCCTCTCAGGACACTGGGCCACAGCCCAATGGAAATTCAGAGCTGTGTTCCAAGAACCTCAGGCTCCAGGAGAGCCTTGCCCTTGATTCAGGCTGGGAGATTCAGGACTGATCTCATATGAAACTCTGTGCTAACAGTTATATGACCTATTTTCCCCAAACCCTGAGGAGGAAGATGACTTTGGATTTTATATCCATATGATTCTCAAGGCTCATCCTGTTTTCCAAATGTGCTACCTATCTCAGTGCCTCTCTGGAACCCAAAGGTAGAAAAGATAGGGGTTCCCAATCTTAACATCTAGCTACAAGGTAGGCATATGGCCCCAAGGCCTTATTCTAGGGCCTGGAATCTATGTATGTGTACACAAATGTAGAGATGGGGTCTCACTATGTTGCCCAGGCTGGCCTCAAGCGATCCTCCTGCCTCAGCCTCCCAAAGGGTTGGGATTACGGGCGTAAGACACTGCGCCAGGACAAGGGCCTAGAATTTAACCCCCAGTGTATCAACTACCCTTCCTTACCTGCTTGTCCAGGAATTCCCGGGCATCCTTTTCAATATGACCCTCATACAAGTTCGTTGTCAGACTCATGAGGCCAATTTTGGACAGTCCAAAGTCCGTGAGCTTGATGTGCCCCATGGATGTAATTAGGAGGCTGGAAGAACGAAGAAATAAAATTAAGAAGTTATTCCTGGTTTTCTGAGAGTACTGATTTTAGTATATGCCCAGTTTCCCCACTCAGGCTTCCATGGGGGTACTGTGAGACACAAGCTGGGTAGCTTCAGCTGGGGGGACAGGCAGGTGTGGACACGTAAATCGCTCTGGCTGTGTGAGTGCTGCATTCTGCACAAGCAACGAACCTGCCTTTTGCCCATTCCCACAACTCCATTTCTGCTTATTGCCCTAACTGTATTCTATGTTGGGGGCAGGAGTCATTCAGTTGAGGAACAGAGTTTCTTCTACAGAGCTGAGATCAGCCTCATCCTAAGGCAGCTGCTGGAGCCATTCCTAGTCCCCTCTCCCAATCTGAGTGGCCCATAATACTCCTGTTTCAGGGAGAGGGGCAGGGGGCACACATAATTTTGTTCCATGTCCATGGCTGGTCTTGGGAGGAGGGTTAGTTGGGAGAAACTAGAACTAAGATCCCTTTATATACTCTGCCTGAGCCACTCATTTTGTGCTGAAGGCTTTACCCTGCCACCCTTTTATTCTAATGATTCCCCAAATAGTACCTCTGGCTCTGACTTCCTTTTTGAGCTCCAGGCCTACCCAACTGCCCATGTGTCTTACAGGCTCCAGAAACTCAACCTGTCCAAAACAAAGTCATGCCTCCCAACTGGTTCCCCTCCTCAGTGAAAAACAATAATTTTGGTTATCTGTTGAGCTCTGTGCTAAGTGCTTTAAAAATATTCTGGCCCCTGAAATGTTTTCTAGAGTAACACATCAAAGGTAGGTGTAATTATTCCCTATATTAGAAAGGAGGAACGTGAGGGTCAGGGAAACTTTAATTAGTAGACTCAAACTCAGACTTAATAAGCAGAAGAGTGGCCATTTGAATTCAGGTCTGTCTTATGTCAAAGCCACTTTCTTCCACAGAGGCTTATCACCCTGCACCAGTCCCAAGCTGGAAATCTGGAACACATCCCAGCCTCTTCTGTTCCCTCACTTCCCTTCCTACCCCCACCCCAGCCTGATCCTCTTTCCTTTATACTTCCCCACACTACCCCTCTTCTTTCTATCCTGACTCCCTGTTCTGCTGCAGGCATTGCTGTCTTTCCCTGGTCTCGGTATCTCTTTGGCAGTGGTCTCAGTGTCTCTTTTCACCGGCAGAGTGAGCTTTCTAAACCTGAACCATAATCTGGGCATGCCATTCTATCATATCTTTGGTTAGCAGACCCTTCCAAGACTCTCTAGGCCCCTTTAGAATAAAACCCAAATATAACAAAAGGGCCCTTGATGAACTAGTTCCTGCCTCTCTCTCTAGCCTTTTCTCTTACTACTCTCTCACCATCTAAGCTGTCGCCATATTGCACTATTTGTAGTTCCTGAACAAGTGCTGTTCTCTTGCACCTGTGTGACTCTGCACATTCTGCTCTCCTGCTTTAGAAAGCAGGTCTTCCTTTTTCCACTTGACTAATACCCTCTGAGAAGAAGCCTATATACATATATTTCTGTCTCCCACTGTAGACTTAAGTTCTACATGCCAGGGACTACATTTAAAAACCCACAATATAGTGCTGGCACAGAGTAGATGTCAGTAAACGTCAGGACACTTGTTTAGCCATCTACTAGATGTGCTTATTCTTTTGTTCTTGCTTGGTTTCTTCAGTGGGGCTCCTCAATGACTCTTCCATGTCACCGAAGCCTTATAGTGTTCCAGCCAGACCTTGAGGCAATGATCTGCATCTGGGGTGGTCGGGGGGCTAGAGAACTAGGCCCAGATGGACACACACAGGAGCATGTTTTCCCGGTAGCCATCTGGATAGATTTAGAGCTACTGTGCTTGCCAACATTTTATCTGGAGACCCAAGAGGGAGACCCTGGACAAGGGACACAGACTGTGGACATACTTGTCAGGCTTGAGGTCACGGTGCACGATGCCATAGTTGTGTAAGTACTCCAGGGCCAGCACAGTTTCCGCAAAGTATAGACGCACCATGTCCACAGGCAGGGCCCCAATATTCTTCAGCAGAGTGGCACAGTCTCCCCCTGCAACAAGCCCAGGCTACCATGAGGAAAGGATTCAGTTCCCTGCTCTAGCTAGCCAGCTCCCATCTGGCAGTTTCTGAGGTCCCAGAGGAGACAGCTTCATGGAATATCCTGGTGCTGGAGACTCTGATTCTAGCCCCTTTGCTGCTGGCATGGGTGGGAGACAGGGTGATATGGTTTGGCTGTGTCCCCACCCATAGCTCATCTTGAATTGCAGCTCCCATAATTCCCATGTGTTGTGGGAAGGGACCTGGAGGGAGATAACTGAATCATGGAAGTGGGTCTTTCCCATGCTATTCTCGTGATAGTGAATAAGTCTCATGAGATCTGATGGTTATTTTTATTTATTTATTTTTTTGAGGCAAAGTCTTGCTCTGTCACCCAGGCTAGAGTGCAGTGGTGTGATATCAGCTCACCGCAACCTCTGCCTCCCAGGTTCAAGCGATTCTCCTGCCTCAGCCTCCCGAGTAGCTGGGATCACAGGCGTGCACCACCACACCCAGCTAATTTTTGCATTTTTTGTAGAGACGGGGTTTCGCCATGTTGGTCAGGCTGGTCTCAAATTCCTGACCTCAGGTGATCCACCTGGCTCAGCCTCCCAAAGTGCTGGGATTACAGGCATGAGCCACCACGTCCGGCCCATCTGATGGTTTTATAAAGGGGAGCTTCCCTGCACAAGCTCTCTCTTGTCTGCTGCCATGTGAGACATGCCTTTCACCTTCTGCCATGATTGTGAGGCCTCCCCAGCCACATGGAACTGTAAGTCCACTAAACCTCTTTCTTTTGTAAATTGCCCAGTCTCTGGTATGCCTTTATTAGCAGCATGAAAATACACAGGGTATGGAGGGGGGTGGAAAGTAAAGTGAATCTGCTAATAGCTGTCATGGACATTTTTCAGGCCAGAGAGGGAAGGAACCCAGGCCTTTATTAAAAGTAATGGCAAACATGCAATTACTTTTGTACCAGCCTAATGTTTTTTAGGACAGGAATACTGCATACTGTAAACACATCTGGCTGAGATGTTAACATCTGTTCATGTTACTTCCTTCTTACTGGCTTTTAGTTTCTGAGTAAAGTAACACTATGAACTCCCAGCATGTACCCAGTAAACACTAAAGGACAGTTTTGTTCAGCTTCAGCTTCAAGACTAGGCACAGTATCTTTGGAGGCTGTACACACAGTGAGAAGGTGAGAGGGAAGGGAAACTGGCAAAGCTGCTGCCTCCCTCCAGAACTATGCCCCATGTTGCTCTTCTGTTCTATTCTCAGAGCATTTTGCTTGGTTTTAAGGGGTGTCCCCTTTGCAAGCCAGTCAGGGTAATTAATGGCTTTCCTTTCTTCTGAGGGTCCAGATGCAAACCTCCTAGCACCTAATCCTGGGCTTTTGTAGCTCTGCTGCCTCCTCTGTTGCTGTCTGATACCAGCAGTAGAGAGCGTGCAGGCTTTGGGGTGCAAGATTCTATAGCTGCTGGCCTGCTACATCCTATCCCAGAATGCCTCTCATGGTAGAGGCAGGGAGCTTTGTGCCCACTGTGGCCAAATGGTCTCTGTGATCCTGAGGCAGAAACCAATGCCAAAGGTGGACTGGAAAGCTGGGCCCTGAAACTTCACCTCTGTACAAAGCTGCTGGTCCCTGTTTAAGGCTAAGTCTCAGACTGTGCCTTGGCCTCCATGCCAGGCCACCTTTGCCTCAGTACCTTCAACGTACTCCATCACCATGCACAAGTGGCGCTTGGTATCAAAGGAGCAGAACATGCTGACCACAAAGGGGTTCTCAGCGAAAGTCAGTATGTCACGCTCCACGAAGGCCTGCTGGATCTGGTTCCGTAGGATCAGGTTCTGCTTGTTGATCTTCTTCATGGCAAAGCGCTGCCGGGTGGACTTGTGCCGCACCAGAAATACAGCCCTGGGAAACAAAGTCCGGCCCATCCCCCATGGACCCTCAGCACCTGAGCTGTGCTCTCTGCCACCCAAACTGCCTTCTCTCACACCTTAATTAATGCACAGAACAAGGGGGCAAGGGCATGCATATCAGTGAGAAGGGTCTGGGACCCCCTGGTCCATAGAACTCTTAAACTTCTTGATAGACCATGTCCTGATGACACGGCTCAATGCTTCCCCAGAGCTCAGGGAATGGAGGATGCGTGGTAGTAAGAGGCGTGGGAATCTTGTCTGGGAAAGGAACAATGATCGGATGTCAGAGGAATCTGAACTCCTGCCCACCCAGGAGGCTTCTGGGAGTGAGAAGGTCCACCCCGAGGCATCTGCCCAGAGGACTGGGCAGCATACACTCTCACATGGAAGAGATCAAAGGCTGACCCGGCTTCAGTCCTGGCCACACCCTGACCCCTGCCTTTACCCATAGGCGCCATTGCTGATGAGCTTAATGGTCTCGAAGTCCTCTTCAGAGGGTGTCTTTTTAGATGGCAGAGATGCCCCATGGCCCTGGAAGACAAGGGAAAAGGCAGGAGACAGGCATGCTTCTCAGAGCCCATATCCTTGCAGAAGCTGTGGCTCTAGCATCTTCTCAGCTGTCAGCTCTAGTGCAGTCTCCTGCTCATTCTTCTGGGAGTAGAATGACTTCTCAGTGTTTGCTGTCACCAACTCCCCCATCCCTTCCTCAGATATTCTCTTAAAGAGAATTCATAGCTCTTTGCTTCATAGGGCCCAGGCTCCAGGAATGGGGTAGGAGCTCAGGGTTTTTACCTCAATAGAATCATCTGTCTCTGGAGTGTCAGGACTGTCACAGCTGCTCAACTGGGCCATTTCTGGAAACAAAGATACAAGAGAAGAATGTGCGTGGCAATGTCAGGTATCTCAGCAGTATCCTCAGATCACACAACAGGTGCATGTAGGGTAGTCATTAATGCTTTTTGCATCAGCCTAGGATGTGAATTCAGTCCCATGGCACTATACCCAATGTAGTCCCAGCTTTTGGATCAGGAAACAAGCCAAATCCTACTGCTACTCCCATTTCCAGAAGTCCATTGCCATTCACAGGGCCTGGCAAATTCTATAAACTGGGGACATTTCCTGGAAAACAGGGCCTGAAACTGGGTTACTAGTTCCCATCCTGCTGGCCAAGACTGCTTCACTGGATGGGGCTGGGAAGCACAGAAGGCAGGAGCAGGATACCTACAGACCAGGGACTTGGAAGCCCATGGTTGCTGCAGGGGTTCAGCAGGAAGCCCAGAAGAATGGCAGTATCCTCTGAAGCCCTGTGTTGGACTACCCCAAAGACACAGGAAGACCTGTAAGGTGGCCAAGAGTAGAGGCAAGTTGCAGAGGAGGTGACCATTTTTGCAAATGTGATTGTGGCCCTTTGTTGTTGACCTCTTTGGAACTGAGGTTCTAAATGCAACTCAGCCGGGCCAATGCAATCCAGGTTGGGATCTATCAGGCAGATGTGAACAGCAGTTCCAAAGTAAAGACTGTTTTGTCACAGAGATCACAGGGTATCTCCTAAAATCCTGAGGCCCCCGGGGCCATGTTGTGTCCATGTCCAAGCTAAGTCTCTTTTCCAAGCAGCTTCCCTGCTGTTAGAGCTTGCCAGCAGCAGTGGGGCCTCTTTGCAGCCACTAGGCAGCATGCTCACCTTCTAGGGGATCCCGGGTGAGGCCCAGCTGGCTAACGATGTAGCGGGGAATGTCACATTTAATCCCTTGTCCCTCTTTGGCGTGGCCCTCAGCTGCTTCTAAAAGGTGGTAGAACTCTTCAGGGTCAAACTCCTGTACCAAGGGAGAGAGATAGTCAGTGGTGACAGATATAAGCGAAAGCTGCTGGCATCTTTGGTTTTACAGCATATAGTAGACTGAGATGAACAAGACTTTCTCTGTGATAGGACACTCCCACCCCTGAATATTCAGAAACAACATGATTCAGGGATCACAGGAATGGGGACAAAGATGTCTTACAGGTCACCTCCAGATTGGACATGCTAAGCATATGCTGTCTTCCTGGCAGTAAGAACTAGAGGTTTTACTCTAAAGAGAGCTCAGCCTATTGATCTGGTCCCATGCTTTCCATCAGCCAGGTGGCACTGTCTGGTGTATTCAGATGCCCAGTCCACAGCTGTCCTGGCACACACTCAATTATGGCTCACAAGAGCTTTGGCAAAGCCCTACTGGTGCATGTATACCTTCAAATATTTACTGGGCACCTCCTATGTGCTAGAGGCTGGAAATCCATTGAAAAGCACAATCCTTGTCTGCACATAATAACTGAGTGCCTACTAAGTGCCACACACTGGGTTAAACCCTCTAGCAACTCTTTGACCTCACTGAGGAAATCAAGGCTTTCAGGGATGCACTGATTTGTCCATAATCACAGTAGTAGGAAGGAACAGAAAACCAGCATTCAGCCCAGGTCTGACTCCAAGCCCCTGCTTAGCCAAGGACTTCATGTTCCTGAGGGAGAGGCTCTCTGCTCTATCACAGCATAGCCTCTGCCCTGAACTCTGTTCTCATTCCCTGTGGCCTCACTGTTTTGGAGAACTGTACCTATCTGGATATAACCTACGCCAGACCTGGAAGTCCTTTTAACTTCTTATCCTTCCTTAGCTCCTATTTGGTCAGAATGTCTCTCTCATAAATACCCCTCTAATCCACCTCTTTCTCTCTATTATCCTACCATTCACTGTCTGAGTTCTGGCCACCCCATCTCACATGAATTTGCTTTGAGTACCTCTCCCCTGATGTCCCTGGCTCATCCTGCCCTCTCTTCCAATTCACTATCCATGTTGCAGCCAAAGTAATCTTTCTTAGGACTAAATCTGATGTAATATTTACACAGAAATAAATAGGAACCAATTACTGATACATGCAACAACATGTATGAATTTCTACAAACATGCTGAGTGAAAGAATTCAGAACATACTACAGAAACCACACAGAAACATGGTTTCATTTCTAGGAAACTGTACAAAAGGCAAACCCATCCCTAGTGAAACAAAGCAGTTAAGTTATTGTCTGGGAGCAGGAGGAAGAGAGGACTGACTTCAAAGGGGCACAAGGGAACTTATATGACAGAAATATTCTCTATGTCAGCTGTGGCCACGATTCTACAAGTGTGTATTTGTTAAATCTCAATGAACTGTACCATCAAAGGGATATATTTTATTGTATGAAAATTATACCTTAATAATATTTTTTAAGAAAAAAGTAAATGCGGCCATGTCACATTCTTACCTAAACTTTCTGGTGTCTCCAAGTGGCCGTAAGGGTAATGAAAAACTCCAGAGCCGAGAACCCGACACCCTCCATGACCCTGTCACAGCCTACCTTCCAGGCTTACCCCTCAGCACTTCTTCAAACCCACCCTGTGCCCCACTGAATGCTCCTTCCCATGCTCCCGATCTGGGAAACTTAGACTCATCCTTCAGTTTGCTGAATAAGCCTCACGTCCCCCAGGGAGCATTCACTGAATGTTCCTTCCAGGGAAGACTAAAGCACTTCCTTTTCCAGGTTCCCGTTACGCTGTGTACTGACCTCAACTGCAACACTTCTTGCAGTATTGTAATTACTATTTACATGTCCTCATGCCTCATGCTTCCCAACTCCACTGTAGAGGAAACATCCCAAGATCAGAGACTGTGCTTTATTCATGTCTGTATCTCCAGTGTCTAGCAGGAAGTAGGTACTCAGTCAAGTATTGCTGAAGATAAAATGAAGGACTCAACTTGTACAAACTAAACTGGGCTATGCTCCTGACGCTTCTCACCCCCAAGACCCCCACTGATGTGAGCCCTGCTCATGTGGGGGTGGCCTAGACTAATAATTCTCCCTGCCGCATCCCCTCAGGACCATACATTTGTCCTCACAAAAACCTGTTTAGTCCCCCAATGGTGGCAAATCATATTTAAATAAGGACCTAAGCAACAGAAATGGCAGTGGTTACCACCACAGTTTTGCTGTCATCAGGATACTTCCTCTATAGTCCTCCTCTAAATCTGCCCACCTGACTTTCCTAGAGTCCACTCACCAGGCATTCCAGGAGACGTGCTGGGCGGGCAATGATAATCATCAGCTTTTTCACCAGCTGCATCACAAAAGCCACTTCTGAGCTCTCTGAGCGCTCATGAGCCTATAGAGAAAAGAAGCGTTGCTTAATCTATTGGCCCAGTGTGGCTGGGCTAAGCAGGACCAGACAGGGCAGAGCTGACTCCAGGGAGAAACAATTCGGTAGCATAGAGAGCTCCGCAAAGCAAGGAACTCAGAGAAGGCTGGCTGGCTGTGAGAGGGAGCGAGTTGCTCATAGGGAACCATTTCTGCTTTAGAACACTACATGACACCAAGAAATGCCACACAGACATACAGCTGTACCTGCTCCTCCATCCAACAAGCCTCACTTACCCTCCAGACCCTAGCTCAAGGGGCAGCTCTCAATGGTGCCTTCACTGATGTTCACTTTCCACCCTAGACTGTAAGGAGTAGAAAGACCTCAAAGCTGAGGAGTCATATGACCAGAAAGTACTTCAGAAGGATCACTCTGGCTGCAGTGTAGAGAGTACACTAAAGAGGGCAAGGCTAAATGCAGGAAAACCCATTAGCAGGCAACTCTAATAATTCAGATGAAAAAGGCATAGGTCAAGGCAGAAGAATGCAGACAAGGGGATAGACGTGGGTTACTACAGAAGCAGATAAGGGGTGAAAGAAGCACGACAGAAGGCAACTACAACTTCAATTTTAGGAAAATTACAATGAATAAGTGAAATAGTAACTATAAGAAGCCATTTAGGTGATAGGTAAAGAATGTACTGCATTTGGTTTTAGAGAAAGAACAGCTAGGCAGAAAAGATAAGCTCAGTTCTGGGCGTGCAGTTTCAGGCACCTATATGAGAGTCTCTTGGGTATCTGCTTGGCCGATGGGCCTTTCTCTTTTTTCCTGAGAACTGCTCTGGTTTCTAGGAGCCACATTTGTACTGTGTGTCTGTACCTTCCCTCCCACCTCTAATAGCTGACCAGAGAGGATCACTTTCCTAGGAATTTAAAAAAGGATAGAAAGACAACTGTTAACGTCAGTGTGGCAGAACCGTTTAAGAACTGTGAAAAGAGATGCATACCTACCATGGAAATAGAGGAAAAGATGCATACAGAAAAAGGAAGAATGAAGACTTCCTGAGCTTCCTGGAGCTTCTGGTTTCTAGTTCTGGTTCCTTCTTAAGGCCTGGTTATATCCCTCGCTTCAATTCTCTAAGACCTACTCCTTTTACTCTTATAATGTTTCCCTTTACTGTTTAAACTATTCTGAATCAGTTTCTATTACGTGCAACCAAAGAATAAGAACCAATATAGGGAAGTCAAAGTGGAGGAGTCCAGCAGGCAGCTGGGTGCACTGATCTGAAGCTCAGGAGAACAGTAAGAGTGGCAGCCACATGTGGGAGTCCTCAGCGTAGAGATGACAACTGAAGACATGGGAGCAGGTGGCAAGACATCAGAGAGAGAGTGGAGGAAAGAGAAAGGGGAGACCAGGCATGCCGGATGGTGCCCTGTGACACACCAGTAGGAAGAGGTGGGCAGCAAAGGAACTTGTGAAGAGGCAGCAAGAGTGGTGAGAACAGTGAATTGACAACTGGGGAAGGAAGTTTAGGAAGTATTCACTGTGCTCCACCGAGAGGTGGCAGAAGATGGGAACTGAAAGTGGCCACAGGATTTGGCAATTGGCCAGTGAGTTCCTTGGTGAATTTTGCCTGAACAGTTTTGGTAGACTGGTGGGAAGGGAAACTGGAAGGCAGAAGATTGAGTAGTAAATAGGATACAAGGAAAGAAAAACAGTAAATGCTATTGTGAATAGTGCCGCAATAAACATACGTGTGCATGTGTCTTTATAGCAGCATGATTTATAGTCCTTTGGGTATATACCCAGTAATGGGATGGCTGGGTCAAATGGTATTTCTAGTTCTAGATCCCTGAGGAATCGCCCCACTGACTTCCACAATGGTTGAACTAGTTTACAGTCCCACCAACAGTATAAAAGTGTTCCTATTTCTCCACATCCTCTCCAGCACCTGTTGTTTCCTGACTTTTTAATGATTGCCATTCTAACTGGTGTGAGATGGTATCTCATTGTGGTTTTGATTTGCATTTCTCTGATGGCCAGTGATGGTGAGCATTTTTTCATGTGTTTTTTGGCTGCATAAATGTCTTCTTTTGAGAAGTGTCTGCTCATGTCCTTCGCCCACTTTTTGATGGGGTTGTTTTTTTCTTGTAAATTTGAGTTCATTGTAGATTCTGGATATTAGCCCTTTGTCAGATGAGTAGGTTGCGAAAATTTTCTCCCATTTTGTAGGTTGCCTGTTCCCTCTGATGGTAGTTTCTTTTGCTGTGCAGCAGCTCTTTCGTTTAATTAGATCCCATTTGTCAATTTTGGCTTTTGTTGCCATTGCTTTTGGTGCTTTAGACATGAAGTCCTTGCCCAAGCCTATGTCCTGAATGGTAATGCCTAGGTTTTCTTCTAGGGTTTTTATGGTTTTAGGTCTAACGTTTAAGTCTTTAATCCATCTTGAATTAATTTTTATATAAGGTGTACGGAAGGGATCCAATTTCAGCTTTCTACATATGGCTAGCCAGTTTTCTCAGCACCATTTATTAAATAGGGAATCCTTTCCCCATTGCTTATTTTTCTCAGGTTTGTCAAAGATCAGATAGTTGTAGATATGCAGCGTTATTTCTGAGGGCTCTGTTCTGTTCCATTGATCTATATCTCTGTTTTGGTACCAGTACCATGCTGTTTTGGTTACTGTAGCCTTGTAGTATAGTTTGAAGTCAGGTAGCATGATGCCTCCAGCTTTGTTCTTTTGGCTTAGGATTGACTTGGCGATGCGGGCTCTTTTTTGGTTCCATATGAACTTTAAAGTAGTTTTTTCTAATTCTGTGAAGAAAGTCATTGGTAGCTTGATGGGGATGGTGTTGAATCTATAAAAATTACCTTGGGCAGTATGGCCATTTTCACGATATTGATTCTTCCTACCCATGAGCATGGAATGCTCTTCCATTTGTTTGTATCCTATTTCACTGAGCAGTGGTTTGTAGTTCTCCTTGAAGAGGTCCTTCACGTCCCTTGTAAGTTGGATTCCTAGGTATTTTATTCTCTTTGAAGCAATTGTGAATGGGAGTTCACTCATGATTTGGCTGTTTGTCTGTTATTGGTGTATAAGAATGCTTGTGATTTTTGTACATTGATTTTGTATCCTGAGACTTTGCTGAAGTTGCTTATCAGCTTAAGGAGATTTTGGGCTGAGACAATGGGGTTTTCTAGATATACAATCATGTCATCTGGAAACAGGGACAATTTGACTTCCTCTTTTCCTAATTGAATACCCTTTATTTCCTTCTCCTGCCTCATTGCCCTGGCCAGAACTTCCAAAACTATGTTGAATAGGAGTGGTCAGAGAGGGCATCCCTGTCTTGTGGCAGTTTTCAAAGGGAATGCTTCCAGTTTTTGCCCATTCAATTCAGTATGATATTGGCTGTGGGTTTGTCATAGATAGCTCTTATTATTTTGAGATACATCCCATCAATACCTAATTTACTGAGAGTTTTTAGCATGAAGGGTTGTTGAATTTTGTCAAAGGCCTTTTCTGCATCTATTGAGATAATCATGTGGTTTTTGTCTTTGGTTCTGTTTATATGCTGGATTACATTTATTGATTTATGTATATTGAACCAGCCTTGCATCCCAGGGATGAAGCCCACTTGATCATGGTGGATAAGCTTTTTGATGTACTACTGGATTCGGTTTGCCAGTATTTTATTGAGGATTTTTGCATCAATGTTCATCAAGGATATTGGTCTAAAATTCTCTTTTTTAGTTGTGTCTCTGCCCGGCTTTGGTATCAGGATGATGCTGGCATCATAAAATGAGTTAGGGAGGATTCCCTCTTTTTCTATTGATTGGAATAGTTTCAGAAGGAATGGTACCAATTCCTCCTTGTACCTCTGGTAGAATTCAGCTGTGAATCCATCTGGTCCTGGACTCTTTTTGGTTGGTAAGCTATTGATTATTGCCACAATTTCAGAGCCTGTTATTGGTCTATTCAGAGATTCAACTTCTTCCTGGTTTAGTCTTGGGAGGGTGTATGTGTCGAGGAATTTATCCATTTCTTCTAGATTTTCTAGTTTATTTGCGTAGAGATGTTTGTAGTATTCTCTGATGGTAGTTTGTATTTCTGTGGGATTGGTGGTGATATCCCCTTTATCACTTTTTATTGTGCCTATTTGATTCTTCTCTCTTTTCTTCTTTATTAGTCTTGGTAGCGGTCTATCAATTTTGTTGATCCTTTCAAAAAACCAGCTCCTGGATTCATTAATTTTTTGAAGGGTTTTTTGTGTCTCTATTTCCGTCAGTTCTGCTCTGATTTTAGTTATTTCTTGCCTTCTGCTAGCTTTTGAATGTGTTGCTCTTGCTTTTCTAGTTCTTTTAATTGTGATGTTAGGGTGTCAATTTTGGATCTTTCCTGCTTTCTCTTGTGGGCATTTAGTGCTATAAATTTCCCTCTACACACTGCTTTGAATGCGTCCCAGAGATTCTGGTATGTTGTGTCTTTGTTCTCGTTGGTTTCAAAGAACATCTTTATTTCTGCCTTCATTTCGTTATGTACCCAGTAGTCATTCAGGAGCAGGTTGTTCAGTTTCCATGTAGTTGAGTGGTTTTGAGTGAGTTTCTTAATCCTGAGTTCTAGTTTGATTGCACTGTGGTCTGAGAGACAGTTTGTTATAATTTCTGTTCTTTTACATTTGCTGAGGAGAGCTTTACTTCCAACTATGTGGTCAATTTTGGAATAGGTGTGATGCGGTGCTGAAAAAAATGTATATTCTGTTGATTTGGGGTGGAGGGTTCTGTAGATGTCTATTAGGTCCGCTTGGTGGAGAGCTGAGTTCAATTCCTGGGTATCCTTGCTAACTTTCTGTCACGCTGATCTGTCTAATGTTGACAGTGGGGTGTTAAAGTCTCCCATTATTATTGTGTGGGAGTCTAAGTCTCTTTGTAGGTCACTCAGGACTTGCTTTATGAAACTGGGTGCTCCTGTATTGGGTGCATATATATTTAGGATAGTTAGCTCTTCTTGTTGAATTGATCCCTTAACCAACCCAAATGTCCAACAATGATAGACTGGATTAAGAAAATGTGGCACATATACACCATGGAATACTATGCAGCCACAAAAAATGATGAGTTCATGTCCTTTGTAGGGACATGGATGAAATTGGAAATCATCATTCCCAGTAAACTATCGCAAGAACAAAAAACCAAACACCGCATATTCTCACTCATAGGTGGGAATTGAACAATGAGGACACATGGACACAGGAAGGGGAACATCACACTCTGGGGACTGTTGTGGGGTGGGGGGAGGGGGGAGGGATAGCATTAGGAGATATACCTAATGCTAAATGATGAGTTAATTGGTGCAGCACACCAGCATGGCACATGTATACATATGTAACTAACCTGCACATTGTGCACATGTACCCTAAAACTTAAAGTATAATAATAATAAAAAAAAGAAAAATACATAATCAAATTAAATAGTATTAAAAATCAATGAAAACGAAGATATAATTACCAATAATATCTTAGATTCTAATGGCTATTATTTTCAAATTGTACCACATTTTCCTAAATATCTTCCCATGAATGCCTAATTAGGATTATTTTTGCTTACAAATTATTTTAAAATTATTTTTCTTCGGAAAAAAAACACAGTAAATGAGGACTTTTCTTCTTTTAAAGTATTGGTTATGAAATGAAGAGAAAGGTTGAGCAGTTGGTGAAATCCCATTTATTCTTTTAAAACCTGTCTCCTGTTCCCAACACACATATACACACACACGAGAAGAAAAAGAATTGCTGTCTTTAACATGTTCTCTTGGCTGTTCATGCATACCACATGGTACTGTCATGCTGTTTCATAATGAGCTGTCTGTCTCTACAGCTACACTGCTGGGCCTAGTGAGTAAAGAGGCTCTGTGTCTTTTTCTTTTCTTTTTTTTTTTTTTGAGACAGAGTTTCACTTTTATTGCCCAGGCTGGAGTACAATGGCATGATCTTGGCTCACCGCAACCTCCACCTACTGAGTTCAAGCGATTCTCCTGCCTCAGCCTCCCGAGCGGCTGGGATTACAGGCGTGCGTCACCATGCTCAGCTAATTTTGTATTTTTAGTAGAGATGGGTTTTCTCCATGTTGATCAGGCTGGTCTGGAACTCCCGACCTCAGGTGATCTGCCTGCCTCAGCCTCCCAAAGTGCTGGGATTACAGGAGTGAGCCACCGCACCTGGCCCTGTTTCTTTCCTCAAATGCTAAGCCTAGCAGAATGCCTCCTATACAGCAGATGTCAGTCAATGTTTGTTGACTGTTTGAAAATGTATGATCTTAGGCTCTGGAATAAGCCAAATCTGGGTTGGGTCCTGGTTTTGCTACTTAAAAAAATCAGTTATCTTGAGCTAACTTAGTTTCCTTATCTGTAAATTTAGGAAATAATATTAAGTACCTTTCTTACACGGTTGTGAAGATTTAACCAGATAAATTAAATGAGGTAATGCAGTGTCTAGCATGTATTAAATGCTCCATAAATGTTACTGACTTTTATTATTCTAAAATCTGATCAGGTCATTTTTCAATTTGTCACATTGGATGATACCCACTGCCTTCACGATACAATCTAAGCTCCTCACAAGGCCGTTCAGCATCTGGCCCCCAGTCCAACTCTTCAAATTCATCTGCCAGCTGGTCATTTGTAGCAGCTCACACCTGTAATCCCAGCACTTTGAGAGGCCGAGGCAGGGCGATCACTTGAGGTCAGGAGTTTGAGACCAGCCTGGCCAACATGGTGAAATGCCTGGCTAGTGTAGAGATGGGGTCTCACTTTGTTGCTCAGGCTGGTCTCAAGCTCCTGGGCTCAAGTGATCCTTCCATCCTGGCCTCCCAAAGTGCTGGGATTACAGGCATGAGCCACTGTGCCCAAGCAAAAGGTTGTTTATGCTGTTTTCTAGCTTCAGTGAACTCCTACCTGTTAAGATCTAGCCTTCCCTGAACTTTCCACAAAGAGTCAGCATATCCTCCTCTGTGCTCAGAACCTACTTATCTCTAGTGCTCGTCAATCACATTGTATTGCAGTCAGTGGAAGTGAGAGAATTCATATAAAGTATTCAGTATAGTAATAACTTATTTTTATTAAGTACATGTTGATGGGTCTGTAACCTCACTGATGGCAAATTCCCTAAGATAGAGCCTGCACTGAATTCTTTTCTGCATTCCAAGGGCTTCACAAATTAGGGAACAGATGAACAAACTGGCTCCAAATTCAGTGCTCTTCCTATTGTATCAAACAACCTAACCACACAAGCAGTCAATCTGGGAAAATGCCTAAAGGTTTTGGGCAAGGCTCTGACTTTAGCATTTTAGAAGATAAATCTTAAACATACCAGGAAACTTGGAAGTTACTCTACATTAATCCTTTACCTGATGCAGTAATCCCTGATTCCTATATGTCTCTGGGGTACCCCTTTCCATTGCTGGAAAACTGTCAGAAACCTTTTCTTGAACAGAAACAAACAGCTACCAGTGATTTTCATGGGACTCTGGCTTTCTAAAGTTATACTTCTACAATGTTTTATTTTAAGTATTTCTTTTGAAATCACAAAAAGGTATTTTTGTAGAAGGAACTACTTTTTCACCTATTAAATCAAAACCTTTCTCACTGTAACTTCTGCCCACTGGACTAATTATGTCTTTCAGGGGTATTAAGAACAATCTGCTCTCTTTTATATGTGAGAAACTTTCTACTACTTGACAACAATAATCATGATCATCTTTAGTCACCCTTTCTCTAGATTCAACTGTTCTCTGAAAATTTGTTTAAACTCCCTGCTCCTTCTTATTTCTAGACGAACACACTGATGTCCTTTTGATCATTAGCCCTGGGCCCTCAGCTCAGTTGGTACTACTCCAGAGAGAGAGGTCTTGGTCTGGAGGTAATAAGGGGTTCTGGACTGGGAAATTCTCTAGTGATGTGATGAGCTCTGCGGGGACAGGCATATCCTCTCTCTCCCAAACTGTATTAATGGATAACATGGAGCCGCTGTGGTCTGAGTGAGATGGCATCTGGCCACCTTAATCAAGAGGCTGATAGCAAAGGAAGCACTCGTGCAGGAAGCAGTGCTTAAGAACTCTCATGTGCTTTGGTCTTGGCCATCTCTGGATTACTTTACCTTTAGCCTCCCAGAGATTTTTTCACACCAGCGAGGACCAGGTCTCAAAACATGTAAGTCCCAACTAGAGAACTTCTCACCATGCAAATGGCTAAACCCATTGTGCAAGCCTCATACCTGTTTTCCCTTGGCTGAGGATAAATAGTCTGAAGGCTCTGCTTAAACCAGTATTTCCAGTAGAAGAAAGCCCGTCACAGCCACTGGAGCCACTTTTTGGCTTTGGGTAGCAAACCTCCTAGTCAAATACTTATGACTACTACCCATGGTGGAGCTTCGCGTAATACAACAAAGTAATATAATTTTGGATTTAGAAAAGGAACAGAAGTGACTTCCTTTGATACCAAGCAGGCTTCTCTCAGTATTGCAGGGGACTGAGGAGGAATCTAAGTCCCTCAGCTCTACCTTTGAGGGTGGGTAACAAGCAGTCTGTGAAGACTGAGAATACCACTAATGCCCTAATCTTAGCTTGGGATTACAAATCCAATACCAGGTGGAGGTTTTTTCAGAACCCCAGCACAAGGACACTCACATCTTGTAAAAGTTTCTCCAAATTATCTTGAAGTTCGTAGAAGTATTGTGATGTAATGAGGCCACTCCGAGATTTATCCAGGCAGTCTCGGGCCATCTCAATCACCTGATGATGAATAAAGCTCAGGGCTCCATCTGCCAAGGGCAGCACGCTGTCTGGAGTGTTGGAGGAAATAAACTCTGCTAGTCGCTCTTCCATTTGTGCGGTGGCCTGGGAAGAAAAGCAAGAAAGAAACACTTCCCTTCTAGTTCCAGCTCAGTTGGAGCTAAGCCTGAAGGACCTGGAAATAGCAAAATAATGGGCTCCCTCTGATCCTGGTTTCCTTAAACTGCCATTTGGGAAACCTGATAACTGAAGACATTAATAGATCACCTTCAAGTAAAGTCAACTCAAGATGCCTTAGCTTTATATTCAAGGCCCTCTTTCACCTGGTCTTGCCCATCTCCCCCAACTCCCTCCAGGGCAAGCTCTTTTGCTGTACGGACACACAGGTGTTTGCTATCTTCCTCCTTTACTATGCTGTTTCATGCCTGTCTGTTTATGCTCTTCCCAGTGTGTGGCTTTTTCACCCTGCCAAGCCTGCCTGACAAACTCCTAATTCTCCTTCTAATCTCAGTTCAAATATTGTGTCTCCTCTGGGAAGTCTTTCATTTCCCCAGGCAAATGGGTTTCCATTCCTCTGTTCTTCCACTGGACCTCCCAACTGTGTAAACTTAGTGTATGGGCACTGCTGGTTTCTAAACCGGGAAGTTTGTTAAGTGAGAGAGAGTTTCATTTAACTCAGGATCCTCTTACTTAACCTTAGGACCCAAGGGAGTTAGGCAGGTGCTTGGAGAGCTGCTTAGTGAACCTGTCTGGTCACAGATGGTGAGTTGGAATGGGGGGACTGTGGATAGGAACATGAGCCTGGCCTGGATCCCCAGCAGAGGAGAATGGAGGTCTGGCTCCAAACCTCTTAGGGACCTAACTACACAGTCATGTCAAAATGACAGATACACATCTGTGAACGAGTTCTTAGCTGCCTATCTAAGCTGTCTATCTAAGACTCTGCCTTATTTCTTTTGCTACCAGGTGGTGATTTCTGATTTCCAGTGTGTGTTTAGGCAAATGTATACCTACATACATATATATGTGGTGTGTCTACATGGAGAATGAAAGAGGAAGAGGGTGAAAAAGTGGGAGTAGAGGAGAAAGAAGGAAGTGAAGGAATCTTAACACATTTTCTCCAACAATAGTTCATCCTATAGGAAGGAACTGGAAACATGCCTATAAACACAAACATCCAATGCTACAAAAACACCTAACATACAAGGAGGAGGAGGACAAGCATGAGATACATTTCTCAACATTATATACTTGCAAACTTCATAAACACCATATACGTCAAAATGAATTGCTAGGTGTTTGTTCTGCCTCCTTCTTCATGCTTATTGTCTAGTGCCCACTCCAAAGCTGGAAAGCACAGACCACAGGGCACAGGTTCTGCAGTCCAGTATCCCCTCTCAGTCAGGAACAGGGCCTATCTTCAGGAGGCCAGGTCAGAGCGTACAGGCATGTGGTGTTGAAAAGGACATGCAAATGGGGCCAGGTACAGTGGCTGGCTCATGCCTGTAATCCCAGCACTTTGGGAGGCTGAGGCAGGTGGATCACCTGAGGTCAGGATTTCGAGACCAGCCTGGCCAACATGGCAAAACCCATCTCTACTAAAAATACAAAAATTAGCCGGGCGTGGTGGCGCATGCCTGTAGTCCCAGCATCTCGGGAGGCTGAGGCAGGAGAATTGTCTGAACCCCGGAGGCAGAGGGTGCAGTGAGCCGAGATGGTGCCATTGCACTCCAGCCTGGGTGACAGAGCAAGACTCCATCTCTTAACAAAAAAAGAGACATGCAAATGGGAAACAAGATCCTAGTTCCATATACAAGGAGGTTCACAGCCAAGCAGCAGAGTTACGAATGCTACTTCTCAGCTATCTCAGGATAACAACCTACTTTCCTTCCTCAGCATTTTCCTGCTTGAAAATGAAAATTCAGATGTTAGCAAGCAACTCTGAGATCTGTCTCCCACTCCTACTGCTCTCTCTGGCCTTCTTGCCAGTGCAGCCTACTTCTGTCTGTGTACTCTCTGACACCTGATAATGAGGTGCTGCTTAAGAAATCTCTATCAAATGAATATGCCACCAGAGGGCAAATCCTGTAATGAGTGAACCCTGACTCATGGATCCTCATGTGCACAGTGAGAAGTAAAGCCTCCAGTTCTTTCTTTCCTCTTTAATATATGGTGGGCTACCTTTCTGACATTCCCCTCTGGATAACTCTACTTCTGGGTAGTGAAGAAACAAAGGCTCTGCAAATACAGTTCCCAAACTCATAGCTTCCTGCTGTCTCCTTCTCAAGCAGTCTGGAAGCCCTTGTTGCTGTGTCCACAGCCTCCTGGCTGACTTTCTGTTCTTCTTCTTGGTTATCTCTGGAGGTAGCACTTCATTCCTTCACTCCAGAGTCTCCCATTGGGGCTGGCTGTAGGCAGCCACCCGGAGGGGTATTGCCACTCTCCTTTTAAATGGATCCTTACCTTTGGGAATCTTTCTTTGTAAACATGATTCATCATTATTATTTCACTGTCAAAGGATACTGGGGATCGTCCGGGACTAAAAAAGAAAGAAATGATTGTGTTACTTTAGTGCTATGGAACTATCAAGAAGAAAGATGGCCATCCCCAGAGACCCTGCCCCTCCCACCATCTTCAGCAGCTACATACTCCCACTTTAACGGGTACTGAGTTCTAGAGCCTTTCTTATTCCTGGAGTTTCCAGTGTACCTTGTTCAGTTCAAAATGGTACTATATGGAGCTAGGCTTGGTTTTCACAAAGACCTCTTCTAGGCTAGAAAGACCTAGAAAGGGACCTACTCCTAAGCTCACTGGTGGCTTTCCCAGGATAAACTCCCCTGGAGTAGGATTCTCTGTGTCTTCTTAGTTTTGGTCAATAGGGTTGGGTGTGCCCCAGCATATTCTTGGGAACAAAACAAATAAAAAAACTACCAAAGCAACCAAAGGAAGACGGTGCACACGTACATTTTTTTTCCAAACTAGCTGCAGCCATGGACCTAACTTGGGGATGAATGAGGCCAGTCCAGACTGTTGTGAGTTATACATCTGGGTGATTTACTGAAGGCAGCCGATATGTTTTCTGCCTTAATTTATTGTCTTCCCTGATAACCTAAATCTCCCCCTCTGGCTCATGTGTCATTGTATCTCCTTAAAAAAATTTCAAAGTTGGAGCCACACAGTTGAATGGGTATGTGGGTCTTGCCCAGTTTACTGCCCCTGACACATGATCCCAGATGTTCTAGGTTCACAACTGTCCCACTCTGTCTTTCTTCCCTGGAATGTGCCATGTTTTGCCTGCTGTACTGCTGCACATTACCAAGGATTTAAGAGTAATATAGCATGGATTTCTCTGAGCATCACTGTGGGCCTCTCAATCTCAACTGGCCTAAAAGGTACCCTTCTCTGTGTATGGGTTGTTGAGAACACCAAGACTCAGGTGTTCCTCTGTGACACAGAGAAAGGCACTGGAGCCTCAGATACCATCTTCATCAATCTCTACACCTGAACCAGTCATTGTGGTCTGGCCCAGCTTACTCCCTGTCACTCCTGGTGCAGTGCCAGCATTACCTGAGGGGATTCTTTCTGGGAGGAACTGCTGCTCCTCTGGGATCCTACCCTGCACATCTTAGCCAATTAATTACTTCTTAGGGACCCTGCAAAACTGAGCTCAGTCATTAAAGTCATGTTCATTTTAATCTCCATCACCTTCCTTAACCTAAAATTCTGGCACTGATTTACCAGCTAATGCCAAAGAGAATCGAAAATTAATCAGCAGCTGTTAAGGTTAGTTTGGTTTGATGAAGATGTGCCCAGGTGATTCACAGAATAAAGACATATTCAAATGGACATTTAATTCTGCTTTTGAAATGGGCTTCTTCCCCACGCCAGCAACCTGTCTTCAGCAGCAACTTTTTTAGCTGGCCTAGATCATACACCCAGGGCCAATGGGTTCTGGAGCCAGATAACCATCAGAATTGATGATACCATTGTTCTCCTTTTACCAGATGTAATCTAAAGTATATTTCTGCTGCTAACTACCTTTAAACAGAAAAAGAGAGGGACCACTTGACAGTATTGTTAAATACCTCCTGGGGTGATGGGTTGAGCTGTACCTGAAGCCAAAAATAGCTTGGGCTTTGTTGAACTTGACTCACTCAAGCTGGCCAATGTATTATGCCAGGGGTTAGCAAATTACAGCCTGCAGACTAACTATGGCCTGCTACTTTTTTTTTTTCTTTTGTAAATAAAGTTTATATATTATTTGTGGATACTTTCATACTACAACAGCAGAGTTGAGGAATGTGACAGAGATATATGGCCTATAAAGCCTAAAAATATTTACTATCTTGGCCCCTTATAGCATAGTGTGCCCACCTCTGTGTTATGCAAACAAGCTGAAATCCACATGCACTGGAACAGTGGGCAGAGAGCACCCTCACCTGAGGCTCCGGGAGCGAGGCCGCATGGCTGGGGACTGCCGTCCTTCCTCATCTGGTACGCTCTCTGTGCTGAAATGCTTCGTCAAAAAGTGCAGCTCATCAGCTGTAGGCTGGAAAGGCAACTGATGCAGCTTTTCCTGTGAGGAGCATGATGACTAGAGGGGAAAACATTAAGAAGTGGCATTAAAGACATGTCCCAGAGCAGTCCAAGAATGGGGAAGGACTGAAAATGGTCAGGGAACTTCCCAGTCACTATAAACCCAAAGCAGGTCTTCTTTCCCCTACTCCCTTAGCCTTGCCTGTGCTTGATCCTGTTTTTCTCCAGCCCTTCAGAGCCCTCAGCCCTGAGGAATTCAATATACTGGAGTCCTTCAAGGGTTGTGCAGGGAGTTGGGCCCAGACCTTCATGGAATTTTAGAGCTGCAAAAGTAGTTAATAAATCATGCTTCCTCACTTGGGACATGTTTTAGGTGTACCCAGCTGCAAATAACATCCTCTTAAGTTCGCCCTTCCACAATCTTGAGAGAGCCACCCTGGGGGCAGCTCAGCAATGTTTCCTTTTGGCTGCTATCTGGAGGAGAAGTGCCTTTGCTGGGGCTGTGAAGGCTGTGCCCAGACTCACTCAAGCTGGCCAATGTATTGTGCCAGGGGTTAGCAAACTACAGCCTGCAGACCAACTATGGCCTGATGTCCAGCAGGCAAGAAAATCCAGCAGGGAAGAAAATTACTTTTACATCTGGACCTGAAGATTAGGCTTGACCTGAAAACACTCATGAATTCTAAACATGGCTCAGTGACTGAGGATTCCTCACAACAGCACTGCCAATCTCAACAGGCCATCTGAGGGAGGGTGCTCGGCTATCACAGGACTTCTACAGGCGCAGCTAATGCTGAAGCACCCATTCAGTCCCAGGATCAGGGAACTCCCCCCTCCATTACCTGACAAGACTGACAAAGAGAACAGGCAAGTCAGGGCCAGCCCAAGTTCTATTTACCAAACTAATCAATGATCTGGGGTTTTTTTTTTTTTTTTGAGACAGAGTTTCGCTCTTGTTGCCCAGGCTGGAGTGCAATGGCACGATCTTGGCTCACTGCAACCTCCGCCTCCCAGGTTCAAGTGACTCTCCTGCCTCAGCCTCCTGAGTAGTTGAGATTACAGGCATGTGCCACCATGCCCGGGTAATTTTGTATTTTTAATAAAGATGGGGTTTTTCCACGTTGGTCAGGCTGGTCTGGAACTCCCGACCTCAGGTGATCTGCCCGCCTTGGCCTCCCAAAGTGCTGGGATTACAGGCGTGAGCCACCGCGCCCAGCCTGTTTGTTTTTTTAGAGACAGGATTCTGTTCTGTTGTCCTGGCTGGAGTGCAGTGGCGTTATCATAGCTCACTGCTGCCTCAAACTTCTGGGCTCAAGTGATCCTCATGCCTCAGCCTCCCAAGCAGCTGAAACTGCAGGTGCATGCCACCATGTCCAGCTATTTTTTTTTTAAGTGACAGGGTCTTGCTGTGTTGTCCAGGCTGGTCTTTTGGAACTCCTGCTTTGACCTCTCAAAGTGCTGAGATTATAGGCCTGAGCTACTGCTCCCAGAGCCAAGGTTTAAATATCTAAATCCATTTAAGAATCAAAGCTAAAGCACCACACTGAGATAACTCTGTTGTCACAGGCTCAATAAACAAGTGAGAAATCAGCATTTCTTTTTTGCTAACAGTGCACATTTTCTCTCATAGAATGCTATAATACATGAAGTTATAAACAGCGAGTGAGATGTCTCCACAGGGTTATTTCTTGGCCCCATTTTAATAAATGATTTGGATCAAAGTTGCAAAAAATATTCTTACCAGCTATAGCTAACATGAAACTAGTGAGGCAATGTAAACTACAGTGGGCAAAACTGGTATTTTAAAGAATCCTAATAAGCTGGAGCAATGAGTTAAGTCTTAAAATTTGCAGATGAGACTTACCTTGGTTCTAAAAAAATCACTTGTTTGAGTGAAGAGTTATGGGAAAGGGGATTTTTTTTTTTTTTTTTTTTTTGAGATAGTCTTGCTCTGTCACCCAGGCTGGAGTGCAGTGGTGTGATCTCGGCTCATGGCAATCTCCGCCTCCTGGGTTCAAGCGATTCTCCTGCCTCAGCCTCCTGAGACGCTGGGACTACAGGCGCCCACCACCACGCCCAGCTAATTTTTTGTATTTTTAGTGGAGACGGGGTTTCACCATGTTAGCCACGATGGTCTCGATCTCCTGACCTTGCGATCAGCCTGCCTCAGCCTCCCAAAGTGCCAGGATTACAGGTGTGAGCCACTGCGCCTGGCCCGGGAAGGGGAATGTTTATTAGAGAAAGATCTTAAACTTAACAGTTGCCAAAGACCAATGACATCTTTGGATTAATGTGATAGTAGTATCTAGGTTGGGAGAGGAAATGTACTCCTTTTCCCTGCTCGAGATTCAGGAATAAAGGCACACTGAGCAGGGAAGACCTGAAGAATGCTGCAAGTAATGGGGATGGGGTCAGCAGGTCTACGGCCTGCTTCTGTATGGCCTTCAAAGACTAAAACATTTACTCCACGTTGGGCTCTTTACAGAAAAAGTTGGCCAACCTTGTCACTGTGGTTTTAATAAAAAGTTGCTCGGCTGGGTGTGGCAGTTCACGCCTGTAATCCTAGCACTTTGGGAAGCCAAGGCAGATGGATCGCTTGAGCCCAGAAATTTGGGACCAGCCTGGGAAACATGATGAAACCCCCTCTCTACAAAAAATTAGCCTGCTACAGGGTGGTGGCATGCCCCTGCAGTCCCAGTCTACTTAGGAGAATGAGGTGGGAGGATCATCTGAGCCTGGGGAGGTTGAAGCTGCAGCGAGCCGTGATTGCGCCACTGCACTCCAGCCTGGGTGACAGTGACACTCTTTCAAAAAAAAAAAAGTTGCTCAATGAGGGCTTAAGGGTCAATTGTGCATAGCAGCAATTAGTACAGCTCTTGTGTTTTAGGCTAAAACATTCTCCAAAAGAAATAAACGTTTTAGAGACAGGTCCAGCTTTTTGCTTCATATGCATCAAACTTGGATATCAAATAACAATCACTCTTCCCTTCTTTTTTGAAAGAAAAAGGTGAAAAAGAGGGGAGAGTCTACCAAGTGCTTCAGATATGAGAAAGGTGATCTGCTCTTGGTTCCAGTTCTAGAAATAAGGATGGAGGAGTAGGGGAAGTGTGCTTAGGAGTCCCCATATCTGGTCTCACTGTCAAAGCAAAAGTTCATCCTCAAGCTCTCCTCTGCCTCCACTAGAAGTAACTGATTCCCAGAGAGGGCACTGGTCATCCTTTCCGAAGGCACTTATGGAGCTGGCTATGGTTGGGAAGGGACCCCAGCCCTCTGTTGCACCCAACATCATCTCTCAGCAACCTCTCTGAGTTTGACTTTGGAGAAAAAGTTGAGAACCATTTTGTGACACTAGATAACCCAAAGGGAAGTACTTCCTTAGGGTGAAGGAAGTATGGCCACAGATTTGGCTACTTACTGAGACAGTGGAGCTAGGAGTGTTAGTTCCATATCCTGAAGAGGGCAAAGAGGCCAAAGACCAGCGCCGCCCATCAGTCCTGTATGCAAGAAAAAGTATTAGGCAGTTTCTGCAGGACTACACCCTGACCCACAACCTGCCTGTCTGTTCATCAGCATTTTGGGGGCAGTTGATTCACTGTAGGGCTCCTCCTTAAGACATTACTGCTCAGTCCAGTACATGCTTTTATATCTCTCCCCTACAGAGGGCTTATTGTTGTTTTCCCTGCAAAGACAGACATCTCTGACTATAAAATAGTCCATAACTTTGTATAACAGAAGAACATCTGTCATATAATACTGTGGTTTTGGAATATATATTTTCATACTCTCAACTTACTTTCATAGAAACAATGACAGAGGATTCCAGCTATAGGCAACATTACAAGATAGAACTGCCACTGAAATGCAGCTATTTCCATTTGTGAAGGCTCCGTGTTAAGGGCTCTTTGGTCTTCCCCAGGCCACTGGCTGACAACAGGAAGAAGTGGGCCACCATCTGGGTCTGAACTGAGCTAATCAATGGGAAACAGTTATAGGCTGCCTAGGAGCCGTTAGGACTCATAAAACCAATATTTGGGAATGTCTGTCGAAGAGTGACAGTAACTTTATGAAAGAGAAGGGAGGTGACATACCCTTAGCTGTATATGAGACTTTGGGGGAGGCTTCCTGCTGCTCTCAAAAGGATGCTCCCCACAGCTCTCATCAAAACAAACAAACAAAACATGCCCCCCCACCCCGCCACAGTTATTTGCTTTACTGTAGAGGGGAAAGATCAAGCAGGGATCTAGTTTGAAACTTTTATAATATGAACGTGTGATTCTTTGCCTGGACTGTGGGATGTGGTGTATTCTTTTTTGTAGAGCTTAAGGGTACAGCCTGCTCTGGTTGAAGTTAGATACAAAGTTTTTTTGCTGTTACTCACAGAACCTGAGACTATCAGCAATGGAGGATCTTTATAAGTTCATATTACAATTTACAGAGAAAACACTAAGATCCTGAGATTTGGGTGGTTTGTTCAAGGCTTCATGGTTATGGCAGGGACAGGGAGAAGAAGAAGCAAAAAGGAATAAATCTTGCTGGGGCTTCTCCCTTCGAAGCACTCCTCCCCACCCTCACCAATACCTAGCAGCTTTTCTACTCTGTTCTGTAAGGGGTGAGCCGCAGGTTCCATGCCACATGCACATGACTCAAACTTCATGCCACCCTGGCAGCAGCACATATAGGCTATAACTCTGCTGGAACCTAGTCTCTGAGGTTCAGACATGTCCAGGAAGGTGCTCAGACATGATGTTCTCTTTGACCTCTTTGCTGGGTCCTGGGAGCACCACACAATAAAACAAGTCGGTTCCAGGAAATAGCTCAGCAAAGATGAGACAAGTATAACTCAGGGATGGATTTCCCAAACCCTTGTCAAATACACTTTTGTACATGTGAGTTTTCCTCCCCTTAGATAGAAATGAAAACTAGCTGCATGGCAGCAATTTCTCTGTATAATGAACAGCAGGGGCCACCAGAGTCAGGAAGAAATGCCACCACATGATGCCTCTATTTCCTCTATCTGGTCACTGCAGTCATCTGACTGTGCAAAGCTGTGGGAATAAGGGTGACTTGTCCCTAAGCTCAGAAGTTTGGAACTATTCAGCAATTCCTGCCTCCAAGCATATGAGCTCTGAGCCTTGGTTCCAGCAGGTAGAGGGAGATCCCTTTGGGCCTCTTTGCAAGACATGAAAGGCCCAATGTTCATACCCACAGTCAGAGAAGAATCATCACAACCAGTTTTCACCAACCACAACATCACAAACCATATTGTCTGGCCATGCATAGCAGTTTCCCAGCCCCTCTCCCCATTATACCCGCTATTACCTGTCAGCTCTGTGGCTATGGCTGTAGTAAAAAAATACACATTATAGTGAGAACCAAAGGAACCAGAGAGAGTGATCTTTTTGAATCTTGGTATTTGGTCTAGCTTGGCACATTCCTTCTGTTTAGGAATGTGTGATAGTTTGAAGTGAAATTGTAGGACCAATGGGTCTATCCTTAGTGTTCAATTCAATCTGTCTTTTGTTTGACATTGCAAACCAATGTGATCCTCCAAAGCGCCAGCCAGTAACACAGAAACAAACGATTCCTGATACTCTGTTTGGCAGGGTTGAAACACTTCTCCCCATCCCACCAATAACCAGCAGCTTTTCTTACTATGTTGTATAAGAGGACAGCCCAGAGATCCATGTTCCATGCACATGACTCAAATGTCATGCCACTTAGCATAGACCTGTTTGGGTCTCAGTGGTAAAAAACCAGGCCCTGAAGCCTCCTAGTTGGTCCTACTCCTAAACCCAGGCAATGAAACAGACCCATGGTATCAATGGAACAGGCTGTTCCCTCTGCCTGGAATGGTCTACACACACCTGGGTCCTCGCACCTAACATGGCAGCTGCTTCTCATCCTTCAGAGAGGCTTTACATAGCCACCCAGTGGAGGTTCTCTGGCTTTAGTCTCTTCCTGTTCTTTTTTTGTTTTGTTTTGTTTCAGATGGAGTCTTGCTCTGTCGCCCAGGCTGGAGTGCAGTGGCACGATCTCGGCTCACTGCAACCTCTGCCTCCCGGATTCAAGTGATTCTCCTGCCTCAGCCTCCCGAGCAGCTAGGATTACAGACCTGCACCACCATGCCCGGCTAATTTTTGTATTTTTAGTAGAGATGGTGTTTCACCATGTTGGCCAGGCTGGTCTCAATCTCCCGACTTCAAGTGATATGCCTGCTTCGGCCTCCCAAAGTGCTGGGATTACAGGCGTGAGCCACTGTGCCCGGCCCTCTTCCTGTTCTTTCATGCAGCATCATGCTCTTTCCCTCTATGGTGCTTGTCATAATTTATAAACATATATTTGTTTGTCTTTCTCTCCCACTACTCATTTGTCTTCCCGCCAGGACACAGCTTTCAACAAATGAAGGTATCTCTATTAAAGGTGACTTGACTGTGGTTGAATTGAGACAGAAAATATGCAAATAAGATAATATCAGGAATTGAAAAGTACTAGTTTGAAAATAAAATTGGATGATTTGATGGAGAAAGACAAGAAGGCCCCTTTAGATTGAATGTTTAGGGAAGGCCTCTCTGAGGAGGTGACATTTAAGATGAGATATGAATCATAACAATGAGTTAGCTAAATGAAGATCTGAGGGAACAGCATTCCTTACAGAGGAAACAACCAGTACACAGACTCTCCTACATCCTGAGTTTCAGGGAAGTAGGGACTATGTCTATTTTGTTACCACTACATAACTAAGCACCCAGCCGAGTGCGCCTGACTCTAGTTGGTGGTGCTCAGCAAATATTTATCAAATGAATGAGAAATAACTCAATGCCACCTATGGGGATCTAGCCACAGGTCTTGGTGTCCCAGCTCGTACCTACTCTGAGAGTACAGTTTATATATAGTCCAGGCAAGAAGTCTGGGATAAGTCTTTCCAGCTGGGTTGGACAAACAAATGCATCAAACCAGCATATTCTTATACTGTAAGTGATCTTATCTGGATCCTTGCTTAACAAATTGGAAGTTCCATAGGGTAGGAGAGATGAGCCCGTGGAACAAACCTGGATAAAATTTGTTTTGAATAAGGTAAGTGGGTTGAAGGAGGAAACCCACGTCAGCTATCAAACTTATCCCAACCTGTTCATGTTCTTTTCAGCTGCAAAGAATCCTGGAAAGAGGATGGATTTATTTTGGGTTATCATTGGAATAGTGAGTTAACACCATTTCCAGGAGCCTCTCTTTTTCCTAATATGTCTTTTTTTAAAAAGTAGTCTAAGTAGGCCGGGCACGGTGGCTCATGCCTGTAATCCCAGCACTTTGGGAGGCCGAGGCGGGTGGATCACGAGGTCAGGAGATCAAGACCATCCTGGCTAACACGGTGGAACCCCGTCTCTATCAAAAATACAAAAAAAGAAATTAGCTCGGAATGATGGCGGGCGCCTGTAGTCCCAGCTACTCGGGAGGCTGAGGCAGGAGAATGGCGTGAACCCGGGAGGCGGAGTTTGCAGTGAGCCGAGATCATGCCACAGCACTCCAGCCTGGGTGACAGAGTGAGACTCCGTCTCAAAAAAAAAAAAAAAGTAGTCTAAGTATTAAAACTGTCCTGGTCTCCAGCTATATTACATTCTCCATCCATTAAAGGTTACAAATCTGGAACCATAATTTTCCTGGAGGTCTTATACCAGGGACTAACTCTAACCAAGAACAATTTTAAAAATTAAAAAATAAAATAAAATAAATATAAACTCTGGCAAAGAATCTTAGAAAAGTTCTGACAAGAAATCATGTGTGTATAGAGCCTAGGTATGTGATTTGGATGGATTAATCTCATTCAGCTTTCTCTAAAGGCCTGATGATATTCCAGCCACAGGCAGAGCTGTCAGCGTTGCTGCCATGGGCCAGAGACAGGTTTGTTATCACTCTCAAGAGGGAAGAAACATGGGAGGAGGACTGTAAGCATGGCTCTGTATGCACCAAATCTTTCTAAATTCATAGAAGGAAAAGTGAAGTCCCTGTAGTGTCTTTATCCCCCAAACGAACTCCAGCTCAAAGTCAAGGAGAGAGGCACAAAGAGCCCTTTCAGCTGCTTTAAACTAGCTGAGTTAGAGAGGACAAAGAGTATAACTTTGGGTCCTCCTGGAGGAGAGCTTATTTTCTCATTCATCACTGTAGGACAGTTCTAAATTGAGAGTATAATGCTTTGGAACATACCCGTAGGACATCAGGGACTTAAAAAAAAAAGTGAATTATACAAATAAATCTACTTTTACTTAATATCTACTCTCCTGTTTAAACATTCAAACACAAATACATGGGGCACCTATAAAGCAAAACCAGAACACGATCATTACAACCTAGGAGAGGAAAGCAAAGACAGAGTTTTGATGGATGGGAGCTTCAGGTAATACACTTGAAAGAGTAGTGACACTTAAAGGAGGAATCTGACATTCAATTAACCCTCATGCAAGTGCCACATGTGCTGGTCCCAGAGGAGGTTTCCTATCAACTTACCTACGGGCAGGAACAAAAGAAAAGTGAGCAGGTGCATTTGGAGAGAAATTCCGGGGGCTGTCCAAAGGACTGTTACCTGTGGATGGGAAAAGAAACAAAACTCTGTGAGGTTTGCTTGTGAGGAGGGTGGACATGACTTTCGGGCAAGAAATATTCCCCTAGCACTGGCAATTATATGGTTATTTTCTCAGGGCCACTATCAGTTTAATGAGTCTCTTTCTGTAAAAGTTTCATAGCCCAGAGGTTTTCTCCCTTGTTCCCAAGTTTGCTGTAACAACCCATGTCTCTCAGATAACCATTCTAGATCTAGCAGCAACTTGACTATTTCCTGCCCTCCTAGGAACACACCTGAGACTTCAATCTGTCTTTGTCAAGTGAACCAACATTCAGAAGGCTTAAAGAGCTCATTCAGTCAGAGGGTATAGCCAAATGTTCACACTTTCTCAAAGGGCAACAGGACCCCTAATCCAAAAGTTTCTTGCATATATATCTCTGCGCACTGTATCCAAGGGCTAAACCAGGAACATGTGTGTTTTAAGGGGAAAGAGAAGTTCTCAGGTAGGGACTCAGGATAGTAGTAAACCTTAAGATAGTTCGTAATCAAGGCCCCCAAGTCTACAAAGCATACCGCCATTTCTTAATTAGTATTCACGTGTTCCCTGTAACTTGCTAACTTAAAGCTCAGAAGCTTTGAACAAAACTGTAAGTTTACCTTTGCATTAATCCCAATGGTTCTTAAACCTAAGCCTGCCATACTTCTCTGGGCTATCTTCCAGCTGGGGACTGGTACGTAGGAGCCCCTTGTTGGCAGTTGTTAATATGACTCTACTCAAAAGGCCATGTTGAAGTAAGCACCATACTCCATGCTGTGCTGGCTCCCCTCTAACCCCTGTCCACCTCCTCACTTCTGTGCTTACCTCCCAGGGGCCTGGTACTTCAACATGCGCTGGCTTTCTCTTGGATAGTATGTTTCCTGCACAGTGTATGGATGTTCCAAGTTGCCAAAAACCTACCCCTTTGTTTCCCACTATCTCTATCCAATAGGGCTTATATAGCACTTAACGTCTTTTTATACTGATCTAGTAGAAACCAGCCTCTCAATCAGTGCTCCTACTACCCTATGCAGCAGCACCTCTGTATCAATTATATAATGGCATTGTTTTTGGTTGAAATAATAAGAGGCATTTTCAGTTCTTCTCACCCCCAGGTGCATAAAATATACAACTTCATCCAGTGGATCTGCTCTCAACATTGCATGAACTCTGGGTTTTCCATGCTCTGTGTCAGGGATATCTGTTATGACCTCTCCCCATCTTCTGGCTAGTGGGCACCAGGATATAAGGGAAGTGATCCTGAGTAGCTGTTTCCTTAGCCAGGACTTAATAAGGATCAGGCCTCCTCAGAAGTATCAAAGCTTATTTTTTTAAAAAAAATTCTGTTCTTTTTTGATAGTGTCATCTCATGTCAAAGATTAACAAATACCCACAGTTTGATTCTTGACATGCAAAGTCAGATGCCCTTTGTTGGTTCCCAAAACTACCCAGCTAAAGCCTCAAGGAGATGCCTGGACATGAGCATCCTACAATGACCAGCCTTCCAAGGATCGGTCTGGTTACAGAGGTACAAAGAATCTTCCAGGTGCGCATAGTACAGCTAGGGTTACATAACACACACGTATGTCAGAAATAGCTAACACCGAGAGGGGAAAAAAAAGCAGCAAAAAAACTAAATAAACAGCACCACTGAGCTGTAGGACAACTTCAAGCAGGGGGAGGGGAGAGCAGGGGATACAGAAAAAAGATAGGAAGAAATAATGGCGGACCATTTTGCAAATTTGATAAAAACCATATACCCACATGTTGTGTGATGGGTCCTTTACCAGATTACTTAAAGGTACATATGTTCACTGCCTGAAACCTGAAGGCTAGGCCCATGGCAATGGTACCCAGCTGAGGAGCAGGTATCCCTGAGAACCAACCAAACATCCCAGAGAGTATCTGAGAATCTCTCAAGAAAAACAGTATCATTGTTCAAACACAGTAGGCAAAGATCCAGAAAATTAGCTTAAAAGCAGTTTAGAGGGAGCCGGGTACAGTGGCTCACGCCTGTCATGCCAGTTTGGGAGGCTGAGGAGGGCGATCACTTGAGTCCAGGAGTCTGAGACCAGCCTAAGCAACATGGCAAAACACCCCATGTCTAAAAACAAACAAACAAAAAATGCGGTTTAGAGACAGGAGGCAGCGTGGATCTCTAGAGCTGTCCTGCTGCCGTCCAGGAGTGCCTTGTATGTAAGTTGAATAAACTCGTCTACTCATCAAGTTAAATTTGTCTGAGTCATTCTTTGGTCTCATGGCTCCTTCCCAGTTTAGATGGGACGTTGCAGTCCCAAGTTTTTCTTGTAACATCACAAATCTAAGAATCTCTAAGAATCCCAAACATGAGAAAGAAGAAGAGAAGTACATCAAAGAATACCCAGTCAAATCGCTCAAAACTCAAGATACAGAGAAAAATCTTTAGAGTGGCTAGAGCTTGGTGGAGCTCAGTAAAGTGAGAAGAAGATATGTTATACAGAGGAACAAAGACAAGGATTATAGCAGATTTCTCGTTGGAAACAATGCAAGAAGACAGCAGAGCAATATATTTAAATTATGGAAGATATGGGCCAGGCGTGGTGGCTCACGCCCGTAATCCCAGCACTTTGGGAGGCTGAGGTGGGCGGATCACGAGGCCAGGAGATCGAGACCATCCTGGTTAACACAATGAAACCCTGTCTCTACTAAAAAATACAAAAAAATTAGCCGGGCGTGGTGGCGGGCGCCTGTAGTCCCAGATATTCGGAAGGCTGAGGCAGGAGAATGGCGTGAACCCAGGAGGTGGAGCTTGCAGTGAGCCGAGACAGTGCCACTGTACTCCAGCCTGGGTGACAAAGCGAGACTCTGTCTCAAAAAAAAAAAAAAAATTATGGAAGATATGGCTATTCTCCTGCCAACCTAGAATTCTAGACCCAGCTGTTGTGTAGTAAAGAATTTGACTGGCCTTAGTACCCAGTTCCTGGGAAGGAGCCTGTAAATCCTTGGAATTTCCCAAGTGATAGGAGTGCTTTTGTTATTTATGACAGGGCCTGATACTTTACGCTAATGATATAACTCAGGATGGGGACTGGCCACACCTGAAAGACCAACCATGTAATTGGAGGGTTGGGGCTTTGAGGCTCACCTAGCACCAGGGAGTGCTAGCACTCACCTAGCACTTTGGGAGGCCGAGGCAGGCAGATCGCCTGAGGTTAGGGGTTCAAGGCCAGCCTGGCCAACGTGGCAAAATCCCGTCTCTACTAAAAATACAAAAATTAACCGGCTGTGCTGGCACATGCCTGTAATCCCAGCTACTTGGGAGGCTGAGCCAGGAGAATTGCTTAGAACCTAGGAGGCGGAGGTTGCAGTGAGCCGAGATCATGCCACTGCACTCCAGCCTGGCTGGGCAGCAGAGTGAAACTCCTTCTCAAAAAAAAAAAAAAAAAAAAAAAAAGAGGGTTAGGGCTTTGAGCCACTTGCTATCAGTCTGACATAAACCTGACTTCCCAGAAATGGAGAGGGGCTAGAGATTAAGTTCAGTCATATGGCCAATGAGTCAATCAATCATGCTTATAAAATAAAACCTCACTCTGGACACAAAGCTCCTGTGAGCTTCCCTGCTTAATAATAATTTGTATGTATTGTTATACATCCATGTGCTAGGAGGGTGATGCATCCTGACTTCACAGGGAGAAGGCACTGGAAGCTTTGTGTTGGGACCCTCCCAGACCTTGTCCTACACATGTTTTCTTTGGCCGGACCTGATTTTTATGTTTTTTGCCACAATAAAATTGTAAACCTAAGTATAGGGGTTTTCTGAGCTCTGTGAATCATTCTAGTGAATTACTGAACTCAGGAGGTAGTAAGAAACCTCAAATTTGTATCCATTTTGTCAGAAGTATGGGTGACCTGGGAACCCCCAAACTTCTGCTTGGTGTATAAAGTGAGGGCAGTTTTGTAGCAGCCTGGGCCCTTGTAAAGTTTGGCCTAATTTGGGATAGTTAGTGTCAGAAGTCATTGTACCAGCAAAAAAAAATTTTTTTTTGAGATGGAGTCTCATTTTGTTGCTCAGGCAGGAGTGCAATGGCGCAACCTTGGCTCACTGCAAGCTCTGCCTCCTGGGTTCAAAAGATTCTCCTGCCTTAGCCTCCCAAGTAACTGGGATTACAGGCACGCGCCACCATGCCTGGCTAATTTTTCTATTTTTAATGGAGACGGTATTTTACCATGTTGGCCAGGCTGGTCTCGAACTCCTGACCTCAAGTAATCCTACTGCCTCAGCCTCCCAAAGTGCTGGGATTATAGGCAAAAGCCACTGCTCCCGGCCTCAGCAAAAATATTTTTAAAAGACAGAGGTAAAAAATAAATACTTTTTCAAACAAAAAAACTAAATAAAATTCTCAACAGCAAACCACACTACAAAAAAATGTTTTAAAAATGTCCTTTAGGCAGAAGCAAAGGATGCCAGGTGGAAATATGGATCTGCACAAAAGAATGAAGAGCAATGGGAAACTTAACTACATGGAAAAAGATGCATGACATTTTCTTATTATTTAAATCTCTTTAAAAAGCAGTAAATGTTTAATTAATAATAATATTATTACTATTAAATAATAGTGTGGGATTTACAACACATGAGGATCAAAAGTTTGAAAACAACTATATAAAGGCTGGAAGGGGAGAAATGGAAGATTCTTATCCTGTATGTGAAGTGGTATAATATTATTTGAAGATTGATATGAGGGATATGTTAAAGATATACACTATAAATGCTAAGGCAAACACTAAACAATAAAGGGTTATAGCCTATAAGCCAATAAAGGACATAAATGGAATAAAAATACACACTTAACCCCAAATAAAGCAGCAAAAGATCACGGAAGGAGAAAAAAACAGGTGGAATAATTAGGAAACAAATAGGGAGGTGGTAGACATAAACAAACCACATCAACAACCACATTAAATGCCCCAATTAAAAGGTAGAGCTTGTTAGATTGAATTTTAAAAAAAGAAAGACTCCATTAAAGAAACTGAGTCAATAGCTAATCATCTCCAAAAAAAGCACCTGTTTCAGATGTTTCACTGATTAATTCTACCAAACATTTATAGAAGAAATGATACCAATTCTCTACAATCTCTTCCAAGCAAAGATGATTGTAACATGATTCCTAACTCATTCCATGGGGCCAGTATTACTCTATTACCCAAACCAAATAAAGATATTGTAAGAAAAAAACACTACAGACCAATACCTCTTATGAAAACAGATGCAAAAATTCTCAATATTAGAAATATCAAATCCAACAATGTATAAAAAAGTTATATACCATCACCAAATAGAATTTACTCCAAGTATGCAAGGATGGCTCAACATTTGAAAATCAATTACCTACCACATCAACATACTAAAGAAGAAAAATCATATGGTCACATCAACTGATACAGAAAAAGCACTTGACTAAATCTAAAACCCATTTAAAACTTTTTTGATAAAAACTCAGCAAACTAGGAATACAGGAGAACTTCCTCACTTGACCAAGAACATCTACAGAAGACATACTTGTTGTTAACATAATACTTCATGGGGAGAATCCGGGTATTTTTTCTCCAAGAACAGGAACAAGGCAAGGATGGCCTCTCACTACTCCTATTCAGTATCATACTGGAAGTCTTAGCCAGTGCAATAAGGCAAGAAAAGACGACTGGGTGCAGTGGCTCATACTTGTAATCCTGGCACTTTCGGAGGCTGAGTTGGGGGGATTACTTGAGCCCAGGAGTTCAAGACCAGCCTGGGCAACATAGTGAGACCCCATTTCTAAAAAAAATACATAAATTAAAAAGCAAAACAAAACCAAAAAGGCAAGAAAAGGAAATAAAAGGTAAATACATTGGGAAGGAGGAAATAAAGGTGTTTATGTTTAGAGATGACATGATTGTCTATGTAGAATATTCTAAAGAATCAACAAACAACAATCCTGTAACTAATAAGCAATTACAACAAGGTTGCAGGATACAATGCTAATATTAAAAAGTCAATTGTGTCCCTTTATACCAGAAATGAATAATCAGAATTTGAAATTAAAAACACAATACCATTAACAGAAAAACTGAAATGCCTACATATAAATTTAACAAATACACTGAAAATCTATACACTGTAAATTACGAAACTCTGATGAAAGAAATCAAAGATCTAAATAAATGAGACTTGCATGATCATAATGGAAGACTCAATATGACTAAAATGTTAATTATAAGCAATTTGATCTACGGATTAAATGCAATCCCAATCAAAATCCAAGCAAGTTAGTTTGTGAATATTGACAAATTGATTCTAAAGTTTACATGGAAAGGCAAAATAACCTAAACAACCAATACAATACTGAAGAAGAATAAGGTTAGAGGACTGATATTACCTGACCTCAAGACTCACTATAAAGCTATAGTGATCAAGACAACATGGTGGAAGAACAGATACATAAATCAGCAGAACAAAGCAGAGACTCCACAAACAGACCCATACAAATATAGTCAACTGATATATGACAAAGGAGCACTGGCAATTCAATGAAGAAAATATATATTCTCATTGACGAATGGTGCTGGAACAACTGAATGTTCATATGCAAAAAAATGAATCTAGATACAACCTTTTACAAAAATTAACTCAAAATGGGTCATGAAAATGATCCGAATGTAAGATTTACCTAAATGTAAAAACAAAAAACGATAAAACTTGTATATGATAACATAGGACAAAATCTAGGTGACCTTGGGTTTGGCGATGAATTTTTAGGATATGAAACCAAAAGCAAAACCATGAAAAAAAACATTAATAAGCTAGACTGCATTAAAATTAAGAACTTCTGCAAAAGATACTGTTAAGAGAATGAAAAAGACAGACCATAGACTAGGAGGAAATATCTGTAAAAAACACATACTTGGCTGGGCATGGTGGCTCATGCCTGTAATCCCAGCACTTTGGGAGGCTGAAGATGGAGGACTGCTTGAGCCCAGGAGTTCAAGATCAGTCTGGACAATACAGGGAGATCTTGTCTCTACAAAAAATTTAAAAATTAGTTGTGTGTGGCAGCCTAACGCACCTGGTCTCAGCTACTTAGGAGGCTGAGGTGGGAGGATCATTTGAGCTTGGGCTGTAGTGGGCTGTGACTGCACCACTGAACTCCAGCCTGGGTGACAGAGCAAGACCTTGTCTCAAAAACAAACAAGAAAAGTCAAGTCCCAACCCCCAACCCCCAAAACAAAACAAAACCAAAAACCCACATACTTGATAAAAGACAAATGTGTAAAGAACTCTTAAATCTCAACAAGAAAACAAACAACCCAATTTTAAAAATGAGCAAAAGATCTGAACAGCCACCTCACCAAAGATATACAGATAGCAAACAAGTATATAAAAAGATTCTCAACATCATTTGGCATAGGACATTGCAAATTAAAACTACAATTGGATACTCATACATACCTATTAGAATGGCTAAAAAGGATGGGGAACAACAGGAACTCTTGTTATTGTTAGTAGGAATGCAAAATGGTACAGCCACTTTGGAAGACAGTTTGGCAGTTTCTAAAAAGCTAAACACAGTCTTCCCACACAATCCAGCAATTGCTCTAAATAATTACTTACTTGGGTTGAAAACTTGTCTACACAAAAACCTGAACATGAATGTGTATAGCAAGTTTATTCGTGATCGCCCAAAACTGGAAGCAACCAAGATGTCCTTCAATAGATGATGGATAAACATACTGTGGCACATCCATACAATGGAATATTATTTAGTGATAAAAATAAACAAGCTATCCACCTACGAAAAGACAGGAACCTTGAAGGCATATTGCTAAGTGAAAGAAACTAATTTGAAAGGCTATATGTCATAAGATTCTGACCTTGTGACATTTTGGAAAAGGTAGGTATAACTATGGAGACAGTAAAACAATCAATGGTGCCAGCGGGAAATGATGAGGGACAAATAGGTGAAGTACTGTGCACTATTTTAGGGAAATAAATCTACTCTGTATGATACTGTAGTGGCAGATACGTGACATTACGCATTTGTCAAAACATACAGAACTTTATAACCTAGAGAGTAATGTAAGGGAAAAAAAAATTTAAGCCTTGGTTTGTCACCTCTAAAGGCAAATTAAAAAAAAATAACTTATGAGATCAGAGGATCCCAGAGAAGAATGCAGACTATGACAAGAGAATCTAACTGTATTACAAATGTATGAAACAACATCACTGAAGAGGGTGAAGGGAAAAGTGCTGACGTAAGAAACTTTGGAAATGAATGAAATCAGTTAGACTAAAGATCAAAGGAACTACAGGTAAGTACTGAACTCAACTTGATAAAGTTGTTTCTCAAGGAGTATGGGTTAATAATTTTGATACTGCTATACACGTACACTGGAACTGAGTAGTTTATGTGTATGGATGGTGGATGATGGGACCCAGGTTTCTCATTGTTGGAGTGGAAATTTACAGATCAGCAAAGGGAAGAAGAAGCTAGAATGATCCATGTGATATTGAATTGGAGCCAGAGACATCAAGAAGAATTCATGTTTAATATAAATACAGACAATTACATATAAAATATTTATAGATATGTGTATATTCACAGGTTAGTATACATACTAATACTATATGTCTTTGGTCAATCAGCTAAGAGGGACTAGAAAAAGGACACCCCAGTAGAAACAAGCATTCCTAGAACCCAGATCTTGATTTGTAATACTGTTCTCCAATTTAAAAATCCAGACCTCTTGGAGAAACGGCTGATTCTAGGACTGGGGTCAGAAATATACAACATGAGCCTGGAATATCTTATAATCGCAGATAGTAAGGAAGGGATAAAACAACAACAAACCAAAACCAAAACCAACCAAACAAAAACCACCAAATTGATCTAAGTCAAGGGGGGAAAGGAGCCAACTGAAAGGACCTTGATGGCCAAAACGGAACAACTTAAGCAAAAAAACTAAAGTATTAATGGATTACAGTCTGATCTAGATAATAAATACCTATTAGTTCATACTGATATAAATGATTGAATAAATAAATGGGAAGATCAGTGAGGATGTAGAACACTTGAACAACACTACCAACAAACTTGACATAATTGACACTTACAGACCACTACCAAACAGTACTAATATACATTCTTTTCAGGTGAACACTGAACATTTGCTAAGAAAGATCACACTCTGAGTCATAAAACAAAACTCAATAAATTTTAAAAGGATTCAAGTCATATAAAATATGTTTTCTGACTACAATGAAATAGAATTAGAAATCAGTAACAGAAACATCTCTGGAAAATCCCCAAATATTCATAAACTAAACAATATACTTCTGAATAATTTGTGGGTCAAAGAAGAAATCAAAAGGGAAATTAGAGGCTGGGTGTGCTGGCTCATGCCTGTAATCCTAGCACTTTGGGACGCCAAGGTGTGGGAATCCCTTGAGGCTAGGAATTCAAGACCATCCTGGGCAACATAGCCAGACCACGTCTCTACAAAAAATAAAATAAATTAGCTGGGTGTGGTGGCAGGCAACTGTGGTCCCAGCTACTTAGGAGGATGAGGCAGGAGGATCGCTTAAGCCCAGGAAGTCGAGGCTGCAGTAAGCTATGATCAGGCTACTGCACTACAGCCTGGGCAACAGAGCAAGACTATGTCTTTTTAATAAAAATGAAAACACATGTCATACCACTAAAGCAGTTCTTAGGGGGAAAATTATATCACTACATTATATTAGAAAGGAAATTATATCACTACACTATATTAGAAAGGAAAGACTAACTCCCAGCACTTTGAGAGACCAAGGTGGGAGGACCACCTGAACCCAAAAGTTCAAGATCAGTTGGGGCAACATAGTGAGACTTGGTCTCTAACAAAAAACACCAAACCAAAAAAAAAAAAAAAAAAAAAAAATCAAAAAAAAAAAAACAAGAAATGCTCTCACTTTCTACCTTAAGAAATTTAAAAAAGAGGAGCAAATGAAACCCAGAAGAAAGGTAATCATAAAGACCAAAGTAGAAATCAATTAATAAAAAAACCACTGGAAAACAAGAGAGAAAATGTATAAAACCATACACAACGCCAGGCATAGTGGCTAACGTTTGTAATTCCAGCACTTTGGGAAGCCAAGGCAAGAGGATTGCTCGAATCCAGAGGTTCAAGACCAGCCTGGGCAACACGATGAGACCCCATCTCTACAAAGAATTTAAAAATTAGCTGGGTATGGCGGTGTGCCTGTGGTCCTGGCTACTTGAGAGGCTGAAGTGGGAAGACTGCTTGAGCCCAGGAGGTTGAAGCTTCAGTGAGTCATATTTGTGCCACCCTACTCCAGCCTGGGTGACAGACCCTGTCTCAAAAAACAAACCAAAAAACCCAACAAAGAACATACACAGGTTTTTGAGATCAATAAAATTAAAATGATAGACTAATCAGGAAAAAAAAAGACAAAATAGAAATTACCAACATCAAGAATGAGAAAGGTCACATTTCTATGGATTCTACAGTTATCAGAACAACTTTGTCAATTATTGTAAACAACTTTATGTTAATTAATTTGACAACTTAGAGGAGACTGAAAATTCTTTGAAAGATATACACTACCAAAGCTCACTCAGTAACAGATAACCTAACTAATCCTATATCTATTAACAAAATTAAGTTTATAATTTAAAACCTTCCCACAAATTCTAGGTTCAGAGGCTTCACTGGACAATTCTGCCAAACATATAAGACAGAAGTAGTAACAATTCTACACACTTCCAGAAAATTGAAGAGGAGGGAATACTTCCCAATTCATAACTATGAGGTCAGCATTACCCTGACACCAAAACCAGACAAAGATATTATAAGATAACTACAGACTAATATTCCTTATGAATATAGATGCATACATATTAAAATTTCAGCAAATCAAATACAACAACATATAAAAAGACTAATACAAAAGAATATTCTTTTTTTTTTTTTTTTTTTTTGAGACGGAGTCTCTCTGTGTCGCCCAGGCTGGAGTGCAATGGCGCAATCTCGGCTCACTGCAAGCTCCGCCTCCCAGGTTCACACCATTCTCCTGCCTCAGCCTCTGAGTAGCTGGGACTACAGGCACCCGCCACCACACCTGGATAATTTTTTGTATTTTTAGTAGAGACGGGGTTTCACTGTGTTAGCTAGGATGGTCTTGATCAGCTCCTAACCTCGTGATCCGCCCGCCTCGGCCTCCCAAAGTGCTGGGATTACAGGCATGAGCCACCGTGCCCGGCATAAACGAATATTCTCTAAATAATGGGAGGTGGGAGCAAATACATCATGACCAAGTAACGTTTATCTCAGGAATTCTAGTTGGCTTAAAATCTGAAAATCAATCAATATAAGTCACTACATTAGTAGGCTAATCAAGAAAAAAACATATAATCATCTCATTAGACATAGAAAATGCATTTGACAAAAGTTCAATAATAATTTTTGATAAAAACTTTTAGCAAACTAGGAATAGGACACATTCTTCAGTTGATAAAGGGTATCTATGACAAACTTAGAGCTAACACCACAGTTAATAGTAAAGACAAAATGCTCTAAGATCAGGAACAAGGCAAGAATATCTACGATTACCATTTCTATTCAAAATTATACTGGGAGTTCCAGCCCAGTGGAATAGGCAAGTTGTCTTTCTTCATGGACAACAGGAGTATCTCCAGAAAATACAACAGAATCTACAATAAAGCTACTGGAATAAGAGAGTTAGCAAGGCTGCAGGATAAAAGATCAATATACAAAATCAACTACATTTATACATACTGTAAATAGAAATGAAAAATAACAATACCACTTATAATTGCATAAAAATATGGAACACCTAGTGATAAATTTGACAAAAGAGGCATAAGAACTTCAGAAAACATGTTGAGAGAAATTAAAGATGATCTAAATAGGTGGAGAAACAAAGCATGTTCATGGGTTAAAAGATTTGATATTGTTAAGAAGTCAATTCACTCCTAACTGATCTACAGATTCAGCACAATCCCAATAAAAATACCAGCTGCCTGTCTGATAATCTGATTTTTAAATTCATATGGAAATACAAAGGACAAGACGCCAGACAAAAAACACAGTACATACTATATAACTCCATTTAGATAAAATTCTACAAAATCCAAAGTAATCTATGAGTGACAAAAAGCACATCAGTGGTTGCCTGCAAGTAATTACAAAAGGACCTAGGGAAACTTTAGGAGATGACAGATGTATTCACAATTTTGATCGTGATGATGGCTGCACAGATGTGTATACATAGGTCGAAAGCTGGCTGGGTGCGGTGGCTCACGCCTGTAATCCCAGCACTTTGGGAAGCCAAGGCGGATGGATCACCTGAGGTCAGGAGTTCAAGACTAGCCTGCCCAACATGGTGAAACCTGGTCTCTACTAAAAAAAAAAAACACACACACACACAAAAATTAGCAGGATGTAGTGGCAGGAGCCTGTAATCCCAGCTTCTCAGGAGGTTGAGGTTGAGGTTTCATTCAAATGAATGAAAATCATTTGAACCCGGGAGGTGGAGGTTGCAATGAGCTGAGATCACGCCACTGCACTTCAGCCTGGGCAACAAGAGTGAAACTCCGTCTCAAAAAAAGAGAAATTTATCTAATTTTATACTTTGAATACTGTATATCAATTTTATCACAGTAACATTTGTTTAAAAATAAATATAAATAAGTAAAACAAATATATTAAATACCTTACATATTCATGGTACAAAATTTTTTACCTTTTCATTTAGAATGCAATGTGATTGAAGATAGCTCATATTTATGTACTCATTTACTCATTTTTATGGATTTTTTTTCTGAGACAGGGTCTTGCTCTGCCACCCAGGCTGGAGTACAGTGGCTCAATCACAGCTCATTGCAGTCTTGAACTCCTGGGCTCAAGCAATCCTCCCGCGTTGGCCTCCCAAAGTGTTGGGATTATAGGTGGGAGCCACTGTGCCTGATCAGATGGCTCTTATTTTTAAAAATCTTAGGTCTAAACCCTTCTGTGGTTTGGTTTTTTAATTTAGATTTTGACTTGCTTTTATTATAGATAAAAAATAGGCCAGGGGTGGTGGTTCTTGCCTGTAATCTCAGTACTTTGGGAGGATGAGGCAGGAGGATCACTTGAGGCCAAGAGTTCAAGACCAGCCTGGGCAACAACACAGTGGGACTCTGTCTCTACAAAAATTTAAAAAATTATTAGCTGGGTGTGGTGGTGTGCATCTGTGGTCGTACTTAGTTGGGAGGCTGAGGTGGAAGATCACTTGAGCCCAGGAGGTCAACGCTGCAGTGAGCCACGATTGTGTCACTGCACTGTAGCCTAGTTGAAAGAATGAGACTCTGTCTCAAAAAAAAAAAAAATTAAAAATTAAATAAAATAAAATAAACCTCACAAAGACATGTAGCTCCCAATGGAAGAAGTGCATTGTTGGCTGTATTTATTAAATCATGATACTTGTTTTTCAATTCCCTCCAAGGGATGATAAATTTTTATCTTCTGTAATGTCAGCAATTTTTCTTGGAACCTAATGAAGAGGTATTATAGTTTTATATTTTTAAACAATAGATCAAAAATTGAACCTTTCTTTTGGAAGATTAGAAACATTCTATTTCCAATGTTTTCAAATGATAGACTTACCAGCTTTTGGAGGAGGCATAACATTTTTCAACCAAAATCACATATAGATGGTAACATTTCTAAACGTCCATCTTCAAATTGCTTTTTTCATGGCACAAATTTCTTTTAAAGTGTAGCTACCTTTGCACTCAATGATAAAATATCACCTTCGCCCTAAAAAGAGTGTTTGTGCCCCTTATCCCAAATCTCCTAGGGAGTATACTACTAAAAATCACTTGTTAGCACAGAAAAAGTTGGCATATTTGGAACATATTTTGTAAAAGAAAATTGGGCCTGTAATCCTAACACTGTGGGAGGACTTCTGGAGTTCAGGAGTTTAAGACCAGCCTAAGCAAAATAGTGAGACTCCATCTCTACAAAAACTAAAAAAAATTAGCTGAGGGTGGTGGTGCACACCTGTAGTCCCAGCTATTTGGGAGGCTGAGGTGGGAGGACTGCTTGAGCCCTGGAAGGTAGAGGCTGCAGTGAGCTGCGATCATGTCACTGCACTCCAGCCTGGGTAACAGAGTAAGATCTTGTCTCAGACAAAAAAAAAAAAAAAAGTGTCTTACTCTAAAATTTAGAATGGACAGAATAGAGAGGGAAAAGGAGTTAGGGGGTATCTTCGATAAGCCAAATGAAAAGTGATGAGGGCTTCCATAAGGCCATGATAATGAAATCAGAATGTGCTTAGTTTACAACACCTTCTAAGTCAAAGACTTTTTCTGAGTCTTATATTGAATTCTTGGTGACACCTACCAGAATGAAAGGCATCATATGATAAGTCTTTGCTCTTATATAAATAAGGTAAATACTGTACTTATTAAGTAATCAATTTTTAAGGTTCATTTATTTATTAGGATTTTTAGAGCTGATTCACAATTCAACATTCTACATTACCAAATATGGCCAACGTTGGAGAAAAGAAATGGTTTCCAAGTTATGGAGTTGTTGCCAGGGTAATAGCAAAAAACAGACCACTATATATGTGATGGAAATCTTTGGCAAAAGGCATCTGTAATGCAAGGGGAAGTAATGATGAATTCCCACCAACTGCAAGCAACAATATAATAAACAAGCATTCTTTCCAACTGGCCAGGCTCTGCAGACTTTTCAGAAGATGCTATTCTGACACTACCTCAAGTTGGGTATACTGCAATTAAACTCTGATGCCATCCATATAGAGTTAGCATAGACCCCACAGTTTAAGAGCAAAGTCCTCAACAAGACTGCCGCACTTCCAACACCAGTCATAAGTCTTTGTGGGGATGGCAGGGGGAGGGGCCAAGACCACCAGCATATCTGGCTGACTAGCTGCAAGTTCAGGGAGTACTCACAGCCCTCCCACATTCAATAATTTACTAGAACAACTAATAGAATTCAGAGAAGCACTATACTTATTATTACAGTTTTATTATAAAGGATACACAAAGGCAGGGTGAGGTGTGGGAGGGGAAGTAGAGATCCTGTGCCCTCTCCTTGTGGAATCCGGGAGTGTCACCCTCCTGTGTTCACCAACCAGGAAGCTCTACTGAGCTTAAGGTTGTCCAGAGTTTTAATTTTCATTACATAGTCATGATTGATTAAATGATTGGCTAAATGACTGAACTCAATCTCCCGGCCTCTATCTCAACCTTCTAATAATGTGGTTTGTCTTTCTTGTGATCAGTCCCCAACCTGAAACTATCCAGGGGCCCACTACGAGTCACCTCACTGGTATAACAAGACAATCCTATGTTTCAGGAAATTCCAAGGTTTTCAGAGGCTCTGTGCCTACATCTGGACCAAAGATCACAGAAATTCTTTATTCTACCACAGATGCTAAGGCCTAAAAATGTGTGCTACTTTTATTGGGTTTTCTCTATTTCTCCAATATACATTTACCTTAAAAGGCCAAAATTACAGCCGGGCGCGGTGGCTCACGCCTCTAATCCCAGCACTTTGGGAGGCCGAGGCAGGCAGATTGCCTGAGGTCAGGAGTTTGGGACCAGTCTGGCAAACATGGTGAAACTCCGTCTCTACTAAAAATACAAAAAAATTAGCTGGGCGTGGTGGTGTGCACCTGTAATCCCAGCTAGTCGGGAGGCTGAGGCTGAGGCAGGGGAATTGCTTGAACCAGGGAGGTAGAGGTTGCGGTGAGCTGAGATCATACCACTGCACTCCAGCCTGGGCAACAGAGCAAGACTCTTTCAAAAAAAAAAAAAAGCCAAAATTACCACCATTTTAAAGTTTGTTGACAGAATAAAATCAATAATTTTGAAACTGCCTTTGCCAAAATTATGACAGTGAGAAAAATCTGACTAGGAATATTATGACAATGAAAGAAATCTGACCTAACCAACTCCATCTTGCTTCTAACCTCCAAGCTGCCCTTGTACATTTCTGAGCTTAGGCCAAAACTAACTTTGGTAGGAATTTAGTTTACTTTGAAACAAAGAAGGTAACAGCTCCTGCTGGGAAAATACCCTCTGAAGGATTGGGGACCAGACCACTTCGGTAAAACTGACAAATTGGCCACAAGGTTAAAAATTATGGCTCAGGAGTTATTCAGCCAGAGGCCACAAGATTCCTAACCTCACAGATTCTCCTATAGATAACATCATCCCTGACTCAACTACTCAACATTCCCCCATTCCCTAGCCCCCTGCCCACCAAACTATCCTTAAAAAACCCTAGCCTCAGCCAGGTACAGTGGCTCACACCTGTAATCCCAGCACTTTGAGAGGCCAAGGCAGGTGGATCACCTGAGGTCAGGAGTTTGAGACCAGACGGGCCAACATGGTGAAATCCCATCTCTACTAAAACTACAAATATTAGCCAGGTGTGGTGATGCACACCTGTAATTCCAGCTACTCAGGAGGCTGAGGTGGGAGAATCATTTGAACATGGGAGGCAGAGGTTGTAGTGAGCCGAGATCGCGTCACTGCACTCCAGCCTGGGCACTGGAGTGCAATTTTTGAGACTCCATCTCAAAACAAAACAAAACAAAACAAAACCATAGCCTCAGAAATGTGGGGGAGGCTGATTTCAGTAATAAAACTCCAGTCTCCTGTTTGGCCAGCTCTGCGTATATTAAACCCTTTCTCTATTGAAATTCCCCTGTTTTGATAAATTGGCTCTATCTGGACAGTGGGCAAGGAGGACCCATTGGATGGTTACAATTTGAACTGGTCTTATTTTGGGGGAAGGAAGATTAAGATGTTATAACAACATTCTGGGCCAGCATGGTAGCTCACACTTGTAATTCTAGCACTTTGGGAGGCCAAGGCAGGAGGATCACTTCAGCTCAGGAGTTTGAGGCCAGCCTGGGGAACACAGTGAGACTTTGTCTCTACAAAAAAATTAAAAAATTAGTTGGGCATAGTGGTGCGCACATGTAGTCACAGATAATCGGGAGGCTGAGGTGGGAGGACTGTTTGAGCCCAGCAGGTTGAGGCTGCAATGAGCCGTGATCATGCCACTACACTACAGCCTATGTGACAAAGCAGGACCTTGTCTCCAAAGACAAAAGCAAAAACAACAAAACATTCTGAAGAAAATATTTAAACTGATTCTTTAAAAATTCACATAAAAAATAATTTCAACTTTTATTTTAGATTCAGCGGGTACACTTTCAGGTTTATTACCTGGGTATATTGCGTGATGCTGAGGTTTGGGGTACGATTGATCTCATCAATCATGTAGTGAGCACAGAACGCAATAGCTACTTTTTCAACTCTTGCCCCCTCTAAGTAGTCTCCAATCTTTTGTTGCCTTTTTTTTTTTTTTTTTTTTTTGGAAACACAGTCTCACTCTGTTGCCCAGGCTGGAGTGCAGTGGGGCGATTTCAACCTCCATCTCCTGGGTTCAAGCGACTCTCCTGCCTCAGCCTCCTGAGTAGCTGGGATTACAGGCGTGTGCCATGACACCAGGCTAATTTTTGTATTTTTAGTAGAGATGAGTTTTCTCCAGGTTGGCGAGGCTGGTCTTGAACTCCTGACCTCAAGTGATCCACCTGCCTCGGCCTCCCAAAGTGCTGGATTACAGGCGTGAGCCATTGCACCTGGCCTGTTGCCATCTTTATGGCCATGAGTAACCCGCTGTTTAGCTCCCACATATAAGGGAGAACATGCAGTATTTTATTTTCTGTTCCTGCCTTAATTAACTTAGGACAATAGCCTCCAGCTGCATCAGTGATTTCATTCTTTTTTATAGCTACTTTTTTTTGTTTGTTTTGGTTTCAGGTAGGGTCTTATTCTGTCACCCAGGAGTGCAGTGGTGCAGGCATAGCTCATTGCAGCCTCAAAACTCCTGGGCTTAAATGATCCTCCCACCTCAGCCTCCTGAGGAGCAGGAGCTACAGGTGTAAGCCATCATAAAGTGGAAAAGCCAGATAATTTTTTAATTTTTGGAAGAGATGGGGGTCTCACTATGTTGTCCAGGCTGGTCTCAAGCAATTCCCCTACCTTGGCTTCCCCAGGTGTTGACATTACAGGTGTGAGTCACTGTGCCCAGCTAAGCTGATTGTTATTAATGACTTACATTCACGGTTCTAGCTCCAGAAAAAATGACATTATTGAGAAGAATCCTTCCTTAAGGATGGCAATAACTGGCTCAATGGGACCAAAAAAAAAAAAAAAAAACAAAAAATCTGACAGAAAATCTAGCAGCCTAGCAAGCAGGCTTTTTCCACTTTAAGAATCGATTTTAGCAGCTGGAGGAGACAGTTCAAAGGTAAGTGATGATTCATCCCAGAGAAACAAGTTATAAACAAAACTGGGAGCAGTCAGTTGACCTTGAATCAGCTGCTTCATTTATACAGTTTAACTAGTTATAAAGGAATATAATTATATAGCAAGCACCTGTGTAAACACCATCTAGGTTTAACAATGCCATCTTCCAAAATCCCTCCACATAATCCCTCCTGATCAAAACCCCTCCCTTTACCCCATCTAAAGTCAATATTATGATAATCATTTCCTTATAGCTTTACCAACTAAATATGCAACTCTAAACACTCTAGTTTTTCTCTCATACAATTTTAAAAGTGAGATATAACTTTCATGTAACATTTACCCTTAAGTGTGCAGTTTAGAGGTTTTTAGTATATTCACAAAGCTATGCAATCATAACCATTATATAATTCCAGAACATTTTTATCGCCCAAAAATGAATCTATACCTGTTAGCAGTCACTCTTCATTTCCCTCTACTCGAGTGTTAGCAGTCACTCTTCATTTCCATCTACACGAGCCCCTGGCTACTACTAATCTACTTTCTGCCTCTATGAAATTGTGTATCCTGGACATTTCATAGAAATGAGATTATATAATATGTGTCCGTTTGTGTTCTAGTTTGCTTGTTTCTGTACTTTACGTAAGAAAACACCAAGCTGTTTTGCAAAATAGTTGTATTAATTTATACACTCACCAGCAGCACTTATGGATTCCTACTGTTTCACATACTCATCTATACTTGGTTTTGTCACTCTTTAAGCCATTATTGGTCATATAATATCTTTTTGTGATTTTATTTTGCATTTTCTTTCTTTCTTTTTTGAGACAGAGTCTCGCTCTGTTGCCCAGGCTGGAGTGCAGTGCCGTGATCTTTGCTCACTGCAACCTCTGCCTCCCAGGTTGAAGTAATTCTTTTGCCTCGGCCTCCTGAGTAGCTGGGATTACAGGTGTGCGCCACCATGCCCAGCTAATTTTTTTGTATTTTTAGTACGGACAAGGTTTTGCCCTGTTGGCCAGGCTGGTCTTGAACTTCTGGCCTCAAGTGATCTGCCCACCTCGGTCTCCCAAAAGGTTGGCATTACAGGCGTGAGCCACCGCACCCAGCTTCTTTTGCATTTTCATAATTACTAATGAGAGTAAATTATCTTTTCATGCATTTATTGACCACTTGGATCTCTTTTGTGTGAACTGTCCAAGTCCCTTGGCCATTTTTCAATCATACTATCTTTTTATTTTATTGATGTACAGGTTTTTTTGTGTGGTTTTTGTTTTTGTTTTTTAAATATAAGAGATAGGGTTTCACTATGTTGCCCAGGCTGGTCTCGAACTCCTCGGCTCAAGTGATCCGCCCACCTAAGGCTCCCGCAGTGCTAGGATTATAGGAGCCACCTGTGCTGGCCCCAGGAGTTCTTTATATATTCTGAACCCAAGTCCTTTGTTACTTTTATGTGTCACATTATCTTCTCGCACCTTGTGGCTTCTCGTTTCACTCTTTTCATAGTATCTTTTGATAACCAGAACTTTTTTTTTTTTTTTTGAGACAAGAGTCTTGCTCTGTCACTCAGGCTAGAGTGTAGTGGCGCGATCTTGACTCACTGCAACCTCCGCCTCCTGGGTTCAAGCGATTCTCCTGCCTCAGCCTCCCGAGTAGCTGGGATTACAGACACATGCCACCATGCTTGGCTAATTTTTTTGTACTTTTAGTAGAGACGGGGTTTCACCGTCTTAGCCAGGATGGTCTCGATCTCTTGACCTTGTGATCCGCCCGCCTCGGCCTCCCAAAGTGCTGGGATTACAGGCGTGAGCCACTGCACCCGGCCTTTTTGTTTGTTTGTTTGTTTGTTTGTTTGAGATAGAGTTTCCCTCTTGTCGCCCAAGCTGGAATGCAATGGCGCCACCTCGGCTCATTGCAACCTCCACCTCCCGGGTTCAACCCATTCTCCTGCCTCAGCCTCCTGAGTAGCTGGGATTATAGGCGCCCGCCAGCACGCCTGGCTAATTTTTGTATTTTTAGTAGAGACCGGGTTTCACCATGTCAGCCAGGCTGGTCTCGAACTCCTGACCTCAGGTGATCCACCCGCCTTGGCCTCCCAAAGTGCTGGGAATACAGGCATGAGCCACGTGCCCGGTGAAATTCTTCATTTTAAATGTAGTCAAATTTAGGAATCTTATCCTTTATATCCTGTTTTTAAAAAATTTCCCTATTTTAAGGCCATGCAGATTTTCTTCTGTACACCTTCTAAAAGTTTTACTGTATTACCTTTCACATTTAAAATTATAATTCACCTGGAATTGATTTTCTTGTGAAGAGCCACGTTTTCCAATTTCTCTATACAAACATCCAATGGATTTTGCCTACAGCTCTATAGTGCCACTTTTGTCATAAATCAAGTGTCTGAATACGTGTAAATTTGATCCTGGGTTCGTCTTCCTCCCCCTAACTCTTCTCTTCCTATTAGTATTCCTTATCTAAGTTAAGGGTATCAACACATGGCATTAATCACTCAGGGAATCTGAAGACAATCAATCCACATGCCACTGATTTAATCTCTTACATTTTTCTCATAGTCATATATTTTCTTTATTTCAAACATTCCCCTAACATCTTGATAATGGCAATGGCCTCTTAACTGGTCTTCCAACTGCCAGCACTGCCCTCTGTTAATAACTTTTATTTTAACATTTTTATCGTACAATTCACAAATTCTTATGGCCAAAAACCGTAGCAAATTGAATAAAAAGTTAAAGCTGCTTTTTTACTTTTTTCCACAGGTAATCACCACTAGAACAATGTGATTTTAATGTTTCCAGAGTTTTCCTTGCATTCTTCTCACATGTTGTGGCCCCTGAGTAGCTGGGATTACAGGCATGTGCCACTATGCCTGGATAATTTTTGTATTTTTAATAGAGATGGGGTTTTATCATGTCGACCAGGCTGGTCTCCACCTCCTAACCTCAAGTGATCTGCCCACCTCAGCCTCCCAAAGTGTTGGGATTACAAGTGTGACTCACTGTGCCCGGACCACTTTGCCTCTTCAAGCCTTAAAGAGTATTTAGTTTTCCCCGGGTGTGGTGGCTCACACCTGTAATCCCAGCAATTTGGGAGGCTGAGGTGGGCGGATCACCTGAGGTCAGGAGTTCAAAAGCAGCCTGGCCAACATGGTGATACCCCGTCTCTACTAAAAATAAAAAAAAATTTGCTGGGTGTGGTGGTGCACACCTGCAGTCCCAGCTACTTGGGAGGCTAAGGCACAAGAATCACTTGAACCCAGGAGGTGGAGGTTGCGGTGAGCCGAAATTGCACCACTGCACTCCAGCCTGGGCAACAGAGAGAGATTCTGTTTCAAAAAAAAAAAAAAAGTATTCAGTTTTTAGATTAAAAAACCACCTTTGGCAAATCTTGCCTCCACAAGAAAATGAACATATATACAAAATTGGGAATATAATTTTAGGGGATTTATGGCACTTGTAAAACCACTCAGGGTCCATGGATCTTAGGTAAAAAAGAGTCCATGCCATGGACTCCTCATACCTCATCCCTTTAGCACTGCATATAGCCCTCCGTGACTTTCTGCCTACCCATCCATATTTGATTAGCAGTTTATAATCTAGTAACAAACGATCTGTACTTTTTTATGGTCTGTGTTTTTTTTTTTTTTTTGAGACAGAGTCTTGCTCTGTTTCACAGGCTGGAGAGCAGTGCAGTGGCGTGACCGCGGCTTACTGCAGCCGTGACTTCCTGTACTCAAGCGATCCTCCCTCCCACCTCAGCCTACTGAGCAGCTGGGACTACAAGTGTGTATTACCACACCTGGCTTTTTTTTTTTTTTTTTTTTTTTTTTGGAGAGACAGGGACTCACTATATTGCCTAGGCTAGTCTCAAACTCCTGACCTCAAGTGATCCTCCCACCTTGGCCTCCCAAAGTGTTGGAATTACAGGAGTGAGCCATCGTATCCAGGCAACTATAATGCTGTGGACTGTTAATTTCCTAATCATATAATTCTATTTCATACGGATCTTAGAATGAGCTTTCTACCTCATTCAATGAGCTACCTCCAAAAAGAACACCTTGCTTAATGACTAGCTTGGGTTACAAATCTTTACTTTTGTACTCCCAAGCACCCTGGACACACATTTAGTACAGCCCTTAACATACCCTGAACAGGTTGCAACTTGACTGTCCCCTGTGGATGCAGCTTCCTTGGCAGCTCTCTCAAATGATGGCTGTTGGATTTCACATGCCCTTTGTACCACTAGACCTAGAGGTGGGGTAGACATCCTGCTGGCTCATTTCATCTTCAGGCATTCTCCCTCTGTTCTCCATAAAAACACCCAGGTTTGAAATGATGTCATCAGACTACAACAACCATTACTCCTCCTTGCTAAAAGTCACATACAAACCTTTGGGAAATCCCCTTCACTCTTTAAGGATTTTATTCCTGTATCACTCACATTCTTTTTATCATGCCTTCTGTCAGGAGTAATTTCAGTATCTTCACACAATCTTTCCAAAATCCTAGCCTGAGAAGTTTCAGAAAGTCATATAGAAAAGCTGACTAGTCTCACTTTATGTGTATGATCACTAACTTTGGCTCTTCATACTACTGGAAATCAGACCATACTTCTTAGTGTACTCTTTCTCCCATCCTTTTAAAAGACTGTATCATACTTTATCCTCTCTCTTCAGGCTCAGCTAATCACCTCACTTTCCATTTTAGTGAGAAAAAAATATTTTTTTGAGACAGGGTCTTGCTCTTTCTCAAAATCACAATCACAGTTCCGTGCAATCACAGCTCACTGCAGCCTCGAACTCCTCAGACTCAGATGATCCTCCCACCTCAGCCTCCCAAGTAGCTGGAACTACAGGTATGCAACACCATGCCCAGCTAATTTTTGTATCATTTGTAGAGATGGGGTTTCACCATGTTGCCTAGGCTGGTCTCAAACTACTGGGCTGACATGATCTCCCGCCTTGGCCTCCTGAAGTGTGGGGATTACAGGCGTGAGCCACAGCACCTGGCCTCAACTAATCAGAGAAGAACTTCAATAAGCTATCTTTACCACATCTACCCAGCCATAATCTGCACTGTATTCCCCACATCCTCCCCTATTCCTAGAGAAGGACTGTTTGTGCTCCTAGCTAGGCTAACCTACTGCTTATTTACTAGATCCCATCCCCTCTCAACTATAGAAGGACACTGTGCCAGCCATTCTCCTTTCTCTTGCATTATCAGATCTTCTCTTGCTGTTGAATCACTTCCATCAGTGTATGTACATAGACACTGTTACTTTTTTCAAATAAGAAAACTCTCTTGATCTCTCTACCCATCTTTGCATTTCATTTCTGCTCTAACAGCAAAACTCCTTGACAAATTATTTAGTTATTATCTCCATTTTCTTTTTCCCTTTCTTTCTTGACTCACCAATTAGGTTTTGCCCCCACCATTCCATCAAAACAGCTAATCAATGTCAACACTGACATTACATTGCTACATCCCACTGGCAATACTCAGACTTCATGTCACTTGATCTGTCTATATCATTTGGCTCAGGTGATCACATGCTATTTCTGAAATACTCTTTTTATGTGGTTTCCAGGACACTATATATTCTAAGTTTTCCTCTTTCCTTTTGGGTCTCTCCTCATTCTTTTGGTCTCTGAAAACTGGAATGTCCCAGGGTTCAGTCCTTGTACCTTTAGTCCTTTCTGTCTATGTTCACTCCCTAGGTGATGACATCTAGACACACAGATTTAAGATCTTTTTATATGGTGAAAGTCCAACATTTGTATCTCTAGCCCTATTTTTTCCTTGAAATCAAGACAAACATACTGAATTATTCACACAGATGTCTGGAAGACATCTCAATATAGTTATCGAAGGTTCCCAAGGATTAAAGGTCCCAGGATCAAATGACTGTTTTTCAAAGGTGGGGTTTCTAGATGACACAAGCTATAGAAAGATTAGAGGTGGTGCTCAGAGAGCAGGAAGAAGGAAACTGAAATTATGGAGACAAGGTCTAAAGTACAGATCTAGGGCATAAGTGATTGAGGTAGGGTAGTGGAGAGGTTCACTGGAAGACAGGAGTTCAAAGAACAGAAAGTCTTAAGAACTGGAGTTATCAACTACGGGTGTATCGAAACCACCAAGAATAACACATTACAGCTCACAAACAGACTGAAAAAAAGAATAATACAGGAGTAGAACTGAAGAGAGTAATTGGAGTCAAGAGCTAAAATTTTTACAATTGCAATGTATGAAGAGTTTTACAGCTGCAATGATAGGTACTAAATGATACAAATTAATGATATGTAAGATTCTAAGTTTGGGGAGATTAGGGAGAAGACAGTGAAAATAATGAAAAAACAGAGGACATCTACCCTTACTACTAGACCCAATGCTTTGAGATTATGAGAAAAGGGTTAACACTTGAGTAGTCTGCAGATAATCAGTGTTCTAAGCTCTCCCTCTTCCCCTATGATTCCACTAGAACAGGAAGAAGAAAGAATGTTTAGAGAACAGATTACGAGACAGATCTTGCTGATAAAGAACTGGAATTCCAAAAGGTACACTGGAAGGGTTTCCAGAGTCAGGGAGGGATAAGACAGAGCAGGGAATGTTCAGAGGTTTAGATGAATTAAGCATGTAGATGATGGGGTGCGGGTAACCTGAGGGTTCCTGTGGCAATGGGCATAAACAGGAGTAAGGGATAATGAAATTAGCCCAAATAGATTCAATGCAGATAGAGGTGAGGAGTCTATACGTGTCAGGGAGTAAAGAGGGATGGATTACTGGCTGTAAGGGATGTAGCCGTCACATGACCTGCCACCCCTCTCCAAGACTACCCAATTAGTGGCCTGGGTCTAAAACTTTCCCTCATAAGGAAGCTGTGTGGCAAGCTGTCACTTGGCCACAGATTCTTCTTCCTTATTAGCAGAAACTTTTCCCCTCTTCTGGGTATGGAGTAAACTTCTTTGTATTGCTTAAGTGTGTGTGGCATGTGGCACACGGCCAGCCCCACCAGTGTATCTGCCCACCACAGGATGGAATGGGATCTTTGCCACTGGTGCACATCACAGACTCTGATCTTGTTGTATCTGTCCTTTCTGTGAGTGAAATGCTGTTCCAACCAGTGTGCTGAATGTTGAGTCCTCCTTGACAGCTTCAAACCCAAAGAAGATGCAGTGGGCCGAGGTCTGTGGACTCCTACTGACGGCTGGCATTATTACGATCTTAGTCATCTTCCATGCAGCAGGAGTCCTCACCTGGAATTGGCAGCTGGATCTTCCTGCTTGACACTAGGGCTTGAGCTTGACCTTGAATGATAGGGACTGAATGCTTTTATGGAAGGCACACTCTTAGTTCCAGAATACTCATGTAAAATCAATTAGATGATATGTAACAAACAACATTAAAATATGCATGCCTCCTGACCTATTGATCCTACTCCTAAAAATTTATACAGTTTATTCCAAGACTTATCAATTCCATGCCTCCATATATATGCCAGAAAAAGTCTGTGTACATATATACAAAAAGAATATGAAGAAGGATGTTTCTGTAGCATTGATGACTATAATAGTGGAAAAGTATAAACAATCTAAATGTCTATGCTGGTTATCAATTTAATGCCACTAAGCTTCAAATTAATCCTTCAATACCTGCTCTGAGATAAAGAAGAGAATTCCTTTAAGCATCATCTATCCTCTACAGTGAGCATGATGTTAAACTTTCTCAGTAGAGGGTATTGGAGGCACACTGCAGAAAGAACAGGCTCTTGGTGCTAATTCTAGCAACTGCATTATCAGTCAGTGGTGTGGGAACGTGGATATGTGGGTTGCTCTGCCCCAATCACACAGACACCTTTCCACAGCCTTACCTACAAAGATACTGTGTGCTCCAGGCCTGTCCCCACTGACTCTCTCTGTTTGCTTGCTCAACACCCCGACCCCCAGGATTTGTCTTTCACGTCCTTCCTGAGGACACAAAGTGCTCACAGCAGCACCTCTACTTTCTCTCTCTAGGCCTGACCACTGGCTGAGACTCACCTGTGCTCCAGAGGGCTATTCCCTGATTGCTGAGTAACTGTGGACCAGCTTTGGTCTGGGCAAACCAGAAAACATCTCTGCCATCCAGTGGGCTGCAACTACATCCAGTGGGCTGCAACTACAACAAGTCCTGAATCCAGCCTAGAGAATCCTCCTTCCAAGTTAGTTCTTCCTTGAGAACTCTCCTTCAGCTCTATGGTAGCCTATGGAAGTTAGGCTCTTATTGTCATAGTTTGTATTACTTTTATTAAAACTTTTTAAAATCGCTTGTCTGTTATCTGTCTCCTGATTGGGCCTAGACTGATGCAATATTCACCAATAAGAAAATGAATACATTGTGGTACAGTTATACAATGAAATACTCTACAAGTTATAAAAATAAATAAACTGACTTCCAGTTCTGGCCTGGCATGTAAAGAGCTTAGGAGTTGCCACTCTGTTTTAACAAGTAAAAAGCTGAACAAACTGGAGGAGAAAAAAAAAAAAAAAAACACTTCTTAGTCTGTCAGCGAAGTGACATCACAGGATGAACCACTGCCCCCAAAACTGGACAGACAGACAGCAGACACAGTGAGGTACAACTTACCAGAGCAGAAATTCTTTTTTTTTTTTTTTTTTTTTTGAGACAGAGTCTTCCTCTGTTGCCCAGGCTGGAGTGCAGTGGTGCGATCTGGGCTCACTGCAAGCTCTGCCTCCTGGGTTCAAGCCGTTCTCCCGCCTCAGCCTCCTGAGTAGCTGGGACTACAGGCAGCTGCCACCACACCCAGCTAATTTTTTTTTTGTATTTTTAGTAGAGACAGGGTTTCACCATATTAGCCAGGATGGTCTCGAACTCCTGACCTCGTGATCCGCCTGCCTTGGCCTCCCAAAGTGCTGGGATTACAAGTGTGAGCCACCGTGCCCGGCAGGAGCAGAAATTCTTAAGCAGAAACCTCCATAGCAACCAGTGCCAGGGCAGGAAGACCTGAACTGTAACTGAGGAATTGCTGGAAGCTCAGTGTGGATTATGCTGAGAGTTAAAAACTCCAGGGGGATCTAGTCATGGGGGGGCTCCCAAATTTTTGTAAGTTTTATCCAAAGGAGCCTTACTGGATCCTCACAGTGATTACTGAAGAAAATCTCATGATTCCAGCAGGAGGAGGGAAAAGGAACTGTTTTGATACGCGCCGGAGCATTCTGTTCTTAACAAGCCTGTCCTTGGGAGAAACTATTTTGTTTGCATCTAACTTGCTGGGATTTCATCAATGCCAGCTCTACTTGGGGGAAGAAATACCCAATTCCAGCAGCCAAGAACCATCCTGTCCCAGCTATGGTGTGGGGGAAATACTGAGAAGCACTGGAGAAGTTCACAGTCCAGGGACAAAGGCTCATCAAAAGACTGAGACCTAGTCACAAGACTATAGAACAGCATTCCCCAACCTTTTTGGCACCAGGGACTGTTTTCATGGCAGATAATTTTTCCATGGACCAGGAAGTGGGGAGGCAAGGGGTTTACAGGATAATTCAAGCACATTACATTTATTGTGTACTTTGTTTCTATTATTATTACACTGTGATGTATAATGAAATAATTATACAGCTCACCATAATATAGAATCAGTGGGAGCCCTGAACTTGTTTTCCTGCAACTAGATGGTCCTATCTGGGGGTCATGGGAGACAGTGACAGATCATCAGGCATTAGATTCTAATAAGAAGTGTGCAACCTAGATCCCTTGTATGCACAGTTCACAACAGGGTTCATGGTCCTATGAGAATCTAAATGCTGCAGCTGATCTGACAGGAGGCAGAGCTCAGGCGGTAATGTGAGTGATAAGGAGCGGCTGTAAATACAAATGTAGCTTCACTTGATTGTCTGACGCTTACCTCCTACTGTGTGGCCTGGTTTCTAACAGGCCATGAGAAGTACCGGTCCGTGGCCCAGGGGTTGCGGATCCCTGCTATGGAACACTTCTCCTCCCCTACACCTTACCAATACATTACTAAAGGCCTATTTATCACAGCTACTTTTACTCAGTTCATCTCGTCCACCTTTTAACAAAAAAATTACAAAGCTCACTAAAAAGCAAAAAATAGTTTGAGGAGACAGAAAAAGCATCAGAACCAGAGTCAGATATGACAGGAATGTTGCAATGATCAGACTAGGAATTTTTCAAAACGATGATTAATTATGCTAAGCACTTTAATGGGAAAAGTAGACAACACGCAAGAACAGATGGATAATATAAATAGAAATTCTAAGGAAGAATCAAAAGAAAATGTTAAAGATCACTGTAACAGAACTGAAGAATGCCTTTGATGGGCTCATTAATAGACTGAACACTGCTGGGGAAATAATCTTTGATCTTGAGGATATGATAACAGAAACTTCCAAAACTAAAAAGCAAAGAAAAAAGGACCGAAAAAAAAAAAACCAACACCAGAACATCCGAGAACTGTGAGACAATTACAAAAGGTGTGATACGTATGCAGCAGTAATACAAGAAGAAAAAGAGAGAAAGGAAGGGAATTATTTGAAGCAATAATGACATAAAATTTCCCCAAATTAAAGTCAGACACAAAGCCATAAATTCAGGAAACTCAGAAAATACCAAGCAGGATAAATTCAGAAAAAAACTGCACTTAGACATATCATACTCAAACTATAGAAAACCAAAGGTACACAAAAATCTGAAAGAAGCCAGAGGGAAAAAACACCTTATCTTCAGAGGAGCGAAGACAAGAATTACATCCAACTTCTCACAAACCGCACAAGCAAGAAGATAGTGGAGTGAAATATTAAAACTGTTGAGAGACAAAAAAAAAAAACAACAAAAAAACCAAGCAAGCAACCTAAAATTCTGTACCCTGTGAAATTATACTTCAAAGGTGAAGAAGAAATAAAGATTTTCCCTAACAAAAAATGGGGGATTCTATAGCAGTAGATCTGCCTTGCAAGAAATGTTAAAAGAAGTTGTTCAGAGAGAAAATTATATAGGGGAGAAAGTGAACTCTACATGAAACAAGCAAGCACACTGGAGAAGTGATGAAGGTAAACTAAAAACTTGTTTTTCTTATTCTTAATTTGTCTAATAGATAAGTCTGTTCAACATAATATAGGATAAGTATCCCTTATCAGACCAGAAGTGTTTTAAATTTCAAATTTGTTTTCTGATTTTGAAATATTTGCATTATACTAACCAGCTGAACATCCCAAATCTGAAAGCCCAAAATCTAAAAGGCTCCAACAAGCATTTCCTGTGAGGTTCATGTTGGTGCTTAAAAAGTTTTGCATTTTGGATTTCAGATTTTTGGACTGGGGGTGCTTAATCTGTAACAGCAACAATGTATGTGATTAGGTATGCTTTTACATACATTATGCACACACGTACACACATGTGCTTATATATAAGTGAAATGAATGACAGCAAAATTACAAGGTACTGAAGAGAGGATTTAGGTGTATTTTGCCATCATAAGGCAAAGTGGTATAGTGGTATTTGAAGGTTGATTTGGATTACAGTGGACCTTTGAACAACACAGGTTTGAACTGTACGGGTTCACTTATACACAAATTTTTTCAGTAAAAGTTGTATGCCTGCCACTCCTGCATCCCTTTCCACCTCCTCCACCTCTTCTGCCTCTGCCACTCCTGACATAGCAAGACTAATCCTTAATCTTCCTCAGCCTACTCAATGTGAAGATGATGAGGCGAAGACCTTTATGATGATACACTTCCAATTAATGAACAGTAAGTATATTTTCTCTTCCAGTGATTTTCTTAACAAATTTTCTTTTCTCTAGCTTATTTTGTTATGAGTATCGTATATAATACATAAAACATACAAATTATGTGTTAATTAACTATGTTATCAGTAAGGCTTCTGGTCAACAGCAGGCTATTAGTAGTTAAATTTCGGGGCAGTCAAAAGTTATATGCAAGGCCAGGTGCAGTGACTCACGCCTGTAATCCTAGCACTTTGGTAGGCTGAGCCAGGCAGATCACTTGTGGTCAGGAGTTCAAGACCAGCCTGGCCAACATGAAACGTCATCTCTACTAAAAATACAGAATTAGTTGGGTGTGGTGGCACACACCTGTAGTCCCAGCTACTCGGGAGGATGAGGCAGGAGAATCGCTTGAACCTGGGAGGTGGAGGTTGCAGTGACCCAAGATCGCATCACTGCACTCCAGCCTGGGTGACAGAGTGAGACTCTCTCTCAAAAAAAAAAGCCTGCCTGGGCCTCCCCAAAGTGCTGGGATTACAAGTGTGAGCCATCGTGCTCCGCCAGGAATTGAAAATTAAATGAGATACAACTACGCATAGATTAGAATAGCCAAAATCTGGGAGCCTAAGAGCTCAAGGCTGTATTGAGCTGTGACTGTGCCACCATACTCCAACCTGAATGATGGCGTGAGACCCTGCCTTAAAAAAAAAAAAAAAAAAAAAAAGACCCAGATCCACACACTGACACCACCAAATGCTGGCAAGGATATGATGCAACAGGAGCTATTCATTTACTGCTGGTGGGAATGTAAAATGGTACCACCCCTTTGGAAGGCGGCCTGGGAGTTTTTCTTTTTCTTTTTCTGAGACAGAGTCTCACTCTTTTGCCCAGGCTGGAGTGCAGTGGCACAATCTTGGCTCACTGCAACCTCCACCTCCCTGGTTCAAGCGATTCTCCTGCGTCAGCCTCCCAAGTACCTGGGATTACAGGTGCACACCACCATGTCTGGCTATTTTTAGTAGAGACGACATTTCACCATGTTGGCCCGGCTTGTCTTGAACTCCTGACTTTAAGTGATCTGCCCACCTTGGCCTCCCAAAGTGTGGGATTACAGGCGTGAGCCACCACGCCCAGCTTGAAGAGTTTTTTTTTTTTTTTTTTTTACAAAATCAAATACACTCTTACCATTCAATATAGCAATTGTGCTCCTTATTTACCCAAATAAGTTAAAAATTAACGTCTACCCAAAAACCTATACACAGATGTTTATAGCGGCTTTTTCACAATTGCCAAAACTTAGAAGCAACCAAGATGCCCTTCAGTAGGTGAGTGGATAAAAATAAACCGTGGTATAACCAGACAACAGGATATTATTCAGAAAGAAATGAGCTATCAAGCCATGGAAAGACATGGAGGAAACTTCAGTACGTATTACTAAGTGAAAGAAGCCAGTCTGAAAAGGCTATTGTATGATTCCAACTATATGACATTCTGGAAAAGGCAAAACTGTGGAGACAGTCAAAAGATTACTGGATGCCAGGAGTTAAGGGGAGAAAGAAATAAATAGGCAGAGCACAGATAATTTTTAGGACAGTGAAAAGACTGTATGATACTATAATGGTAAATGATAATGTTGCCCAGACACACAAAATGTATACCACTAACAGTGAATCTTAATGTAAACTAGTGCCTGGGTGATGTGTCAGTGTAGGCTCATCAACTGTAACAAATGTAGCACTCTGGTAGGGAGCTGATAATGGGGAGCCTATATATAGGTGAGGGCAGGGGGTATATGGTTTATCTCAGTATCTTCCTCAATTTTGCTGTGAACCTAAAACTACTCTAAGAAATAATTAAAAAAAAAATAAGGTAGGGAGTTTCCATTTCTCGAATGGCTGGGTATGTACCTACTGAACTGACATTACTGACACTGTAACCTACTTATGTAGTAGATATTTAATACTGAATACACACATAGGCTCAAAATAAAGGGATGGAGGAAGATCTACCAAGCAAATGGAAAACAAAGAAAGGCAGGGGTTGCAATCCTAGTCTCTGATAAAACAGACTTTAAACCAACAAAGATCAAGAGAGACAAAGAAGGCCATTACATAATGGTAAAGGGATCAATTCAACAAGAAGAGCTAACTATCCTAAATATATGTGCACCCAATACAGGAGCACCCAGATTCATAAAGCAAGGCCTTAACTTAGAGACTTACAAAGAGACTTAGACTCCCACACAATAATAATGGGAGACTTTAACACCCCACTGTCAACATTAGACAGATCAGCGAGACAGAAAGTTAACAAGGATATCCAGGAAATGAATTCAGCTCTGCACCAAGTGGACCTAATAGACATCTACAGAACTCTCCACCCCAAATCAACAGAATATACATTCTTCCCAGCACCACACCGCACCTATTCCAAAATTGACCACATAGTTGGAAGTAAAGCACTCCTCAGCAAATGTAAAAGAACAGAAATTGTAACAAACTGTCTCTCACACCACAGTGCAATCAAACTAGAACTCAGGATTAAGAAACTCACTCAAAATCGCCCAACTACATGGAAACTGAACAACCTGCTCCTGAATGACTACTGGGTACATAACGAAATGAAGGCAGAAATAAAGATGTTCTTTGAAACCAACGAGAACAAAGACACAACATACCAGAATCTCTGGGACATATTTAAAGCAGTACGTAGAGGGAAATTTATAGCACTAAATGCCCACAAGAGAAAGCAGGAAAGATCTAAAGTTGACACCCTAACATCACAATTAAAAGAACTAGAAAAGCAAGAGCAAACACATTCAAAAGCTAGCAAAAGGCAAGAAATAACTAAGATCAGAGCAGAACTGAAGGAGATAGAGACACAAAAAAACCCTTCAAAAAAATCAGTGAATCCAGGAGCTGGTTTTTTGAAAAGATCAACAAAATTGATAGACTGCTAGCAAGACTAATAAAGAAGAAAAGAGAGAAGAATCAAATAGACACAATAAAAAATGATAAAGGGGTTATCACCACCGATCCCACAGAAATACAAACTACCATCAGAGAATACTACAAACACCTCTATGCAAATGAACTAGAAAATCTAGAAGAAATGGATAAATTCCTCGACACATACCCCCTCCCAAGACTAAACCAGGAGGAAGTTGAATCTCTTAATAGACCAATGACAGGCTCTGAAATTGAGGCACTAATTAATAGCTTACCAACCAAAAAAAGTCCAGGACCAGATGGATCCACAGCTGAATTCTACCAGAGGTACAAGAAGGAGCTGGTACTATTCCTTCTGAAACTATTCCAATCAATAGAAAAAGACGGAATCCTCCCTAACTCATTTTATGAGGCCGGCATCATCCTGATACAAAAGACTGGCAGAGACACAACAAAAAAAGAGAATTTTAGACCAATATCCCTGATAAACATCAATGCAAAAATCCTCAATAAAATACTGGCAAACTGAATCCAGCAGCACATCAAACAGCTTATCCACCATGATCAAGTGGGCTTCAACCCTGGGATGCAAGGCTGGTTCAACATACGCAAATCAATAAACGTAATCCAGCATATAAACAGAACCAAAGACAAAAACCACATGATTATCTCAATAGATGCAGAAAAGGCCTTCGACAAAATTCAACAGCACTTCATGCTAAAAACTCTCAATAAATTATGACAAACCCACAGCCAGTTTTGAATGGGCAAAAACTGGAAGCATTCCCTTTGAAAACTGACACAAGACAGGGATGCCCTCTCTCACCACTCCTATTCAACATAGTGTTGGAAGTTCTGGCCAGGGCAATCAGGCAGGAAAAAGAAATAAAGGATATTCAATTAGGAAAAGAGGAAGTCAAATTGTCCCTGTTTGCAGATGACATGATTGTATATCTAGAAAACCCCATTGTCTCAGCCCAAAATCTCCTTAAGCTGATAGGCAACTTCAGCAGTCTCAGGAAACAAAATCAATGTGCAAAAACCACAAGCATTCTTATACATCAATAACAGACAAACAGAGAGCCAAATCATGAGTGAACTCCCATTCACAATTGCTTCAAAGAGAATATAATACCAAGGAATCCAACTTACAAGGGATGTGAAGGACCTCTTCAAGGAAAACTATAAACCACTGCTCAATGAAATAAAAGAGGACACAAACAAATGGAAAAACATTCCATGCTCATGGATAGAAGAATCAATATCGTGAAAATGGCCATACTGCCCAAGGTAATTTATAGATTCAATGCCACCCCCATCAAGCTACCAGGGACTTTCTTCACAGAATTGGAAAAAACTACTTTAAAGTTCATATGGAACCAAAAAAGAGCCCGCATTGCCAAGACAATCCTAAGCCAAAAGAACAAAGCTGGAGGCATCAGGCTATCTGACTTCAAACTATACTACAAGGCTACAGTAACCAAAACAGCATGGTACTGGTACCAAAACAGAGATATCGACCAATGGAACAGAACAGAGCCCTCAGAAATAATACCACACATCTACAACCATCTGATCTTTGACAAACCTGACAAAAACAAGAAATGGGGAAAAGATTCCCTATTTAACAAATGGTGCTGGGAAAACTGGCTAGCCATATGTAGAAAGCTGAAACTGGATCCCTTCCTTACACCGTATACAAAAATTAATTCAAGATGGATTAAAGACTTAAATGTTAGACCTAAAACCATAAAAACCCTAGAAGAAAACCTAGGCAATACCATTCAGGACATAGGCATGAGCAAGGACTTCATGTCTAAAAGCAATGGCAACAAAAGCCAAAATTGACAAATGGGATCTAATTAAACTAAAGAGCTTCTGCACAGAAAAAGAAATCACCATCAGAGTGAACAGGCAACCTATAGAATGGGAGAAAATTTTTGCAATCTACTCATCTGACAAAGGGTTAATATCCAGAATCTACAAAGAACTCAAACAAATTTACAAGAAAAAAACAAACAACCCCATCACAAAGTGGGCGAAGGATATGAACAGACACTTCTCAAAAGAAGACATTTATGCAGCCAACAGACACATGAAAAAATGCTCATCATCACTGGCCATCAGAGAAATGCAAATCAAAACCACAATGAGATATCATCTTGCACCAGTTAGAATGGCGATCATTAAAAAGTCAGGAAACAACAGGTGCTGGAGAGGATGTGGAGAAATAGGAACACTTTTACACTGTTGGTGGGACTGTAAACTAGTTCAACCATTGTGGAAGTCAGTGTGGCGATTCCTCAGGGATCTAGAACTAGAAATACCATTTGACCCAGCCATCCCATTACTGGGTATATACCCAAAGGACTATAAATCATGCTGCTATAAAGACACATGTACTTGTATGTTTATTGCGGCATGACTCACAATAGCAAAGGCTTGGAACCAACCCAAATGTCCAACAATGATAGACTGGATTAAGAAAATGTGGCACATATACACCATGGAATACTATGCAGCCATAAAAAATGATGAGTTCATGTCCTTTGTAGGGACATGGATGAAGCTGGAAACCATCATTCTCAGCAAACTATCGCAAGGACAAAAAACCAAACACCGAATGTTCTCACTCATAGGTGGGAACTGAACAATGAGAACACTGGACACAGGAAGGGGAACATCACACACCGGGGCCTGTTGTGGGGTGGGGGGATGGGGGAGGGATAGCATTAGGAGATATACCTAATGTAAATGACGAGTTAATGGGTGCAGCACACCAACATGGCACATCTATACATATGTAACAAACCTGTAAGTTGTGCACATGTACCCTAGAACTTAAAGTATAATAAAATTATCTATAAAAAAAAAGATTTGAGGATATAATCTAATGCCATGTGGGATCTGCGTGGAACAATCAGTGCTGCCTGTCTCAACAGCTGGATAAGTATAGTCTACAGTCACAAACTGGGCTTTTATGTCCATTCTTGCCCCCTAGATTTTCTGCAGTGATTTGCTAAGAGATAATACAGATGCTAACATTTGTAAAGTACTAAGCATGTTACACACATTAACTCAAAGCTGGAGTCTACAGATCCAGGCAGGCTGAAAAGGCCAGGTGGTGTTCTCAATCAAATCCACTTGAGTAGGAAGATTTAGTTCTAAATGCTAACTGTGGAGAATCTAAATAGAGAGATAATCATCTAGAGAAGAGCAGCCAGTAGTAACTACTGCTCAGTACTCACATTAGTTGTGCAACTATATACAAGGTCTAGACATGTTAAATTTATTCCTATATGATAAAAAGGTCAGGTCAGATAGATGTATGCTGAGTTTCTCTAAAAATCTAGGATGTGCTGTTTGAGCTAATCCAGCTAATTTCAGTCAATTTTTTTAGAGGAAAGCACCTAAGCACAATGAGAGCTTTGCTTTAAAGGTCAAGTATGTCTCCAGTTCCCTGGGATCCCTGTTCTCTTGGTGGTATCTTCTAAAGTGACAGCTTGTGATTGAGAGATTTACTGATTCTTGGAAAGGGGCCATCATCACACTAAAAGGCTGGCTTCTAGGCTAAGAGAATCTGAGCCAAAGAAGGTGAGATCCTTCTCCCAAGGACAAAGTTCAGTTTCAGAATCACCAGACTCTCAGGACCCTCAAATACTCCACATGTACCCTCACTTTCTCCCTCCAAAGACAGTAAACTGTGAGCAAGGAAACAAATTCATGGAGAATATACACATCTTACTCAGCTTGATGCTGACCCATTTCACTGCTTTGATATCCTGCTTTAACGCCCAAAGACAGACAAGGTCCAGGCTTAGGACAACAGTGACCATGGCTTTCTATGCCCAGGCAGCAAGCTCTGAACAGTTCTAAGTCTGTCAATTGCCACTAACTGTAGGTTTAGATCTTCCATTATAAAGAGTGTAGCAATGAACTGCACAGAAGTGCTGCAGCCCTTTCAGCAAAGCTGAGTCCCGTGGCCTGGTTCCCCTGGGATACAAGAATATACCTTCTACACAGAAGCACATGGCTGACTCCGATGAGGTCTTTCTTCTGCCCCTCTCTGGGAAGGACAATGTGCCAGAATCAATGGAAGCCTCGTATTTCTTTTCTTTTCTTTTTTTCTTTTTGAGATGGGGTCTCATTCTGTTGCTGCCCAGGCTGGAGTGCAGTGGTATGATCTCAACCTCCATGGGCTCAGGTGATCAGGCGATGCTCCCACCTCAGCCTCCCAAGTAGCTGGAACTACATGTGTACACCACCATGTCCAGCTAAGTTGTGTATTTTTTGTAGAGACGGGGTTTTGCCATGTTGCCCAGGCTGGTCTCAAACTCCTAAGCTCAAGCAATTGGCCCATCTCAGCTTCCCAAAGTGCTGGGATTACAGGCGGGAGCCACTGTGCCCAGCTGCCTCATAATTTTTATCTATTCTTCAGAGCCATGTAAATCAGTCCTTATACTGTCGGGAAGAGCCCATATTCCAGGGCTAGAGCAGCCTGAATCCATGAGGTCATTTGCTTTAATTCCAGTATGTAATATCAGTATCATTATGAAACAAATACTCCAACCCGGGTGCAGTGGCTCACACCTATAATCCCAGTACTTTGGAGGATGAGGTGGGAGGATCACTCGAGCCTAGGATTTCAAGACCAGCCTGGGCAACATAGAGAGACCTCGTTTCTATTTAAAAACAAACAAACAAACACATACTCCTCTTGCTTTTGTTATCTCCTAATCTAAGAGCAGGAAGGTTAACAGGAGTCCCATTAGACGAAAAACCCTCTCTGTGAGCCCTAATCCTTGGGCACGGTAGTACAAAATATTAGTGGACTCCTCATCAAATGACCCAAGACGAATGGAGCTGTAACACACTAGAACACACTAGAACAGAGGCCATAAACCCAGGACACATACCTGGCCCCAAGATATGTACAAGACTAAAAGGAATGTTGAGAGAACAAGGTAAGAAACAACTAAGAGTCAAAAGCAGGCTAACTCATTCTCGTACAGAAAGCAAGCCCATGAGCTCTGTCTGCTTCAGTCAGCCAAGTAAAGTGACAATGTAATATACGGAACTGCACAACATGAGAAGTAGGAAAGAAATTGGGCATCTGTGGCCACTCTTTCATTCAACCTTTCTTAACCTTCAAGCACTCACCTGTGTGGCCATGGAGTGGTGAGTGTGGCCGTGGTAGTGTAGGTGATGTGCTAGAGGTCACAATCAAGCTCTTGCGGTTACTTGTCCGACAACTGCAATGAAAACAAAATATGAATTATAATAGGGCCACACCATGGGCCCAGAGACCTTGAGTGGTTTTTAAGGAACTAAAGAGGGACACCATTCCACGGGCCGCACAGTATACTTCTTTAAACTGAACTGGGTCAGCAATTACACTCGGCACCAGTTAGATTCCATAAAGCACTGTGTTCCTCCTTGGAATAACTTTTTTCACTGCCTTGACTTTCATCTTGTATTGCCACTGTGCTTTTCCAATGTTTAGTTTTATTTCCCAAGCAAACACAAGGAGCTCCCTACGGGCAAAAACCATGTTTTAAACAGTATCTAATGAAGAATGACCACTGCAAATTGATTTACAAAATAAAAAGCACAAGTCAAAATATTCTCATATTCTCTAAGAACCCCCCAAAACTATTAATCTATGAAATTATTATTTTTAGAACGTTTAGTCCGTGAATTAAGTAATATTCTCATTTCAGAATAAATGTCAGAACAGCCCTGGGTTTCTTCTATAAACGGGCTTTCCACTACATGTTAATGTCTGAAGCTTTTTCTTCTGGTTGGAGAAAACCAGATGGTGATGAAAAGCCATTTCATGCAACATCTATTACTGAAAAGTCTATATCAATTTATTTGAAAGTCAGTCTATCTTTTGAAGGCATTAGGGAAGTTTGCCATTTATATTCATCCAAATATTTATTGAACACCTACTACACACTAGGCAGTGTCTTAGGAGGGAAGCAGTAGGGAACAAAAGAACAGTCTCTATCCTCATAACTGGAGTGAACAGTGCTGTGGGAAAAGGAAGAGGAAGAAAGAACAGAAAGAGGGAGAGAGAGGGAGAGGGGGAGAGGGGGATAGAGGGAGAGAGAGAGAGAGGGAGGGAGGGAGAGGGAGAAAAGGAGAAAGGAAATAAGAGACTGGTGTGGGAGTGCTAACTAGGGAAGTGAAGTCTGATGAGAGAGCTGAATGATATGAAGGACTCAGACAAAAGTAGAGCTGAGAGGCAGAGAGAAAAGTAAAGGTAAAGGCACTGAGACAAGAACAAATTTGGGATGTTCAAGAAATAGCAAAGAAGTCAAGAGTGGATGACAGGAGGGGAGAATGACAGAAAAAGAAGTAGGTTATAGAAGCTATGGGGAAGGCCACAGCCAGACTCTGTAGGGCTGATGGAAGGAATGAGATCAATCTCAAGAAAGAGATTATCATTAGAAATGATAACCATTTTCCCCTAAGAAACCATCAGGAGGAATCCAATCATGCCCATACCCCTAACTACCTCAGTCACCATGGAATGCCTTCCACTCTCTAACCTGACAGTCTCCCACTACTCTGAACCTTTGAGAAAAGCTTATACTTTGCCTCCTTGAACTCAGTATGTCATCAGCAAACTGCCTATATCCCCAATTTCTCTTCTGAGTGTCTGCTTTAAATTCTAGCTCCAAATGAAACGTTGCTACCTCCCAAGGACACCAAAGTCCTGGCGAAATCCCAACCCTTTACAACCAAGCTTCCCATCTATTTTGCAACTGCACCTGGGAACTTAGAGTGACTGAAGAAAAACCCAGAATCATGCTGGCTGATGTGTCTTTATATTCACAGTGACAAACATCAAGTGGGGCCTCATTACTGCCTGACAATCTTAGCACATTTACCAGAGTAATGTGTTTGCTCACTCTCCAAGACAACTAATTCACATTTTCTCCTTAAACCTCCAATACCCCTTTTCCTTCCTCAAATCTGTACAGAAAATAAAAATTAAAAAAAAATAGCTGGGCATGTTGGCACATGCCTACAGTCCTAGCTACTTGGGTGACTGAGGCAGGAGGACTGCTTGACTCCAGGGGTTCATGGCTACAGTGAGCCAATGATTGTGCCAGAAAAAGAAGAACACGTACAGTTGGGCCAATTAGAAAACAAATAACATATTTAAACCCAATCATACCAATAATCATATTAAATATAAATGTTCTAAGTACACAGCCAGTTAAGGCAGAGATTGTCAGACTGGATAAAATAGCAGGATCCACTTATATGCTGTTATTTGTGAAAGCCCGAAACTACAAACCACCTAAAATATGCACCAACAGATGAGTGACAAACAAATCACAGTATATCCATATAATGGAATTCTACTCAGCAATAACAAGGAATGAATAATTGATTCACACAATGGATGAATCTCACAAATAATTATGCTGAAAGCAAGATGCCAGACAAAAAAGAGTATGTTGTATGCTTTCATGGATGAGTTGAACAATTTGCCTCTCAGGTGTATTCAATCAAAAAATTTGTCCCTGGATATTTATACTAAAATATACTAAAAACAAAAGTCAAACATAATGTTACTTAACAGGAGACTGTTCTGACACATGCGCTAAAAGGGAATTGAAAACATTATTTCCAAGTCAATCATCCCACATAAATTCGACCAAATACGAGTCCAACACATTGTGACGAATTCCTCTCATGGTCTTGCACTTTGCTTTGCATTTATTTCAATAGCACTAGATGTTTTGGGTATGTATGCCAAGAGATGATATGAACTGTGCTCAACTAGGCACTGCAAAATAGGTGGCAAGGTTTGGGCAGAACAGTCACCAAAAATTTCCAAATAACCAATAGCTGGCTGATGGGTGTATCCACCATACCAAAAGCCCATTATTTCTCTCTCCAGAGCATGGCTATAGTGACACTTGATTTCGTGGCTAAAACAGGACTCACTGATTTGCAAGTAATGACCTAAACCACTAAGCTGTATCGGATGTAGTTCAAAGTAATGCTTGCATACTTTGTGACAGAAATTGTGGACACTGACCATAGTATGGACTGAAATTCCAGTAACAGCAGTAGTTGCTCTCTCTGTGACTTCCATAGACCATAACAAGGGAAGATGAAGCCACTTATTCAGGGAAATGCTGGATTTTGTGAAAAAATAATCCTTTCAAAGACAGACTCATGCTGATTGGCAATTGCAGTGAACAAATTTCCATGAATAGCTGTCTTTATTATACTGGCATTGTACCACCCACAGTAAGGGTTGGTGATATGAGGAACATTTAGGAGCCATAGATAACAAATTACACTCCTTCAAGAAGTCAATGATTGGCAGGTTTGAAGTGTTGACAATAGGTTGCAATGTATCTTGAAATAAACATCTATCCATTGGGAGAGGTGAAATAAAAATTTTCTCAAAAGTAGAACCACTAAAAAAATAAAATTTGAATTTGACCCACCACAATTAAGAAATTTCACTGGTGGGACTCACAAGGACAAATTGTTTAGTTGATCCAATTCCATTTATATAAAATTATAGAAAATGCTAACTAATCTATAGTGACAGACTGCAGATTAGTAGTTGCCCAATGAGAAGCAAGGAATGGATTATAGATAGTCATGAGGAAACTTCTGAGAGTTATAGATCTGTTCATTATCTTCATGTTCATTATCACAGTCATACAATCTATTATATTCCAATCATACCTCAATAAAACTATACAAAAATTTTAAAATGTAAGCAACATCATGTCCCTCTTCCATTTAAAATTCTCCTTGTCTCACTGAGAGAAAAAGCCAGTTCTGATGATGGCCTACAAGGCATTATATGGTCTGGATTCTCCATGACCTCTCTCCCTCCTGCTCACTCTCCAGCCACACCGGCCTCCTCGCCTTTCTTAGAAAATGCCAAGCGAGCCACCCATCTCAGGGCCTTTACAATTGGGATTTCCTTTGCCTATGTTTCTCCCAGGTTGCCTCAAGGCTTGCTCCCCTCTTCCTTCAGGTCTTTGCTCAAGTACAATCTTCTGGGTGAATTTTCCCCGATCATTCTATTTAAAATTGCAAACCCTCCCAAACTCTCTATCCCCCTTTCTTGATATATTTTTCTCCTAGCACTTATCATCATCTAACACACTACAGTCAGCATGTGGGTTCCACATCCATGGATTCAACCAACTATGGGTGGAAAATATTTTTTAAAACTTTTAAAATAATATAAATTTTAAAAATATAGTATAACAGCTATTTGCAGGGATTTGCTTTGTATTAGATATTATAAATAATCTAGAGATGATTTAAAGTATACAGGAAGATGTGTATAGGTTATATGCGAATATTATGTATGCTCTTTTATATAAGAGACTTGGGCATCTGCAGATTTTGGTATCCGTGTGGGTCCTGGAACTAATCCCCAATATATATATGATGGTATATATTTTGCACATTCATTTTGTTGTCTCTCTTCTCATCAGAAATTAAACTGTATGAGGGCAGGGGCTTTTGTATGCTTTGTGTACTGCTGCACTCCTCAATACCTAGAACGCTGCCTGGCACACAGTAGGCTCTCAATAAGTATTTGTTAAATGAATGGATGAGTATGATTTGTTACAAGGATTAAAATAAAGAAGATACATGTATACCTGGCCTATGAAAGGTAAATCAAACTGTTATATCTAAATCCTTGTGTCTGAAAGTGAAAATGTCTTGAAACTTCAGGGACGGATAATTAATTCCAGCTTCATTTGCCTTAACCTTATTTAAAATTTAAAATAAAAGCCAAAACACTAAAGATCGTATTTCCAGGCCACATGCCTTTTTATAAAGGTACACATAATCTCACTTGGCAAATCTTTAACAGCTGCCAGGGGAAAAAAAGGTCAGACACTCTGCTACAGATACCATGACTCAGCTGAGATCCACAACAAGGAACTGGCTAATTTTTCCATTTCAACAGGCTCTGGCCATTTCCCCAGGATCCTAAGAAGATAAAGGGCAAGTCTTAATTCTTTCATTCCAGTAAGATGAAGTACTGGATATCTGCAGAGTTGGGTACACTAACTCTCAGCGGACGGGTGGTAGCCTGGAAGCCCCCGGAGCTACCTCATGCAAAGACTGGTGTTAAATCATCCCAGTCACTTGGCTACTTGGAGTGAGACTTGGCATTTCAATTTCTTACATACCTCGCCATGGTCATCTCAGTCAACAGCAAGAACAAGGGCTAAGGCATATCGTGCATTCTCTGTGACAATGTTGAATTGTAACCACATTTGGAGAGTAGTAGATCGTTTCTAGCCTTCAAAAACCCCTCCCTCCAGCAACTAGCAGGCACTCGGAAAATCTGACCCCTGCAAGAGCTGCTGTAAATTTACTTAGGAAGCCTGCTTCCCACTGTGAAGCAACAAAGGGTATGGAATAAGATGTCTGGTTGCAGATCCCTTAGGTCTCTCCAGTCTCCAAATCTCAGAGGTCTAGCTGCTCCTAGGAACTTGAGCACTCCGTGACTGGATAGTACTTGGCAGGCACCTTTTAGAATTTAGAATGAGGAAAAGATCACTTCTGTTTCAGTAAGTGTAAACAATATAAAGAAGAATGTGGAGCTGGTTACAGTCAAGCACTTCCAGATGCTATAATATTTCAGAGTAACAACCAAGATGTCCTGGTTAAGATGGGGAAGTGAGAGTGGGAAAAAAATACATATTCCCTCCCCAATAAAGGGAGATATTATTACGTATCCATTATATTATTATTGATATATTATTTATTGCTTACCTGGATTTCAATACCCTCCTAACTAGTCTCTCTGGTTTACTCTTGTCTTCTACCCTAATCTGTTCTTAATATGAGCAAGCCACAGTGATTCTTTTAAAGCACACATCTGATTATTTCATTCCTCTGCTCAAAACCTTCCACAGGCTGCTAATTTTGCACAGGCACTTCTAGCTACTAGGACCAGCGTTAACTGTTCCCTTTACTTGCAATGTCCTTCCTTCAACTACACAATGGCAAAATCCCTCACTCCTTCAAGGCTTTATTCTAATGTCACCTTCCCAATTTTCTGTTTTCCTGAATCCCCTTTGGTCTACCTTTTTTCCCAATAGCATTTGTCATCTTCTAACATACTACATAAACTATGTTTACTGTCTGTTTCTTCTTTTCTAGAGTGAGCTCTAAGAGGTATCCCAATCACCTAGAAATAGTACACAGGGCATAGGAGGTTTTCGACAAGTGTTTATTGAACAAATGAATGTATTTCCACAGAAGCAGGTAGTCAGAATTCCCCGCAAGGGCAGCAGGCATCAGAGGAACTAGGAGAAAAGTCTTTGCTCTAAGGTAAAGTTTTCCTCCAAGTCTGATGGCAACTCTCCTTGAATTAATCAAGTTTTTTTTTTTAACCTCTGCTCTATTGGTTTAGAAATTACATATTGTTTTGTTTTTTTCTGTCCTAAAGTAGTTGTTATTATTCAAGGTTTAATAGGTGTTCTTGTCTCAACAATGTCTAAAGTTAACCAGCACCTCAACTCTCTTTCTGAACAAAATTAAAAGATCCTAGATCGCTTTTAACTCCAATCCTCCCACTCCCTTTCAACTTACCTATTATTACAATCTATTATTTCAGGTCTATCTTACTTTTACATTGCCAAATTAGTAATTATTATTTTATACAATAATTGCTTGCTTAGATTTACTCATGTATTTTCTAATTTCACTGCTTAACATTCCCTCTTGGGATCTCATGTATTTCTTCTTTGTTTCTGAAATATATCCTGTAGTAATTATTTCAGAGAGGATCTGATAGTAATAAATCTTCTCTATAGATTTTGTTCTCTTGGTTTTTGATGGTCTGAAAATGGCTTTTTTTGGTCACTCACTTCCACTGCTAATTTAGCAAGTATGGATAATTCTAGTGTCTTGTTCAGAGTAACTTTTTTCTCAATACTTTAAAAATATTATTCTGTAGTCTTATGGCTCCTGTTATTGCTGTTGAAAAGCTTACTCTTAGCATAAGTGCTGTTCCTTTGTACTTAATTTTTCTTTTTCTGTCTGGTTGCTTTATTTTAACCATTAACTTATTTTTTTAGATATATTTCCAACAATATAAAATTCACCCTTTTAAAATGTACAACTCATTCATTTTTAGTATATTCACAAGGCTGTGCAAGCACTGCCACTATCTAATTCCAGAATATTTTCATTGCCAAAAAGAAACCTTGTACCCATTAGCAGTCATTCTCCATCCCATTCTCCCCACAACCAACCACCAACGTACTGTCTCTATGGATTCACTGTCTCTGTGGACTCTACGTATTCTGGACATTTCACAGAAACTGAATCATACATTATGTAGTCTTTGGCTTCTTTTACTCAGCATGTTTTCATGCATGTTGTGGCATGCATAAATTCTCCATGCCACAATTGTTAATCCTTTCATAAAATGACAAGGTATTTGGGTTGTTACTACTTTTTGGTTATCATAGATGCTGCTGCTGTGAACATTTGTTTACAAGTTTTTGCATGAACATATATTTTCAATTTTCTTGAGTGAACTTTCTTGCTGAGCTCTTTTACTTTAGTGAATTCTTGAGGGTTCTTTAAGATATTCTCTTTGTTTTCATGGCTCTGCAGTACTGCAATGTATCTAGATGGGGATTTATTTTTATTTATTATAGTGGGGACTCACCATGCTTCAAGATGTTCCTTGTTTGTTTCTAATCAGTTCTGGAAGGTCTCAGTCATTATCTCTATGAATACTGCCTCTTCCCATTTCTCCATATTCTGTTGGACCATCTGATCATATCTTCTGTATTTCTTAGCTTTCATTCATAGTTTATATCTTCCCATTTCTGTCTTGCACTCTTGATAAAAATTTTACTTTGTCCACAGCTCTATTATTTAACACGACTGTTGCATTTTCAATTTCAACAACACAATACATATATTTTATTCCTCGAATTCTAATTAGCTTTTTGTCCAAATATATTTGGTCTTTTTTTCTCTTGTTTCTGTTTCCTTCTTTTATATTCTTTTTTGTTTGTTTTGAGACAGGGGATCACTCTGTCACCCAGGTTGGAGTGCAGTGGCTCAATCTCCACTCACTGTTGCCTCTATTTCCTGGGCTCAGGTGATCCTCCCACCTCAGCCTCCAGGGTAGCTGGGGCCACAGGCCCATGCTACCATGCCTGACTAAGTTTTGTATTTTTTGTAGAGACAGGGTTTTACCATATTGTCTGGGATGGTCTTGAACTCCTGGGCTCAAGTGATCCGCCCGTCTTGTCCTCCCAAACTGCTGGGATTACAGGCATAAGCCATCATGTCCAGCCTCCTTCTTTTATATTCTTAATAATTTTAAATATACTAATCTTACAGTCTTAATCTCTAATGTTACTTTGTTTTTCTTTTTGAGACAGGTTCTCACTCTGTCATCCAGGCTAGGGTGCAATGGCACAATCACAGTTCACTGCAGCCTTGACCTCCCTGACACAAGCAATCCTCACCTCAGCCTCCCAAGTAGCTGAGAAAACAAGCATGCACCACCATGCCCAGCTAATTAAAAAAAAAAAAATTTAGTAGAGATGAGACTTCACTATGTTGTTCAGGCTGGTCTTGAACTCCCGGGCTCAAGCGATCCTCCCACCTCAGCCTCCTAAAGTGCTGGGATTACAGGCATGAGCCACCACACTCAGCTAACATTCGTATTTTTTTGTAGAGACAGGGTTTGACCATGTTGCCCAGGCTGGTTTCGAACTCCTGGGCTCAAGCAGTCCACTCGCCTCAGCCATCCAAAGTATTAAGATGAAAGTTGTGAGCCACTGTGCCCACCCTCTAATGCTACTTTCTGAAGTTCCAAACTGTTTCTTTTATCTATTGATTTTCACTTAGGGGAGATTGGTTGGTTGGTTTGTAATTTTGTACTACAAACTTACCTTCAGTGAAGCTGCATTTATGAGAATCCTATGATACCTGATTTGAGGGTATGTCACTTAATAGAAGTGTTAAGTTTGTTTCTGACAGATGAGCCAGAGTTATTACCAGCCCAGAACCAGCTTCTAGACCACACAAAGAGTATAAACTCCAACCCCCAATTTCAGTTAAGTGAAGGCTTACAGGTAGAAATTTTCAAGGGAGACGTCTTTCCTTTATTAAAAGCCCTATTTAAAATCCAGATGAGATTAAGAAAGTTCTTTTTATCTGTACATGCCAGTGGTTTTCCTAGTCCATTCCTGCACTGAGGGTGAAGTCTTTTGAGGGTCCTAATTGTATGTAGGGGGTGTCCATTCTAATTGCTTACACTAAACAAGCCAAGACCTCATCTTTTTTCCCCTCAAGGTTATTGAGACTAGCACATCTCCTCCCTGACCCCATTTTTGGAAGCTTCAAAGCTGGCTCCCACTGTTATTATTATTATTTTTTAGGTTCAGGGGTACATATTCAGGTACATAGGTAAACTCCTGACACAGGGGTTTGTTGTATAGGTTGTTTCATCACCCAGATATTAAGCCTAGCACCCAATAGTTACTTTTCCTGCTCCTCTCCCTCCTCTCTCTCTCCACCCCCAAGTAGACCTCAATGTCTGTTGTTTTCCCTTCTTTGTGTTCATGAGTTATCTTCATTCAGCTCCCACTTATAAGTAAGAACATGCGGTATTTGGTTTCCTGTTCCTGGGTTAGTTTACTTAGGATCGTAGCCTCCAGCTCCATCCATGTTCTCGCAAAAGACATGATCTTGTTCTTTATGGCTGCATAACATTCCATGGTATATATGTACCACATTTTCTTTATCCCATCTATCATTAATGGGCATTTAGGTTGATTCCATGTCTTTGCTAATGTGAATAGTGCTATAATGAACATTCGTGTGCATGTGTCTTTATGGCAGAATGATTTATATTCCTCTGGGTATATACCTAGTAATGAAATTGCTGGGTCAAATGGTACTTCTGCTTTTAGCTCTTTGAGGAATCACCATACTGCTTTCCACAATGGTTGAACTAAATTACACTCCCACCAACAGTGTGTAAGTGTTCCCTTTCCTCCACAACCTTGCCAGCATCTGTTATTTTTTTACTTTTAACAACAGCCATTCTGACTGGTGTGAAATGATAGATCTCATTGTGGTTTTGATTTGCAGTTCTCTAATGCTCGGTGATATTGAGCTTTTTTTCTTATGCTTGTTGGTCGCATGTATGCCTTCTTTTGAAAAGTATCTGTTCACGTCCTTTGCCCACTTTTTAATGGGGTTGTTTTTCTCCTGTAAATTTGTTTAAGTTCCTTATAGATGCTGAATATTAGACCTTTGTCAGATGCAGATTGCAAATATTTTTTCCTATTCTGTAGGTTGTCTGTTTACTCTGTTGATAGTTTCTTTTGTTGTGCAGAACCTCTTAAGTTTAATTAAACTTGTCCATTTTTGCTTTTGTTGCAATCGCTTTTGGTGTCTTTGTCATGAAATCTGCCCATTCCTGTGTCCAGGATGGTACTGCTTAGGTTGTCTTCCAGGGTTTTCATAGTTTTACGTTTAAGTCTTTAACGCATCTTGAGTTGATTTTTGTATATGATGTAAAGGAGGGGTACTATGTAGCTTCAGTCTTCTGCTTATGGCTAGCCAGTTATCCCAGAACCACTTACTGAATAGGGAGTCTTTTCCCCATTGCTTGTTTTTGTCAGCTTTGTCAAAGATCAGGTTATCATAGGTGTGTGGCCTACGATTTTAAAACCCCTGATTTTTAAAATAGGCTCTCTGTTCTGTTCTATTGGTTTATGTCCCTGTTTTTGTACCAGCACCATGCTGTTTTAATTACTGTAGCCCTGTAGTATAGTTTGAAGTCAGCTTTGTTCTCTTTGCTTAGGATTGCCTTGGCGATTTGGGCTCTTTTCTTGTTCCATATGACTTTTTTTTTTTTTTTTTTTTTTTTTTTGAGATGGAGTCTCACTCTGTCGCCCAGGCTGGAATGGAGTGGCATGATCTCAGTCCACTCCAATCTTCACCTCCCAGGTTCAAGCAATTCTCCTGCCTCAGCCTCCCAGGTAGCTGAGACTACAGACACACACCACCACATGCAGCTAATTTTTTGTATTTTTACTAGAGATGGGGTTTCACCATATTAGCCAGGCTGGTCTTGAACTCCTGACCTCATGATCCACCCGCCTTGGCCTCCCAAAGTGCTGGGATTACAGGCGTGAGCCACCGCACCCGGCCCGGTTCCATATAATTTTTTAAATAATTTTTCTAGTTCTGTGAAGAATACTCTTGGTAGTTTGATAGAAATAGCATTCAATCTATAAATTGCTTCAGGCAATATGATCATTTTAATGATATTGATTCTTCCTATCCATGAGCATGGTATGTTTTTCCATTTGTTTGTGTCCTCTCCGATTTCTTTGAGCAGTGTTTTGCAATTCTCATTGTAGAGATCTTTCACGTCTCTGGTTAGCTGTATTCCTAGGTATTTTATTCTTTTTGTGGCAATTGTAAATGGGACTGCCTTCCTGATTTGGCTCTCTCCCTGGCTGCTGTTGGCGGATAGGAATGCTAGTGCTTTCTGCTAGTGATTGATTTTGTATCCTGAAACTTTGCTGAAGTTGTTTATCAGCTTAAGAAGCTTTTGGGGCCAGGCGCAGTGGCTCATGCCTGTAATCCCAGCACTTTGGGAAGCCAGGGCAGGTGGATCACGAGGTCAGCAAATCAAGACCATCCTGGCTAACATGATGAAACCCTGTCTCTACTAAAAATACAAAAAATTAGCCGGGTGTGGTGGCGGGCAACTGTAGTCCCAGCTACTCGGGAGGCTGAGGCAGAAGAATAGCATGAACCTGGGAGGTGGAGCTTGCAGTGGGCCGAGATGGGCCCTCTACACTCCAGCTTGGGCGACAGAGCGAGACTCCGTCTCAAAAAAATAAAAGAAGCTTTTGGGCTGAGACTATCAGGTGTTCTACATATAGAATCATGTCATCTGCAAACAAGGGTAGTTTGACTTCCTCTCTTTCTATTTGGGTACCCTTTATTTCTTTCTCTTGCCTACTGCTCTGGCTAGCACTTCTACTCTTATTGATTAGGTGTTGTTTTCTCTCTCTGATTTGGGTCCCTCAGGGTTTTCCTCATGTTCTGCTGAAATCAGCTATGCATTTAAAACAACAATGATAATATCTAACAATTACTAAGAGCTCACTGGGCTTGGTTTAAAGCTAACTTGTCCAACTGGCAGCCCACAGGCCACATGCAGTCCAGGACAGCTTTGAATGTGGCTCAATACAAATTTGGAAATTTTCTTAAAACATTATGAGGTGTTTGGGTTTTTTTTTTTTTTTTTTTTTTTTTAAAGCTCATCAGCTATCATTAGTGTATTCTGTGTGTGGCCCAAGACAATTCTTCCTATGTGGCAGAGGGAAGCCAAAAGATTGGCTTGTAAAACTAACAACCCTGGTTTAAAGCATTACATGTAGTATCTCACACCCTATGAAGCAGCGACTATTATTATCCCTTTATTTGGACAAGGAACTGAAGGCTAAGAAATGCTACATAGCTTTCCCTAAGTCAAGATAAAATAATAACATTATTTGAAGGCCTAATCTAACTTGAATTTTCTTTGCCCTCGGACTTTCTTAGTGTGGTGCTTCATCCTCAAATGATCTAAAAGTCAAGTATCCAGAAAATCAAGGGCATTTTATGTGGCCTAACTTCATGGACGAGAGGACAGCAATAAGTACCCTAGGGACTGGTGCAAAACTCTGACGTAGGCACAAATATTGGGGAGCAGGTCTGCTATGACAGAGACTAAGGAAACAGTATGCTCCCACCAAAGTCTTTAGTCGTGACCACCTTGACTACTATTGTGACTATCAACCCTATATCAGGACACAATAAAGAGAGCGCTATCTTGAGCCAGACAAAAAATAAAGAGGTACAGATTATCTCTACACTGAACAATCCTGAATCCTTTCACTATATCTTATAGCAGAAAAGACCACCAGCAATGCAAAGGAAGCATAATTCAGTCCCAGGCAGATTATACCAGCCAAATCTAAACATCTCTGCTACATGTTCCTGCAACAGTTACAACTTACAGGGAAAAGAAACAAATACAGGTCTAAACCTGGAATGCCAAGCCCAAGATATCATGAATTTAATAGACTAAGAACACTTGGAAGGAATCAAGGGTTTTAAAGAAAAGACATAAAGAGAGGGAGGAAATTGGCCAAATATAAGCCAGTACAATCTTCTGCCCTGGAATAATTTATGTGACGTAGTAGCAAGTTCCCTTCATGACAGGCAACTTGTCTCCATCCCCAGTCTCAAGATGAGGATAGGATTTTCCACCACACCTTAGTAAATCTCCCCACCACCAAGAAAACAAGATAATTCTGTCTTTGATTATTTGCAGTTGACATTCACACAGTTCTAATGGAATCAACCTGGTAAAAGAGATAGGAGAAAAATTTAAAAACCCTAGACTGGGCACTGCCTCAGATTCTGGGTATTCTAGGCATGCCTATATTTCCAGTGTCCAGGACAGTGCCTGATACATGTTTATTATTTGGAGAATTAATGAATGGGAGAGACTGGAGAATTAAGGAAAGGGAGATAATGGTTTTGTAATGTATTCTTAAAGCAGTACATCTCTTGGTAATCAAAGGAAAGCAGCCAGTGAGACTATAGATTTTTTTCTCTGAATGGAGTACACTTCCACTACTGAGGCCATCCACAAACATGGGCCTTGGAACTAGTATAGACTGCCCTGATAACATAGTGTCTGGGAAGTTGTGGTATATTTGGTTTGTCTTTACTAGTTCCCATGGCCTCTGGATTTCTCTGGAAGCTCCAAATTATAAGCCCACTCACAGGTTACATTTCTAGACCAGTAGCTTTGAGAGCTAGTGGTTGACAGGAAATGCAAAATGTCCTGTAATTACTATGTATTTTGGCCCAATACATACATAGTTTAAGTGTTACTAATACATACTTTAATCTGTTACTTAATACACAGTTTAATCTGCTACTAATACAGATTAAACCCATCCTGTATTAGTAACAATCCTTCTTTTCTACCTCCTTCCTCAATAAATTGCCCAGCTGTCTGGCCTGTGCCCAAATTTCCATAGCAGAAAAGATTAGAACACAGTTAGTTTCTACGAGGCAGCCATGGGTAGAGACGCTACATAAGGACCAGGCCCCCCACTTTCAATAGACCAGTATCATCATGGTCATTTTTATGGTTGTTGTTTTATCTTTTTATTATTCTGTTTTTTCTTTTACCCTCAATTTTTTATTTTTTATTTCATTTGTATTATTTGTCACATGCCATGATCAGAAAACACAGTCTTTTTGAGATAGGGTTTCACTCTGTCACCTAGGCTGGATTGCAGTGGTGCAATCTCAGTCCACTATAGACTTGACCTCCCAGGATTAAGTGATCCTCCAACCACAGCCTCCTGAGCAGCTGGGAATAAGTGCACACCACCACACCTGGCTAAATTTTGTTTATTATTTCATAGAGACAAGATCTCACTATGTTGCCCAGGCTGGTTATGAACTGCTGGGCTCAAGTGACCCTCCTGCCTCAGTCTCCCTAAATGCTGGGCATTACAAAGGCTTGTGGCAGGAGCCACCACACCTGGTCCACAGTCATTTTTTAATGACAGCTAATTGCAAGGTTCTATGTCAGGCACTTAAAATACTCAAAAAGGTGCAAGTATACTCAATCCTTGGCCTTCAGAGGCTCATAGCTGAAGAGACTTAGATATGTGAAGAAGAGAACTCACAACATATTTTGGCACAGGCAGTCGTGGCACAGAAGGACAGGAGGCTTCCAAGAGGAAGGCAGAAGATCTGAGGAATTCAGAACCCACAGTAGAGAGAGATACTGGAAATACCATGATGGCAAATAAATATGCAAGGGGACTAGAAAATAATCACTCTGAGTTGGAGGAGAAGACGAGAAGGCTCTAGAAGAAATGTTTCTGGAAGGATGGAGTATGGTGGGGGAGAAGATTAAATTAGGAGATTAAATCATCTAATGTAATATACTGAAAAACATTTTGGAGCTCTGATAGAAAATTTGGGGTGAATAAATGATTGCTACATAGAATATAAAGCAATGCAAAAGTGAGACCATTATTACCCTCAGGAAAACAAAAAGTTGCAAAAGAAAACAGACATAATCATAATGCACAATGACTTTATTAGAAATAATATTAAGTTGTATTAATTTGACACTGAAATAGATAAAAAAATTTAAAGTAGTTGGTTTCAATAAATAAAAATCAAGGATGGTAGGAATGGGGTAAGGGAATTTCAAAATCCCTTTATTAGCTTTAAAGAACTAACAGACTTTTGAAATTATGTCCACATATTTCTTTGACAAAATAAAAATTAAATTTAAAATGTGGGTGGCTTACACGTATGTAAAGAGTACAAGAAAGGAAGTGATATTACCTAGGTAGGAGAATATGATGGCAGTAATTATTGTGCATTTTAGTTGGTACAATCATGGCTCAAATCCAAGCTATAGTGGCATGTTTAAAGAAGACTGTCGCTAGAAAAGAGGTCTTGTCTGAGACCCCAAGAGCAGGTTCTTGGATCTCATGCAGGAAATAATTCAGGGTGTCACAGAGTATAGCGAAGTTTATTAGAGACTTCTCTATTACAGAGCAGGACATCCTCAGAATTCAAGAGGAGGAACACCCCTACCTTAAACATACTGCTTGCTTATATAGGTTGTTAAGGATAGTGTACTTCATTACAAAGGCTTGTGATCAGCTGTGACAGGCTATCAGTAGTGTTATTTCCCTATGTTACTACGGATTTTAGCAAAAATTCATGAGTGCATTATTATCTTTAAAGCAAAACCTATTTTTTATTTATTTATTTATTTATTTTTTGAGACAGAGTTTTGCTCTTGTTGCCCAGGCTGGAGTGCAACGGCATGATCTTGGCTCACGGCAACCTCTGCCTCCCGGGTTCAAGCGATTCTCCTGCCTCAGCCTTCCTGAGTAGCCGGGATTACAGGCACGCGTCACCACGCCCAGCTAATTTTGTATGAAAGCAAAACCTATTCTTAAACTAAGAATGCTTTTTGATCTTCAAGTACTGAAACATTTCATAAGTTTCATAAGCATCTTTTCGTTAGTTAGCATCATTAACTTGTTCCCTCAACCCTAAACATCTTGTGACCAACAGTGTCCAACCCCTTGGGAATGTAACCCAGGAGGTTTGGCTTTATCTGGCCTTTAATCAAGATGGAGTCACTCTAGTCTGGATGCCCCTGACCAAACTATCAGATGATCACATAAATCTCCTGTTCAAAATCCTCCAACTGCTATGGCCAAATAAATAAATAAATATCCAAATTAGTGATGAGCATGACAATCAAGACTCTTCATGGTATAGCCCCCTGCTAATTTGTCCCACCCATCATCATGCCTCCAAGAATCTACCATGCACACACTTTACATCCAGTAGTAAACAAGGCCATACCATTATGTCTCTATTCTCTTGCATATGCTACTGTTTCAACTTAAATACCCTTATCCCAAATGTATACCTAATACATGTTAATTTTTCACTTCTCAGCTCAAATTTCCTTCTCTCTGAAGCCTTCCCTGTGTTCTCCAGGACAGAATTGGGGATTGATTGGCTTCCATACACTGACACTGAATCTTGTATTATTCTTCTAAAGGGGACCAGGAAATGTTATCCTAAAGTATGCCACTTTGGCTAAAGACACTAAGAAGCAACAAACTCTCTGCCTTCCCCCTTTCTGCCTAAAAGTAAGGTATAAATTTCCCTTTTGTAAAAGTAATATAAATTTGCATTTGTAAAGGTGTTCTATCTCATGTACCAGGAAGATTCTTAATCACTGGAGATCATTCTTATCACTAGAGACAGCAGTGACTTGAATCTACATGACAAGTGTTACTAAACCCTTATTTACCAAACATTTCCTAGTCACCTTCACACAATTTACTGCCCCTAGCAGCCCAAGCCTTTGTCTAGTTACTTCACAATTAATCATCCTTTGTTAAAATGGTATATAATACCCCCATAACATGCAATTTACCTATATAACAAACCTGCATATGTACCCCAAACCTAAAAGTTAAAAAATAAATAAAAAATAAATGAAATGGTGTACAAGCACCGAATTCTCAGCACCTCTTTGAGTTACTCATCACTGAGTTTTCCCACATGAATACATGTTGCCAAGTGTAAAACTCTATTATGCATCTCCATGTCCTCATCACCACAGGTAGCTTTACTGAAGAAAACTAAAAAACTTTCAAACAAGTGGTCTTTGTCTTATAAAGTGCTGGAAAATAGAATAAAAGAAAAAGCTGCTTAAGTTAATTTACAACATTACTGTAATTTTGATTCAAAGCCAGATAGCAACAGTCTAAGAAAATTACAGTTCCATATCCTTTATAAACATACATGTTTTAATTCTGTAAAACTTGAGCTGGTTCAGTTAAAAAAAAAAAAAAAGAAACCCACTACAATCAAGCTGGACAGTGATTCTCAAGGTATGGTTGGCAAACCTCTTGGGGTCCCTGAGACTCTTTCAGGAGGACAGCAAAGTCAAAACTATTTTCACAGGAATATTGAGACATCATTTACCTTATTCACTGGGTTGGCATTTGCACTGATGTTATAAAAGCAATGGTGGGTAAAACTTCTCGCACCTTAACAAAAGCAAACCTAAACTGTTCTAGTAGCGAATGTATTACTCTCCAAACACTTCTTCATAATTGTGTTACAATATATTACAAGAATAAAGGACAAAAACTACACAACCATCTCAATAGATGCAGAAGACATATTTGACAACAAGACTGAATGCTTTTCTCCCTAAGAGGAGGAACAAGGCAAGTATGTTGGCTTCTACCACTTCTATTCAACATTGTACTAGAGGTTCTAGCCAGTGCAATAAGGAATAAACAAATAAAAAAACAAAAAACAAATAGGAATAAACAAATAAAAAAGATTGGAAGATAAGTAAAACTGTTATCATTCACACACAAAACAATCCTATATGTAGAAAATCCCAAAGAAATTTTTAAAAAACTATTAAAACGGCCAGGCACGGTAGCTCACGCCTGTAATTCCAGCACTTTGGAAGGCCAAGGTGAGTGGATCACAAGGTCAGAAGTTCAAGACCAGCCTGGCCAAGATGGTGAAACCCCGTCTCTACTAAAAATAGAAAAATTAGCTAGGCGCAGTGGCAGGCGCCTGCAATCCCAGCTACTCGGGAGGCTGAGGAAGGAGAATCACCTGAATCCAGGAGGTGGAGGCTGCAGTGAGCCGAGATCCCGCCACTGCACTCTACCCTGGGTGACAGAGCAAGACTCTGTCAAAACAAACAAAAACAAACAAATAAAAAAACAAAAACACCTAATAAAACTTATATAAATAAGTTTGGTCATGTCACCAAATACATGTGTGAAAAACTGATTATATGAATTGGAGCTATCTTGTCATACCCAAGTAGAATCAAGACAAGAGGAAAAGAAAAGCACTCAGGGCACAAAGCACCAACCCAGAAATTATACTGCAAGCTAGCTGCCAAAATAACCTGCTAAAACCTTAAGACCAGTTTTATCTACCACTGTCATTCACCAATCAGAGCTTGCCAGCTTCTAAAAACTTTGCAAGTACCAATGACTTTTCTTTCAAAACAATATGCAACAATTCTCTTTCTAATAAAATCCTCATAGGCCAGGCGCGGTGGCTCACGCCTGTAATCCCAGCACTTTGGGAGGCTGAGGCGGGCGGATCATGAGGTCAGGAGATCGAGGCCATCCTGGCTAACACGGTGAAACCCCATCTCTACTAAAATACAAAAAAATTAGCAGGGCGTGGTGACAGGTGCCTGTAGTCCCAGCTACTGAGGAGGCTGAGGCAGGAGAATGGCGTGAACCCGGGTGGCGGAGATTGCAGTGAGCCGAGATCGCGCCACTGCACTCCAGCCTGGGCGACAGAGCGAGACTCTGTCTCAAAAAAAAAAAAAAAATCCTCAACCTTCTCTTTGCTCTGTAGACACACTGAAGACTACTCTACTCTGTTTGTATGCCCGAAATTACATTTCTGTTTTCCCAAAGAAAACATTTTGTTTAGAGATTTATCTCTATATTTTTATTTGACTTTGACACAGATAGACAAAAGTCAATGTATTTCTATATTCTAGCAACAAACAACCCAAAAATGAAATTAGGAAGGCAACCCCACTCACAATAGCATTAGAAATATTAAAATACTTAGAAATAAATTTAACAAAAGAAGTATGAGACTTGTATGCTGAAAACTATGAAACACTAAAAGAAAATTTTAAAAAGCTAAATAGGCCGGGCATGGTGACTCATGCCTTTAATCCTAGCACTTTGGGAGGCCGAGGCGGGTGGATCACCTGAAGTCAGGAGTTCGAGACCAGCCTGGCCAACACGGCAAAACCCCATGTCTACTAAAAATACAAAAATTAGCCAGGCGTGGCAGTGGGCACCTATAATCCCAGCTACTCGGGAGGCTCAGGCAGGAGAATCACTTGAACCCGGGGTGGGGGTGGTGTGGATGCTGCAGTGAGCCGAAATTGTGCCACAGCACTCCAGCCTGGGCAAAAGAGCGAAACTCCATCTCAAAAAAAAAAAAAAAAAAAAACCCTAAATAAATAGAGAACTTCCGTTCTTGGATTAGAACTCAGTGTTGTTGAGATGGCAATTCTCCCTCAAACTGATGTATAAATTCAAAGTAATCATTATCAAAATGCCAGCAAGGTCTTTTGTAGAAATTGAAAAATTGGGCCAGGCACGGTGGCTCACACCTGTAATCCCAGCACTCTGGGAGGCCAAGGTGGGCAGATCACGAGGTCAGGAGTTTGAGACCAGCCTGGCCAACATGGTGAAACTCCGTTTCTAGGAAAAATACAAAAAAATTAGCCAGGTGTGGTGGTGCATGCCTGTAGTCCCACTGCTTGGGAGGCTGAGGCACAAGAATCACTTGAATCCAGGAGGCAGAGGTTACAGTGAGCTGAGATCGCGCTATTGCACTCCAGCCTGGGCTACCAAGCAAGACTGTCCCCTGCGACCCCACCCCCCCAAAAAAAAATTGAAAAATTGATCCTCATACTTATATAGCAACACAAAGCACCCAAAACACATAAAATAATTTTGAAAAAGAACAAAGTTGGAGGAATTATACCACCTGATTTCAAAACTTAGTATAAAGCCACATTAAACAAAGATAGTGTGGAATTAGCACAAGGATAGGCATATAGATTAATGGAAGGCAAGAGAGAGTCCAGAAATAAACTGTTAACACTTGTGGTCAATTGACTTCAACAAAGGTGTCAAGAGGATTCAATAGTAGAAGGATACCCTTTCCAGCGAATTCTGCTAGAAAAATTGGACAGTCACACACACACATTTGACCTCATACCATACATAAATATTAACTCAAATGGATCATAAACCTAAATTTAGGAGTAGAAAATGTAAAACTTCTGGAAGAAAATGGAAAAAAAAAACAGCTTGGGTTAGGCAAGTAAGTTCTTAGATACCAAAAGCATGATCAATAAAAAATAAAAAATTATCAATTTTTGCATTTCAAACGACACCATCCAAATACATGGAAAGAACCACCATAGACAGGGAGAAAATAATTGCAAATCATATAGCTAATAAAGGGCTTGTATCTAGAACATACAAAGAACTCAAGGCTCAATATTTAAAAAAAAAACGAACAGATTTTTTAAATGAACAAAAATATTTGATCAGACATTCCACCAAAAAAGATATACAAATGGCTAACAATGAGATAAGATGCTCAGATCATTACCCATTAGGGAAATGTAAATTAAAACCACAGTGATATACTACACACCACTAGAATGGTTAAAATCAAGAAGAGAGAGTAATTAGTGCTGGTGAGAATGTTAAAAAATAAACTCTGTGAATGTGAAATGATGCAGTCCACTGCAGAAAACAGTTTGGTGTTTTTTAAAAAGGTAAACATAGTTTGGGCGCAGTGGCTGACACCTGTAATCTTGGCACTTTGGGAGGCCAAGACAGGAGAATCACTTGAGCCCAGGAGTTCAAGACCAGTGTAGGCAACATGGTGAGACCTCATCTCTACAAATAAAAAAATAATAATTAGCTGGGTATGGTGGTGTGCACCTGTGGTCCCAGTCACTTGGGAGGCTGAGGCAGGAGGATTCCCTGAGCCCAGGAGATTGAGGCTGCAATGAGCCATGATCACACCACCACACTCCAACCTGGATGACAGAGTGAGACTCCATCTCCAAGAAAAAAGAAAAGTAAACATAAACTTACCATACAACACAATTCTCTGACTCCCAAAAGAAATAAAAACATATGTCCACACAAAGATATGCATGGAAATGTACACAGCACCATTAATGTGATACTCCCAAACTGCAAACAATATAAATGTCCATCAACTGGTGAATGGACTAACAAAATATGGTCTATCCAATAATAAAACATTATTCAACAATAGAAAGGAATGAATATGCTACATGTATAAAGTTCAAAAACATTATGTTAAGTGAAAGAAACCAGAAACAAAAAACTACATTTAGCAGCACATAATACAGAACCAAAAAGCAGATGAGTTATTGCTTAGAGCTAGGAATTAGAAGAGTAGGATTAACTACAGGTGGGTACAAGTAAACTTTCTGAGTGACAGAAGTGTTCTAAATTTGGATTATGGTGACAATACATAATTATATAAATTTAGTAAAAACCATTGAATCCCTTACACTGAAGAGATTACAATAGGCAATTAAATTTAGTAAAAAACCATTGAATCGCTTACGTTGAATTGCTTACAATGGGTAATTTTTTTTTTTTTTTTTTTTTTTTTTTTTTTGAGATGGAGTTTCACTCTGTCTCCCAGGCTGGAGTACAGTGGTGTGATCTCGGCTCACTGCAACCTCCACCTCCCGGGTTCAAGTGATTTTCCTGACTCAGCCTCCCAAGTAGCTGGGATTACAGGCACGCGACACTACACCCGGCTAATTTTTTTGTATTTTTAGTAGAGACGGGGCTTCACCACGTTGGCCAGGCTGGTCTCGAACCCCTGACCTGAGGTGATCCACCTGCCTCGGCCTCCCAAAGTGCTAGGATTACAGGCGTAAGCCACCGTACCCAACCACAATGGGCATATTTTATACTTTGTAAATTTTGTCTCAGCCAGGCATGGTGGCACACTCCTGTAGTCCTTGCTACTTGGGAAGCTGAGGTGGGAGGATCGCTTGGGCCCAGGAGTTTGAGATCAGCCTGAGCAACAGAGAGATCCCATTTCTAGAAAAAAAAAGTAATGAACAAGCAAGTAAATAAATAAAATTTTAAAATGAAAATAAAAGTGACTGTAATTAAAAAAAAAAGCTGCCCATGGTGGTGCATGCCTTTAGTCTCAGCTACTCAGGAGGCTGAAGTGGAAGGATCACTTGAGCCCAGGGGTTTAGGATCACCCTGGGCAACGTAGTGAGATCTCATTTCTAGAAAGAAAATAAATAAACAAACAAATAATATTAGAATAAATAAAAACAAAAGTGACTGGAGAAAAAAAAAAAAAAGCCCAGGCATGGTGGTATAATGCCTTTAGATCCAGCTACTCAGGAGGCCAGGTGGAAGGACTGCTTGAGCCTAGGAGTTTGAGGCCAGCCTGGACAACAAAGAGAGGACTCATCTCTAAAAAATAAAGAAACTTAAAAAAACTCAAGTCAGATGTTTCAAAATGTGCAGGCCCCTGAGACTGAATCTGAGGTACTTAGGGGGCTTTAGAATCCTCCTTCCTCTCCTTCTTTCCTGAATAATTCAGTCTAGAGGCCACAAGATGATGATGATGATGGTGGCCATGTGGCTGGGTTGGGGTTGAGGTACCTGGCCTGGGATGTCAGAGACTGATGGGGATAAGGAAGTTGTCTGCTTGAAGAGAACAGTGGTGCCAGTCTTTCATGGGGTATTGGAGACCCAGTGAAGTGAGAAGGGCATACACACAGAAGGCTGGTGGTTACAAAAGGAGATTAGTTACACAGAGGAAAAAATGATCAGACAATCAAGTACCTCAACAAACTAAGCATCAAAGGAACATACCTCAAAATAATAAGAGCCGTCTATGACAAACCTGCAGGTAACATCATGCTGGGCAAAAAACACGGTCCCCTTGAGAACTGGAACAAAACAAGAATGCCCACTCTCACCACTCCTATTCCACATAGGAAGTCCTAGCCAGAGCAATTAGGCAAGAGAAAGAAACAAAAGGCAAACTCTCTCTCTTCACAGACAATTACCATTCTATATACCTAGAAAACCCCACAGCCTCTGCCCAAAGGTTCCTAGATCTGATAAACTTCAGCAAAGTTTCAGGATACAAAATCAACATACAAAAATCAGTAGTGATTCTACACTCCAATGACGTCCAAGCTGAGGGTCAAATCCAGAATGAAATCCCAATGACAATAACCACATAACGAATAAAATACCTAAGAATATGGCTAAAGAGGGAGGTGAAAGATCTCTACAACAAGAATTAAAAAACACTGCTGAAAGAAGTCAGAAATGACACAAACAAATGGGAAACTATGCCATGCTCACAGATAGGAAGAATTAATATTGTTAAAATGGCCATACAGCCCAAAGCAATTTACAGATTCAATGTTATTCCTCTCAAACTACCAACGACGTTTTTCACAGAGTTAGAGAAAACTATTCTAAAAATCATATGGGACCAAAAAAGAGCCCAAATAGCCAAGGCAATCTGAAGCAGAAGCAAAAAGAACAATTCCAGAGGCATTATACTACCTAATTTCAAACTATACCACAAGGCTACAGTAACCAAAACAGCATAGTACTGGTACAAAACCAGACAAACAGACCAATAGAAAAGGTTAGAGAATCCAGAAACAAAGCCACACATCTACAACCTTCTGATCTTTGACAAAGTGGACAAAAGCAATGCAAAAAGGAATCCCTATTCAATAAATGGTGCTGGGATAACTGGCTAGCCGTATGCAGAATGTTGAAACTAGACCCCTTCCTTTCACCATATACAAAAATCAACTCAAGATGATCAAAGGCTTACAGGTAAAACCTAAAACTATAACAACCCTAGTAGAAACCCTAAAATATACCACTCTGGACATAGGCCCTGGAAGACTTCATGATGAAGACACCAAAAGCAATTGCAACAGAAACAAAAATTGACAAATGGGACCTAATTAGACTAAAGAGCTTCTGCACAGCAAAATAAATTATCAACAGAGTAAACAGACAACCTAGAGAATGGGAGAAAATATTTGCAAAATATACATCTGACAAAGGTCTAATATCCAGAATCTACAAAAAACCTTAACTGAACAAGCAAAAAACAAATAACCCCATTAAAAAATAGGCAAAAGACATGAACAGACACTCCTCAGAAGACACACAAGCAGCCAACAAACACGACAACATGCTCCACATCGCTAATCATCTGAGAAATGCAAATCAAAACCACAAGGAGATACCATTTTACACTAACCAGAATGGTTATTAATAAAAAGCCAAAAAATAATGGATGCTGGCGAGACTGCAGACAAAAGGAAATTCTTGTACATTATTGGTGGAATTGTAAATTAGTTCAGCCTCTGTGGAAAGCAGTTTGGAGATTTCTCAAAGAACTAAAAGTAGAATTACCTTTCAACCCAGCAACCCCATCATTGGAAATATGCCCAAAGGAAAATAAGTCGTTCTATCAAAAAGACATATGCACTCACATGTTCATCACAGCACTATTCACTATAGCAAAGACACGGAATCAAATTAGGTGCCCATCAACAGAGGACTGAATAAAGAAAATATGGTACATATACACATACCACAGAATACTACAGAGCCATTAAAAAGAATGAAATTGGCCGGGCACAGTTGCTCACTCCTGTAATCCCAGCACTTTGGTAGGCCAAGACAGGTGGATCACTTGAGGCAGAGTTTGAGACCAGCCTGGCCAACATGGTGAAACCTCTTCTCTACTAAAATACAAAAAGTAGTCGGGTGTGGTGGCACACACCTGTGATCCCAGCTACTTGGGAAGCTGAAGCATGAGAATCACTTGAACCCAGAAGGCAGGGGTTGCAGTGAGCTGAGATCATGCCACTGCACTCAAGCCTAGGCAACAGAGCTGGAGTGCAGTGGCACAATCTCAGCTCACTGCAAGCTCTGCGTCCTGGGTTCAGGCCATTCTCCTGCCTCAGCCTCCCGAGTAGCTGGAAATACAGGCACCTGCCACCAAGCCCGGCTAATTTTTTTGTAATTTTTAGTAGAGACGGGGTTTCACCGTGTTAGCTAGGGTGGTCTCGATCTCCTGACCTCATGATCCGCCCACCGGAAATTATGTTCTTTACAGCAACATGGATGCAGCTAGAGGCCACCATCCTAAGTGAATTAATGCAGGAACAGAAAACCAATTACTCCATGTTCTCACCTATAAGTGGGAGCTAAACACTGAATATACATGGACACAAGGAAGGGAATAATAGACACCAAGGCCTACATCAGGGTGGAGGGTGGGAGGAGGGAGAGAACTGAAAAACTACCTATTGGGCACTACGTTCATTACATGAGTGACAAAATAATCTGTACACCAAATCCCCACAACACACAATTTACCCATGTAACATATCTGCACAATACCCCCTGACCCTAAAGCTAAAGTTGGGGAAAAAAAAAAAAACTTAAAATTTTTCATTAAAGTAGAAGGATACAATATTTTGTTTACTAAAACAAATTGAGGAAAATAAACTAGTAATTAGAGACTAGAAAAAAATAAGTAAATATATCAAGGGTAATGGGGGGTCAGAGTTCTCACTTTCTCTTTTTTTTTGAGACTGAGTTTTTGCTCTTGTTGCCCAGGCTAGAGTGCAATGGCACGATCTTGGCTCACTGCAACCTCCGCCTCCCAGGTTCAAGCAATTCTCCTGCCTCAGCCTCCCGAGTAGCTGGGATTACAGGTGCCCACCACCATGCCCAGCTAATTTTTTTTTTTTTTTTTTTGCATTTTTAGTAGAGACGGGTTTTCACCATGTCAGCCAGGCTGGTCTCAAACTCCTGACCTCAGATGACCTACCTGCCTTGGCTTCCCAAAGTGCTAGGATTAAAGGCGTGAGCCACCGTGCCCGGCCAGAGTTCTCACTTTCAAAGAAGGAAGTTACAAATATAAAAACAAAAACTAGAACCAAACTAGAATTAGAAGTGGAGGTATCAGTGTGAGCTTATAGTTTTCAATAACAGAAATTAAGAAATAAATACATGTGTGTTACATGTATACATTTCCCGGGAGCAGTGAACCTAAGTATGGGCAACCATGTCTACCATCAACATTTGCCCCCCCCAACCCCCCCGCTTTTTTTTTTTAAAGAGACAGGGTCTTGCTCTGTTGCCCAGGCTGGAGTACAGTGATGTGATCATAACTCACTGCAACCTTGAACTCCTGGGCTTAAATGATCCTCCTGAGTAGCTGGGACTACAGGCATGTGCCACCACACTTGGCCTTTTTTTTTTTTTTTTTTTTTTTTTAAAGAAATGGGGTCTCACTAAGTTGCTCAGGCTGGTCTTGAACTCCTCAGCCCCCTAAAGTGCTGGGATTATACCATGCCTGATTCATATTTTGGCTTTTAAAAAGCATTCTCCACTAAAAAGAACTATGCTGCCTAGAGAAAAAGCTCAAGGGCTAGTGAGGGTACAAAATAAGCCAGCCAGGAATATCTTCTCAGGGCAGAAAGTTACGTAGTTCTCAAAGAATGACAGAGACATCAAAAAGACACAAAAGTCAGCCTGAAGAAACTTCCCTTGACCAGATATGATACAATTTTGAGCATCAAAACTAAAATGGTATTAACAGATTATATAACCCATCAAATAAGACAAATCCACTAAATTTTTTTTGGAGTGGGGAGGGGGCAGTTGAAAGACAGAGTCTCACTCTGTCTCCCAGGCCAGAGTGCAGTGGTGCGATCTTGGCTCACTACAACCTCCGCCTCCTGGGTTCAAGCGATTCTCGTGCCTCAGCCTCCCATGTAGCTGGGATTACAGGCGTGAGCCACCACGCCTGGCTAGTTTTGCATTTTTAGTACAGACAGGGTTTCACCACGTTGGCCAGGCTGGTCTTGAACTCCTGACCTCAAGTGATCCACCCACCTCAAAGTGCTGGGATTACAGGTGTGAGCCACAGCGCCCAGTCAAAAGTCCACTGAATTTATACAGTATAATAAAGTAAGTGAAAAATGAATAGGGAGAGGTGAAAGCTTTTGCTATGGTGAAATGCCAACTGATGGGTATAGAAAGAATTATGAAATTGTAAAAATACCATTTGGTGACCAGCATAGTATAATAATGCAACCAGGAACATCAATGGATCCTAAAAACAGAGGGTTAAAATTTGATGAGGAATGGGGTACTTACATAATTTTAAGAACATTCCCATAAAATACTTATTAATTACAAAGGGAAAAAAAGAGTAACTTCACAGCAGCAAAACTTTACAGCAGCAAAACACCACGTTAATAAAGTGATCAAGGTTAACTTCATAGTAATGGGACAAAACGAAAGCCTGTATCACCTAACAGGACACAATGAGAAGAACACAACATTGCTGGGTGCAGTAGCTCACGCCTGTAATCCCAGCCCTTTGGGAGGCCGAGGCAGGAGGATTACCTGAACCCAGGAGTTCAAGACCAGCCTAGGCAACACAGCAAGACCCTGTCTCTAAAAAAATTTTTTAAAACTTAGCCAGGCATGGTAGTGTATGCCTGTATTTCCAGCTACTCTCCTCAAGAGGCTGGGGTGGGACTGGGCATGGTGGCTCACACCTGTAATCCCAGCACTTTGGGAGGCTGAGGTGGGCGGATCACCTGAGGTCAGGAGTTCGAGACTAGTTTCACCAATATGGTGAAGTCCTGTCTCTACTAAAAAAAAACACAAAAATTAGCCAGGTGTGGTGGCGGGCGCCTGTAGTCCCAGCTACTCAGGATGCTGAGACAGGAGAATCGCTTGAACCCGGGAGGTGGAGGTTGCAGTGAGCCCAGATCATGCCACTGCACTCCAGCCTGGGTGACAGAGCGAGACACTCTCAAAAAAACAAAAACAACAAAAGAGGCTGGGGTGGGAAGATCACTTGAGCCCAGGAGGTAGTGACTGTGCCACTGCATTCCAGCCTGGGCAACAGAGCAAGACTCTATCTCAAAAAAAAAAAAAAAAAAAAAACAGAACACAATACCACCTTTTTGTGATATTTCTGCCAAAGGTTCATAACCTGATTCTAATCCTGAGGAAATAACAGACAAATTCAAATTAAAGGACATCCTATCAAATAAACTGGTCTGTAATCTTCAAAAGTATTGAGGTTATAAAAGTTGAGGAAATAACTACAAAACTGCATCAGATTAAAGGAGATAGAAGACGAATAACAGTAAAATTCTAACACATGATCCTGGATCGGAGCCTTCTGTTACAAAGGATATTACTGGGACATTTGGTGAAATATGAATTAAACTTGTAGATTAGATGGTAATATTTATTAATGTTAATTTTCTGATTTTAATGGCTGTACTGTTATGAAAATGTCTCTGTAGGAAGTATACACTAAAGTGTTCAGGGCTGATGAGATAACATATCAGGAGCTAATTCAGTATGGGTTAGGACAAGGGCTGTCAAACTTTTTCTGTAAAGGCCAGATAATAAGTATTTTAGGCTTTGCAGGTCACATGTGGTCTCTGTCACATATTCCTTGTTTTTTGTAAATATCCCTTAAAAAATGTAAACTTCATTATTAGCTTGTGGCTTGTATAAACACAGCCCACAGGTCACATTTGGTTCATGGGGTTTATTTTGCTGACCCCTGGTTTGGGGGGTGAAAAGCTCTTTGAACTATTCTTGGAATTTTGACATTAAAAAAATATTTCTGCTAACATCCAGAGAAATCACTTGAAAAGTTCTGGGAATGACTGAATAGGGGTGAATAAGGCTGAAAGCTTATGAAATAAAAAGCATCCCTTTTACTCTACCCCGTGCTGCGAAGTGTTCTATTGCCTATGTGGGCATCTTCTCCTGCTCAGAGGGCCTAGTATGCAGTTGAATGTATGAATGAATGAATGAATGAATGCATCTATCTCAATTTCCCAGGACAGGAAACTGATTCCCTTCACATAAGATAAACAAAACAAAACAAAACAAAACAAAACAAAACAAAAAAAACAAAAAACAGGCCAGGCGCGGTGGCTCACATCTGTAATCCCAGCACTTTGGGAGGCCAAGGCGGGTAGATCATGAGGTCAGGAGTTCAAGATCAGCCTGGCCAAGATGGTGAAACCCCGTCTCTACTAAAAATACAAAAAAAATTAGCCAGGCGTGGTGGTGGGTGCCTGTAATCTCAGCTACTGGGGAGACTGAGGCAGAGAATTGCTTAAACCTGGAGGCGGAGGATGCAGTGAGCTGAGATCGCGCACTCCAGCCTGGGCGACAGAGAAATTCCATCCCCCCTCAAAACAAACTTCATCCTTTAGGAATATTTTAATATGACTTTTTACTTGGCTACATTGAGATACCATTTTTTAGCTCTCAGATTAGCAAAAATTCAAAAGCTTGACAATCATATTGTTGGCAAGGCTGTGTGCAAATAGACATTATCTTAAACTGCTGATGGAAATGTAAAATAGTATAACCATAGACTGTGAAGGGAAACTGGACAATATCTAATAAAACTACATATACATTTAATTTTTGACTCAGCTATCCCAGTTCTAGTAATTTATCCTGAAGATAGCCCTCCAAAAAAAAAAATCCATCTATTTACACACACATATGTATATATTAACAAACAAAGCCATGAAAATTAATTCTTCTGTGTCAAGGATCTATTATTGTAAATTAATCGTTTCTCTGACTACTCCAGTATGCTAGTTTCTTAACAGCAGGACTCTCTAGCCCTAAGCCCATCCTATCTACCAAAATGAGGCCATCAGGATCAGCAATGGCTCCTCCTCTTGTGGCATCTAGGGACATGAAAGAAAAGCTGCTGCCTTCTAGATGCATTCTCACCTCTCAGAGTCCCAGAGTCTACATAACAAGCATGACTACTACAGATAATTCCTCTTTCTACGTGGGCCAGAAGAGGAAGCCAAGGTTTTCCTCAGCTGAGCAATCAGTTAGCTATGTAAATGGCAAACTCCAAGGGGCTTCACCACCAACAACTCCCCCCCTGCTGCTCTGGGCAAACAATCTTCACAACGAAGCAGTAATAAGCAGGTATGAAACACTGACCAAGGAACTGAGGACACTCAGGCTTTAGGCTGAAGACTCAGGAAAGAGTCTAAGCTGAGTCAATGCGAATAAGGGTAATTATCTGTACTTCAGGGTAAAAAAAAACAGATAATGAGGAGAAAATTCTTTTGTGTAAGTACTGTAGTTAATAAAGGGAAGGAGAATCATCTTTTGCAAACTCCTAAGAAAATAATGAATCTAGGTGATAATTATCAATGGCCACTACTAACAAAACAAGGGAGAGACTTGACATTACCCGCCTCCTGACAGATATACACTGAACCAACTGTTAAGTATTCTTCCCACCCCCTCAACCCAACCAAACCACAATCAGGTCAAGCCCCCAGTTTATAGGAAATACAGAGCTCATAAGAACATGTCAGAAAAAAACCTCTGAAGGATGCAATCAGCAAAATCCAGAATGTGGGAAAGTCTACAAGAACAAACAACTCGGTTTCTGCAACAAATAAATTGCAAGGAAAAAAAAAAAGGTGAGAACACCCTAGATTAAAATAAACTTTGCAGTACAGCCTGGGCAACACGGCAAGACCCTATCTCTACAAAAAATAGAAAAAATTAGCCAGGCTTCTGGTGCATGTCTGTAGTCCCAACTACTTGGGAGGCTGAGGTTGGAGGATTGTTTGAGCCTGGAGTTCAAGGTTGCAGTGAGCTGTGATTGTGCCACTGCACTCCAGCCTGGGCAATAGAGAGAGACTCTGTCTCAAAAGGAAAAAAAGAAAAGAAAAAAAAAAAAAGAAAGAGTGATCAGACATCCCAATTATTTTATTTAACAGGTTTATGTCTGTTGTCCCAGTAATATTAACAATCCTCTTTCATTATATAAAATTTCCTAGTTTAGACACTAAATTGTATCACCACCCTACTTAAGAGATGTATTAACCAAATACACTGTGCTGACATAGTTTGGCTACTGATTCCAAAAAACCAACTGCAAAAAAAATTTGAACATAAACTGGATATTTGATTACATTGATAAACTATTGTTTTAGGTGTGGTAATAATACTGTGATTACATTTTTCAGGAGTCCTTACATTTAGAGATACAAATATGTATAGATGAAATGACATAAAATTTGAGATTTGCTTCAAAATAAGCAAGAGAGACAGAGAAAGAAAATAGGTGGGGATGTAGATGAGATAGTATACCATGAGCTGACAATGTAGACGATACTGGGGATGTAGTATGAGTCTTTCTACTTTTGAACATTTTTGAGATTTTTCCATAACACAATGTAAAATTTAGTAAATAAAATTTTCCTAGTTCTAGAAACAGAAGTATCCTAGAAAGCTTCAGCTTCCTGCTCTTAGGCAAGTATTGCAGGAAGTCAGGGACCCCAAACAGAGGGACCGGCTGAAGCCATGGCAGAAGAACATGGATTGTGAAGATTTTATGGACATTTATTAGTTCCCCAAATTAATACTTTTGTAATTTCTTATGCCTGTCTTTACTGCAATCTCTAAACATAAATTGTAAAGATTTCATGGACACTTATCACTTCCCCAATCAATACCCCTGTGCTTTCCTATGCCTGTCTTTATACTTTAATCTCTTAATCCTGTCAGCTGAAAAGGATGCATGTCGCTTCAGGACCATGTGATAACTGTGTTAACTGCACAAATTATACAGCATGTGTTTGAGCAATATGAAATCTGAGCACCTTGAAAAAAGAACAGGATAACAGCAATTGTTCAGGGAATAAGAGAGAGAACCTTAAACTCTGACCGCCGGTGAGTCAGGCAGAACAGAGCCGTATTTCTCTTCTTTCAAAAGCAAATGGGAGAAATATCGCTGAATTCTTATTCTCAGCATGGAACGTCCCTGAGAAAGAGAATACGCGCCTGGAGGTATTGGCTTATAAACAGCCCCCCTGGGCGTGGCCTGTCTCTTATGGTTGAGGCTGCAGGGGTGAAATAGACCCCAGTCTCCCATAGCGCTCCCAGGCTTATTAGGAAGAGGAAATTCCCGCCTAATAAATTGTGGTCAGACCGGTTGATCTCAAAACTCTATCTCCTGATAAGATGTTATCAATGACAATAGTGCCCGAAATTTCATTAGCAATTTTAATTTCGCCTCGGTCCTGTGGTCCTGTGATCTCGCCCTGCCTCCACTTGCCTTGTGATATTCTATTACCCTGTTAAGTACTTGATGTCTGTCACCCACACCTATTCGCACACTCCCTCCCCTTTTGAAAATCCCTAATAAAAACTTGCTGGTTTTTGTGGCTTGTGGGGCATCACGGATCCTACCAACGTGTGATGTCTCCCCCGGACACCCAGCTTTAAAATTTCTCTCTTTTGTACTCTGTCCCTTTATTTCTCAAGCCAGCCGACGCTTAGGAAAAATATAAAAGAACCTACATGATTATCGGGACAGGTCCCCTGATAGGCAAGAGCAACCATTTGGCATCTAGCCATACAGGATTATATCTTCATTCAGGGTCACCTGGAGCCAGGGTCTATGAAAAACTATCTGTCGCATATAAGGGTTCCTGAAGTTAAAGCACAGCACTAGTCTTCATTATTTTACCTTTTCAATGAAAAAACAAAAAAAAAAAATCAAAAAACCTTCCCTACTCTAACAAGAGAATCACTTCTTCTGAAGATACTCTCAAGATGCGCTTTCCCTGCTGTAAGAGGAGAAATGAAATACCTTGAAACCGTTTTGATGGACTTTCCTCATTGCCAAAAAATGGTCTTTTAGAAAGAATGTAATTCAAAGTGTTTTTCATTTCAGTCCATGTCCTGCTGAGCCCCAACAGGCCAGTTTTCAGCAGAAACAATTAGTGAGAATGCATGAGAGGGCAGGAGGGCACCCAGCTGCCACTGCCTCACCTAAGCCAGTAATGGAGCTTCTGCAGTATGGACATATGGTAGGCAATATATCCAAGGGAAAATAAGAATATGAGAAAAGTAATAGAAGCAAAGAAAAAAGTAATGGAAGCAAAATGAAGTGCTAAGAATTAGCAACATCTGAGTCTCCCAACAATGGAAGCAGCAAAATAACCAGTCTAGCAGCCCAGGTAATATCTAAACAATTGTAGATGTACTGACTCACTTAATTCTTACTATAATCCTTGAAATACTATTGTGAGTCCCATTTTAATAATGAAGAGAACTGAGGTAGAAAGAAGTGAAGTAATCTGCCTACCACCACTATGCAGCAGGGCCAGGATAAGAACAAGTTCTGGGAGATGTTCCTCTTTTGAAATTACTCTGAAAAGCAGTTGTTTAAAAAAAGACAAGACAAGAAAAGCAGGTGTTGGTAAAATGAAAATAGTGCTTTCTCTTTGGCAGGAAATAATTTTGACACTACCAAAAAGGGGTTTCAAAGGTTGCCTAGTTCTGGAGGAGGCCCAAAGGAACACCTGTCCATTTGCCACGCAAGTCTACCAAAAGTCTCTCATACGTGTGACATAGGAGGTGCCAGAGAACTAAATTGGTACCACTGGATGAAAGCTTTGAGAGTGAACTGCTTGTTGCTGAAGATGTTCAAGCAAAGGCTGAATAGCTTTTTGCTAGACATTGTATGGAAGAAATTCCTATGCAGTAGGAAGCAAGATAAAGCTAGAATGCTTCCAATATAAAAATCACTCTAGTAAGGATTTCCTGCTGCAAGCCCTCCTACTTCAGGGCTGACAAAGTCTATGGCAATTCAAAACTGATTCAAAACCTAAGTCATTCTGTGTTCCATTAAGCTGTTAACATCAAACTTCTCTCTCCAGCAGGCCTACAGCTGGGCCAGTGAATAGCCAGAGACACAACTGCCTCCTCTCTTCAAGGACACCACTTACAACACAAAGTCAATCTAGCACTCTTACTCTAAAAATGCAACACCCCCATCTGAGTGCCAATCAATACTCTGGAATCATTTTCTTAGAAGACATGCAAATGGAGTAAAGGTTAGTGGTTATTTAATTTAACCCAAATCACAATGAAATTTATTATGCCTCTTAAGGTTCATCATACCCATCTGAGACACTTAAGAGCTAGCATCAACGTTTGTTTATAACAGACTCATTCCTTCCAATCAAGGCATAAAACGCAATGTATTACAGAGCTAGAGTGGGTATCATTTCAAGACTGTATCTTCATTGTCCTTCAAATTATTACGGGCAACAATTTGTAAGGTCCTAAGACCATCCCTAAGATACAGTCAATAAAGAGGCTTAAGACCTTAAGCAGGGCTAGTCCTCACTACACTATGATGCAAGGGGACACTGTTTTCCAACTCTGGGGCAATGCAGCCAAATGCCTCAATAGCTGTGTTGGTTTACTAGGGTTGCCATACATAACCAAGTATCACAAACTGGGTGACTTAACCAACAGAAATTTATTTCCTCATAGTTCAGGCTAGAAGTCCAAGATAAGGGCATTAGCAGGGTTGGTTTCTTCTATGACCTCATTCCTTGGATTCTAAATGGCTACCTCCCTTTGTCTTTGCATGGCCTTCCCTCTGTGCTTGTCTGTGTCCTAATCCCCTCTTCTCGTAAGGACACAAGTCATACTGGATTAGGATCTATCTCAAAGACTTCATTTAACCTTAATTGCCCCTTTAAAGATCCTGTCTCCAAATACAGTGACGTTCTGAGTTACTAGGGGTTAGGACTTCAACCTATACAAATTTTAGTAGAACATAATTCAGCCTATAATAGTTATACTCATCAAATTAAAAAAAGAGAGATAAAAAAGACATCCTAATATGGCCACTGACATGACTCTGGCTGCAGTGGGGTACAGGAGCAGGCTACGGGTCCTCAGGTGCAGATGCCAAGGTGGGCAGTCCCTGGAACCCGCCCCTGGAAGTCCCCCCTCCTAGTTCCCTCTCTTCTGGAACTCAGAGTCAAATTCACTGCCAGTAGCACTCAATTTTCAGTTCTTCACTTATGCACATTGTTTACTGGAACCATTTTTCTCATCTTTCTACTTTACTTGCTAATTTGCTTAATAAATTGAGTAAGAGAGGTTCATCATAAAGATGTTGCAGAATGGAGGTTCATCACCGTTTTCACTAAGCACAGATTCTGTTCTGGACTGTGAATTTGAGTACAGAGAACAAAACTAAATTAATAGATGACAGTAATGAGCAGGGGTAAAATGGAATGATACAGGCCTAAAAAAACAGAGGGATTTTTTTGCCGAGTGTGGTGGCTCATGCCTGTAATCCCAGCACTTTGGGAGGCTGAAGTGGGCAGGTCACTTGTCAGGAGTTTGAGACCAGCCTTGCCAACATGATGAAACCCAGTCTCTACTAAAAATACAAAAATTAGCCAGGTGTGGTGGCGGGTGTCTGTAATCCCAGCTACTGGGGAGGCTGAGGCAGGAGAATTGCTTGAAACTGGGAAGCAGAGGTTGCAGTAAGCCGAGATCATGCTACTGCACTCCAGCCTAGGTGACAGAGTGAGAACTTGTCTCAAAAAAAAGAACAGAGGTTTTTACAAGAAGGTAATAAAGGTAATGACCTAGAAGTGACAACAGACTGTGGGAATACCAATTCCCACCCCCAGGATTGGAGGATTTATTAAACAATGTTATTAATACATCACCTTGGGAAAAGACCCAAGGCTGCAAAAACTACTTTGGTTCAGAACGTATGATATTACATAATGAAAATATCTCAGATGGAGACATGGAACAGTGTGGTTGTTAAGAATGTGATCTCTGAAGCCAGACTACCCAGGTTTCTATCCCAGTTCTGCCACTTATACAGCTGTGTTATCCTGAGCAATTTATTTAATCTCTCTGCACCCTCGCTTCCTGTGTGAAATAAGTACAATGATAATCTCTCTCACAGAACTGGTGTGAGAAGCAAATGACCTTTACATTTTAAAGTGCTAAGAACAGTGCCTGGGAGCTAGTAAGTGCTCAGAGTTTGTAAATTTATTAAATAAATTCTCGATTGCATATGGTTCATCAGAAACATTACAGTGATGGCAGTGGCAGCCCGTCACTGCCATGAAGCAGTCACTGCCATGACGCCGGCTGCAGTGGGGTACAGATGCAGGACACGGGTCTTCCGGTGCAGACGCCAAGGTGGACAGTCCCTGGAACCCTCCTTTGGAAGCCCCCCTACAGGCCCACTGCCCTGGGAACCCACCCCTGGGAACTGCCACAATTGGGCCAGGCTGAGCTGAGCCGTCCGCCAGTGGGAGAGAAGTGCACAGAGGAACAGGCAGAGAGGGGCACTAGGGCAGAGCTGGGCCCAGGGTGGTCCCGTGCTTGCACATGGGGCACAGAGGTCTGGCCCGAGACACAGAGCTGGGGCCATGCTTCAGGGGCCCAGGGTAGGAAGTGAAAGCGGCACCCCACAGCAGCAAGTACAGCATGCCCACATTGTTCACCAGCCCCATGGAGCAGATCACCATGTAAACAACTGGCACGGTCACCACCAGGAGCACCAGACTCGATGCGTTGGAGCAGCCCAGCACCTGGCCCAGGACAATGCATCAGACCTGGAGCCCTTGCCCAAGACTGCTAGGAGATGGAGCTGGGGCTGCATGCTCTACAGAGTCGGTGGGAGCCAGGGAAAAGTGGGAGCCCCACCCCTTCCGAGTTGGTGGGGTGGGAGCCCCCCAGGTGCAGCCACCACCGCCCTGCTGCAGCTTCAGACCCAGGCATCTCTGAACTCTCGGGCCTAGGAAGGCCCCTGCCCCTCGCAGGCTCAGAATCGTCCGCTCCCGCTACCTGGCTTCTCCCCTCTGTCAGTGCCTACTCCAACCTCGGAGCAAAGTTGGGACCCAGCCCGGGAGCTGTCACAGCCCAGCTGAGTGTGCACATGCTCGGGGTAGTGCTGACATGCCAACCCCCTTGCCACTTTGGCCCCCTCCAGGCTTTGGGCACTGACAAGCATGGGAAGGAGGCTGAGGGGTGCACTGAGGACAGCCCAGTGCTGGCCTGCAGGCACCCCTTAGCATGAACAGCCTGGTCACCATGAACAGCAGCAGGAGGCAGACAGGCTCCTGGGTGGAGAGAAGCTGGTCCACAGTGAAGACCCACCTCCAAGCCAGGGAAAGCCTGAAGCCTGGGGGATGGGTCGCCAGTCCCAGAAACCGCAAGGGCAACTTGTGGTGCTTTTCCCTGGGCCCACCCATGGCCGCCCATGGACCAACCAGCATGCACTTCCTCCCCTCTGAGGCCCATAAAAGCCCCTGGACTCAGCCAGGCTTGGGGAGAGGAGGGAGGGACCATAGGGAGATAATGGGACCACCTGCCTGCAGAAAGGAGCCACCCACTCCAGGACCTCCTCTCTGCTGAGAGCTGAACACTCAACGGGAGGACCTGCCTACAGATAGGAGCTACCCACTGCGGGTCCCCTCTAAGCTATTATATCACTCAATAAAGTTCCCCTTTGTCTTGCTCACCCTATATTTGTCTGTGTACCTCATTCCTTTTGGATGCAGGACAAGAACTCGGGACCCACCGAATGGCAGGGCCAAAAGAGCTGTAATACAAACAGAGCTGAAACATGCCCCTTGCTCAACACATTGTGGGCGACAAGAAGGAGAGAAGAGAGAAGGAGAGAAGAGCTGCAGCCCTTTGGAGAGACCAGACCTGAGAGCTCCCCGAGCCTGAGCTGTGACTCCTGCTTTGGGGCCTGGTGGCTCCTAAAGTCTCCAAGTTTCTGGGCACCACCGCGTTCCCTTGTGCCAGCTGTGGAAGTTGCTTGCGTGGCGCCTGGTCCCGATGCAGCCTCACAGTGAGCTAGCACCCATGCCAGCCCTTGGAGCTAGCTGCCCTGCTGCAGCAGTTGGCATGCCTGACTGCGTGCAGTGGCCGGACCCTATGCTCACTTGCCACACACCCTTCACTATTCCGCTCCAGTCTCTTTGGAGGCATGGGATCCAGGCTGGTAGCTTGAGGCAAGTGCAGCCTGCTGGGCCAACTGGGCCCAGCAGGCCTGAGCAAACAAAGCTCAGGCAAAAGCGTCACCAGCCACAGAGGTTTCTAGCTAGAAAAGCAACACCTCCCAGGATCCCGTAACAACAGCTGAGGGGTTAAGACCACAGACATAGGCTGGGCACGGTGGCTCACACCTGTAATCCCAGCACTTTGGGAGTCCGAGGTGGGTGAATCACGAGGTCAGGGGTTTGAGACCAGCCTGACCAACGTGGTGAAACCCCGTCTCTACTAAAAATACAAAAATTAGCTGGGCGTGGTGGCGGTCGCCTGTAATCCTAGCTACTCAGGAGGCTGAGGCAGGAGAACTGCTTGAACCCGGGAGATGGAGCTTGCAGTGAGCCGAGATTGCGCCACTGCACTCCAGCCTGGGTGACAGAGTGAGACTCCGTCTCAAACAAACAAACAAACAAAAAACACCACAGACATTGGAGTAAGATACTGTGGGGTTGAATGGTAGTTTCTACTACTTATTAATAACTTCCTTAACTTCTCTGTACTACAGTGTCTTCATCTATAAAACAGATTTACTCAGATTATCCACCTCATCGAAAAAAAAATGAACATGTGTCACCCACCTCATCAGAGTATTTTGAGAATTAAATTTAACAAATGTAAGTCATTTTAAAAATGTTAAGACATAGTAAATGCTCAGCAAATGTTACCTATTCTTATTCTTTTGACATTACATTTTCCAACTTTTCTTGACTAAGGAAGATAAAATAATTTTAAAATAATCTGCTTCTATTGGGCTTATGCAACGTGAATCAGTCAACCAATAATCTCATAAAGCAATAAGAACAACTAATGACAGAAGCATGAGCTCAAAATATTAGCAAGACTAGACTTCTGCTTCTCATCATTATGGGGAATCAGAGATCAGATTTACCCTTGCACCTTAAAAACAAAAAAATTAGATGAAATATATGAAACAATAGTTTGCAGACACTGGACCGATGGGAAACATGCAAAATAAGCCCTAAGACTGCATGCCTAGGAAGCAGCAAAAGGGGGTACTCAAACAGAGTCCAGCAGTCTCCCTGAGTTGAGAAGACAGAGTTGAGAACTTGGGGAGGCTAAGGTGGCTAGAATTTTCAAAGCAGGGTACCAGAGAAGACAGATATACAGAGGGGAACTCTGGAGATCTGCAGGGGCTTCCTCTGAGTTTTTAGCTGAATATCTATCAGCATATGTGGATAAGGAAACTATCCAAGAACATGAGCAGGTACCCTCTTCAGGGCTCACTAAGGACCCAGAATCGTTCATGCTCCCATCAGCCTGAGTGGAAAAAACTCACAATACATGGGCATCAAATAGAGTACTCAAAGTATTGCCTCAGTAGTAAGAAAAAATTAGCCTCAAGTGCTGCCCTGGTCTCACCAAACAAAGCCTGAAAGTATTCCTTCAAAGGATCAAACAATTTCTAAATAACTGCATCCCAGATTCTCAAGAATGTTTAAAGGAATATAAAAATATCTAGCAAACAACAAGCTAAAATAATCTTGTCATATCAATGAACTGGCACTTTGCATGGCATGGATACAAAAGAAGAATGGAATGAAGCACTAATACAGTGACCACACATGTTAGTAAGTCTATGAAAAAAAAAAAAAAAAACATGAAATTTAACAAGCTCCAAAGCTGTAAGATGTTGCTCCAGGTTGTGTGTTCTGAGACCATAGTCATCAAGAGATACTCAAAACCATGTGCCAGGACTGGGTACATCTTGGGGGCTACCCAACTTACAATCTTTCTCAGCCTCATACGCCAAGCGCTAGTACGTCTAGAAGAGGTGCCTTCAGAGAGAAGTTAGCCTCTAACATTGTCCTATGTCAGTCTATCACTGTCCCAAACTGTCTGTGGAATTTAAGCTCCTGTATCAAATAATGTCACTTAAATCTGTGTGATACATTGTGTTTCACTTAAACTTTTAGTTTTTCAGGTTACTATTCTCTAACAAAAAGCTTAACAAATACCTACTGATCAATCACGCTTTCCTTTTTTAACATTTTTTTTTCAACTGGCTTCTAAGATACTTCTCCTAGTCCTTGTTCCTGAATGAATAGCTAATTCATTTTAGTCTAATTCCTCACTATCGCCCCAACCTCTAAAACTTGCCCCAGAGCTCAATCCTTGGATATCTCTTCCTCCTCTATCAATTCTACCTTTAAAATAATCCCCAAATCTGACCACTTCTTATCTGAATCATCATGGGTTCAAATAACCATTGTCTCTTACCTAGTGGCCTTCTAACTATAACCAGAGTGTGTTTTTTTGTTAGTTTTTGTTTTTTTGACAAGGTCTGGCTCCAAGGCTGGAGTGCAGTGGTATGATCTCAGCTCACTGCAACCTCCACCTCCCAGGCTCAAGCCATCCTCCCACCTCAGCCGCCAGAGTAGCAGGGATTACAGGTACGCGCCACCATGCCCAGCTAATTTTTGTATTTTTTGTAGAGATGGGGTTTCACCATGTTGCCCAGGCTGGTCTCGAACTTGTGAGTGGTCTTGAACTCAAGCAATCCGCTCACCTCGGCCTCCCAAACTGCTGGGATTACAGGTGTAAGCCACTGCGCCCAGCCCAGCGTGATCTTTTGATCTACGTCAGATCATGTCATTCTTATTTAAACCTTCCAGTGGCTACTTATCTCACCCAGCATAAAAACAAAAGTCCTGGCCAGTAGTGGTGGCTCATGCCTGTAATCCCAGTGCTTTGGGAGGCCGAGGCGGGTGGATAACCTGAGGTCAGGAGTCTGAGATCAGCCTGGTCAATATGGTGAAACCCTGTCTCTACCAAAAATACAAACATTAGCTGGGTGTGGGGGCAGCCGCCTGTAATCCCAGCTACTCGGGAGGCTGAGGCAGAAGAATCACTTAAACCTGGGAGGCAGAGTTGCAGTGAGGAGAGATTGTGCCATTGCACTCCAGCCTGGGTGACAAGAGCGAAACTCTATCTCAAAAAGCCTCAAAATTGTTTAATCTGGCTGCCCACTACACTTCAGGCCTCATTTCCCAATACTCACCACCTAACTTATTCTGTACCAGTATCACTGGACTCTGTTGCACAAAGAATACATGGAGCAAGCTCCTAGATCAGGCCCCTGGCACTTCATGTTGCCTCCACCTGGAACACTCTTCTTCCAGATATCTCCATTCAGGCTCTATGACTTCCTTCAGGTCTTTTATGTCAACTTACCACTGAGGACCTACCTGACCACCTTATATAAAATGTCAAGCCCTGGCCTCTACATTCTCTTATCCTACTTTATTTTTCTCAGAAGCACTGTCTATCCGTTATGTTACATATTTACTCATTAACTTGTCTCTCTTTCTCCACTAGAATCTAAGCTCCCTGAGGACAGGGATTTTATTGCTTTATGTTCACTGCTTTGTTTCCCATGCCCAAAACAGTGTCCTAGCAGATAGTACGTAATCAAATAATGTTGAATATAAGAAAAGGAAGACAGAAAGAAATGGGAGAAGGGCTATTTTCCTCAACCTGAACAAACCATTTAACTTGTTTTGGACTCAAATTTTCCCATCGTGTAAAATGTGAGGTTTGAACTTTTTTACCTCCTAAGAGTTCTAGCACTCTGCCATGCTATGGGGTGGTCACAGGTCATAGTTCACAAGGCTGTCCAATGGTCAGGATGGGCACACAACTTATAATAGCCTCAAAAATCCAAGTACTGATAACCTACCCTCCTTTCTCCTGACATTTTGAATACAACAGAAATCTGTGATATTTATTTTACTCTTCTCTGTGACAGAACCAAGACTCTTACTCCATTTCTCCCCATTATTAAGGAGTAAGGTATGCGTTTTACCATTTGGCCAGAAGCAATTGTCAAGGCCCAGATTCACAGCAAGTTTCCTTACCTCCACGGCAGTGGGCGGCTGGAACAAGGAGTGCCAGGACTGCTGTGGGCTCGTGGGTTCAG